>NC_000014.9:43986713-44611713 GCF_000001405.40 Homo sapiens
GAAAAACAATATGGAATCCATATTGAGCCCTATCTTTTGTTTTGGTAACATCTATAATCTTTCAAGTATTTCTTGCTGTTTTTTTACACACTAGTTCTTTTCTCATTTGGCAGAGGACAAGTGTTATAGAGCAAGGCACCTTTATTCTGTCACTATAGAGAATGTGTTAGTAAGTGAATGACTGCAATGTAATATAATTCTTCTCCTCAATGAATAAAACAAATAATGTATATAAATATCTGTCAACTGCAAAGTTTATTTAACCAACAAATATTTATTAAGGGTTCGTTATCTAGCAAGCCGTGTGTGTTGCTGCAAGTACAATCTACAAGAAACACTTAGGTTAGAAATATGACTATTGCATGGGATATTTTGGCATGAGAGAATATTTTAATACCTTTTAAATATATTATAATTGTTAATGCTTCATTATGCAAAATCGATGTAAAACACAAATCTGTATAATTTGTAACTAAAAGAAAAGTTTTTTCTTATTATATCGCAACTAAGTATCACAGAATTTTAGGCTAAAAGAGGCCTAGATGCTACTAGCTCTTATGACCTAACACAGTAAAATACCGTATAGAAAAGGTAAACACTACACAACTAATTATTAAAAGAATTGGAGCACAATCTCAGATCTCTTGATTCTCAACCCAATTCTCTTTCAAAAATAAGAAACACAATGCTTTTTTGTAAGCTATTTTATGATACTACATATTATTTCCTGACAACAATTTAAATTATTTACTGAGAATTTCTTTTACATAACTCTCAAAAGTGTAAAATTATTTTATCACCATTACCTTGGGGACAACAAACATCAAAATTTGTGCTAAAATGAAACTTTGAGTTGAGTTCAATGAATATATTGTGTGTTTTTAAGACATACTATCTTTACTAATTTCAATAAATTCAAATTTTACACAAACCTGAAGTGTAAATATACACTTCTGATATTAATGTAGAAGTTTTCAATATGATTTACAAGATAAAGAATACATGAGATGCCCTTTTCATCACTCACTTATTTCTCAACTATGTTGATAAAAGGTTTAGGTGTTATTCTATTTTATAAGCTAAGAGACAATTAGTCATATTTCCTATTTAGTACAAAAGGAAGAGCACTGACCTTACCTCTGCCATGTTCACATTGTATGGTCCAGTTGAGAATCCTGCCTGAGAGTTGGCTGTGTAAACACAGAGCAGCAGAGAAGAGTCACCACACTCCATCATATGAGAAGGCACGTGTCTGCTGGCTGCCTCCCATTTTTCCCTATTTGGGAACAGTCCTCTGTGCTGAGTGGTCTTCCTGCCATATGGGTCAATAAAGTATTTTCAACCAAAGAAATCACTCGGACTCTTCAATAACCATAAAGTAAGTTTCATCTGCTATCAAAATTAAACCATACATATATTTGTTATTTAAAATTAATTTCTACTGGAATTATAAAAAACATTGTTGATAGCATTGTGTATCCAGCAGTCTTTACCTTTTAAGGCCACCTAAGCAAGGAAAAATATCTAAGAATTATATTCTTCATGTAATGAAAAATTAAGTTCCCAATTTCACAAAATTAATTTGTCTCAATACTGAAAGTCTAGATTTGGACGTAAAAATCTGAAATTATTAAAATTATTATACACAAGAAAAGAGCTAATACTAATATTCTGGGACATTTAGGTAAAGCAAAATGTGACTAAAATTTAGGTTAATAAAAGTTAAATTCAAAATAGGATCAGAAGAGCTTGAAACATAATGGCATAATTGAGTGAATTACAAAAAACAAAATGTATCTATTTTCTCAGATACCATTACAGTAATAAAAATGAAACATTACTCCACTGGCAATCACATCTTGATTACTATGTAATGCTAGAAGTTTGATTTGCTCAATTAATCTCATTAAAATTTATGACATAAGTTTCTAAGTACTATCAAGAGATTTAAAATAATTTTTATAAAATATTCACCAAGATGTACATAATATTAACATGTGAAATGTATTAGCTTAATTTAAAAATATACATGTTGTTAAAAGGAAGATAGCCCAGACATGGTGGCTCACGCCTGTAATCCCAGCACTTTGGGAGGCCAGGGAGGGTGGATTGTGAGGTCAGCAGTTCAAGACCAACCTGGCCAATATGGTGAAACCCCATCTCTACTAAAAAATACAAAAATTAGGCAGGTGTGGTGGCGCATACCTGTAATCCCAGCTACTCAGGAGGCTGAGGCAGGAGAATCGCTTGAACCCAGGAAGGAGAGGTTGCAGTGAGCCAAAATCACACCTCTGCACTCCAGCCTGGATGACAGAGTGAGACTGTCTCAAAGGAAAAAAAAGGAAAATAAATATTTTCATTGATGTTATATAATATTCATAAGAAAAGTTTATTATAATAAAGGGAAAATATTAGCTATTAGGATTAATATTATTTAATATTAGGATTTAATTTAATATTATTAAATATTAGGATTTAATTTAATATTATTTAATATTAGGATTAAGATTATTTTATTAACAAGTAATATTAGCTATTATTACTTGTTATTATATTTATTATGATATTATATTATATTACTTGTTATTATATTTATTGTTAATAAATATAAACTAGCAAATTAAGAGAAACATGTATAAGTCAGCAGAACATTTTTTTAGATATATGAAAATAAGGAGCACAGCTCCGCTATAAACATGGACAATGAAGGATCCATCTTGGACCCTGGCTTTAGAGTATCCAGTTCTTACCTTTTCTGACCCTGCCACTCCCTCCTAGGTAAGGAGTCAATGGAGACAATGAGATGTGCCCTTATTAAGCCTTTCACTAACTCTAGGCCATGCTGTGGATTCCAAGACACTAAAATAGCTGCTCAAATTGGCTGAGCTCACGTTAGAGTCTGTGTAAATCTCTTCCTGATTCTGTCTTCTTGAAGGATAATGAAGGTATTTGTATGCCTACCTATATAGGTTGTACCTGACTTTTTTGGAATACACAGGTTCTATCAGATGCAATGGTAGATTGGTAGACAAAAAGAGGAAGGTATAAAATGAATATGGATGGCACAGATATTTTACAATGTATGGCTCTTATCTTCTCTACAAGAAGACAAAATAAGAATCCCTCTCTTTCCCTTGATGGCATTTGCTATCATAATCTGATGAATAGTTTATTAATTGCCTTAATGTATGTATGACCTGCTACTCTTTTCTAAGAACATACTTTCATTTTAACAAAAGTTTCCAAGGTCTAACTCAGAATTGTGTTTATTATGAGAAATAATCTGTAAGGTCAGGTATGTTTCAATAGCCACTCACATGAGACTAAATAATGTTGTCTTTGTAGACACCCAGAAAGCTCTAGGACTACTATCTGCTAGGCTGCAGTGCTTTAACAGTGCAATAGTCTGTGCTCTCTTTCTGCATGCCAGATTCTTTAAAAGACTTAATCTTTTGAGTATCAACGCCCATACGAATTGTTGGGTTTTCATATTAGGTTTTGTCCACAAAATTAAATCCACCTGTATTAGATGTCACCCTTAAAAGTCCTCATATTTTTTGAGTTGATCAAAGAATCATATTAACGAATATTTCCCACTGTTCTAAGTTCTACTGCCTGATGATTGACCACAGTGGGAGTTACATACAATGGCTATCAATTCAAGAGCAATTAATGAGCAGTGAAGCTTATAGAGAAAGCAACATGATCAATAATACCTTTAAAATCTTCTAAATTTTAGGGGAGAAAAAGAATCACTGATGAACAGAGAATGCTTATCCACTTATAAACATTCTCATCACAATAATATGAACGTTTCATGATGCTGGCACAGGAAAAAGTTCTGATTTTATTTTGGAAAGGTTATGTTTATAATCATGTACAATATTTTAGATGATATTTGTTTTATAAGACAAGAGAACATAATAGTCGACCTGTAATGACCAAAAGTAGTTTATATAGTCAAAGTTATCTTCCTTTGGGCCTATTCAGAAGAGTTCCAAGTTCAAGGAGTATTCAATGGCAGAACTTCGATCTTGTCTCATCAACTGAATTTCTATTACAGCTTAACCTGGAAACAAAAAAGGAGAAATGGGAGCTGAAGGTGTAAGTATAGATTGAATTCAATCAAGTTAAAACATTTTAAAAGTGTAAGTATGATGTTTTCCATAAAAATGACTGTAATTTTTGTATATTAATTTAAAGATAATTATCCAGACATATAAATCAGCAATGTCTAAGGCATAAATACTTCAAAATAAAAGATTATTCCAGTGTAGACATATTTCAATACACACTAAGATTCTGTTTATTGATGATAATTTTCAGTAAATCATTAGTATTTTTAAATAAAATCGACTATAATAAAATAAATTCTCTTGACTGTATTTTTATTTCCTATAATATTGAATAAAATAATCTTAAATTCAGGAAAAATATTATTTGAGAGTATTAGAGACTTTTGTATTATGCAATCTAAACCACAAGTGGGGCACAAGTACTCCTTGACTGATATGGCAAACTGTTACAATAATATAAAAGTCCAAATGATGAGAAAACCTTTTAAGATTATCATTCTTCACATCATGAACATGTTCAAGTGTATCCACATTTGGGTCTCTTTTTCAAAGCACCAATTTGGAATTAGGTCAAGTATCTGAAGAATGCTTCTATAGATTATATTAAAATTACCTTAGAAGGAGAATGGTCACAAAAGTCTCCTTTGAGTTATGCAAAGATAAGAAAATATTCATAACCACTGTATTATTTAATAATTACAGAGGATATTATAGCTTCTACAGTGCTTTCATGCTGGTTAAAATACAGCTGAAAAATTACAAATTAAGATAACATAAACAGGATATTATTTTCTCCCTCTTAAATTATTTGCAAACTGTAGTCACAGAGTGTGGTAGGCAGGATTATAAAATGGCCCTGATATTTTTAGCTCCTGATATCCACACCTGTCTGTAATCCCTCCCTCCTGAGTATGGGCAGGACTAACAACTTGTTTTTAACCAATAGAATAGAAAAGAGGAAATGAATTTTGAAGATGTAATTAAGGTCTCTAATCAGTCAAATTTATGTTAAACAAAAAGGAAATTAACTAGCTGGGCCTGACCTAATGAGGTGAGCCTATTAGAGTAGAGATGAAAGAGATACTCCTGCTGTGCATATGTTCATTGCAGCACCATTTACAACAGCAAAGACATGGAATCCATCTAAATGCCCATTAACAGTAGACTGGATAAAGAAAATGTGGAAGTACACACTATAAGATACTACACAGCCATAACAATGAATGAGACCATATTCTTGGCAGCAACATGGATAGAGCTGGAGGCCATGTTCCTAAGTGAACTAGTGCAGGAACAGAAATCCCAATACCACATGTTCTCACTTATAAGTGGGTACTAAACCTTGAGTACACATGGACACAAGGATAGGAACAACAGACACTGGGACCTATGGGAAGGTGGAGGGTGCAAGGAGGATGAGGCTCAAAAAGTTACCTATTGAGTATTATGCTTATTACCTGGATGATGAAATAATCTGCACATCAAATCCCTGTGGTATGCTATTTATGAATACAACAAACCTGCACATGTACCCATGAAAGTAAATGTTAAAAAATTAAAATTTTAAAAAGCCACACAAAGAAAACATGACTGGCAAAAGATCAGACTCTATAGGATTAAAAAATAAAAATAACATATAGTAAGTCAATGCAAAGATATCCACATAAGCAAAATCACACACTCTTTCTCTTTTCTCTCTCTCCCACCCACATGCACATATTTAATGTGCCATGAAAGTCCTCTATGACCACAAATGTTTCTCACATTTGTGATCCTCTTCAGGTTATATGACACATAGGAATTTCAAAGGAAATTCAATTGAGCTCCCAAAGCAATGCTGATATAAAATGCTAACCTACTACAAAGACACACCAGAAAATTAAAGAGTTTTTTGCTTTCAAATGAAAAATACTTTAACATATATTTATATACAGCACATAATATGTATATACCTATATACACATTATGATATGTATTTTAGATTTATATATATAGTAAAGATGCTCAGTTTTGTTTACCTTCATAAGTGGAAAAGAGTAACATTAAGAGCAATTTCAAAACATTTTCCCCATAGCTATTGAAGATTGTGTTTTCCTGATATCATATTTTATGTGAATTACTGAAATTTAGAAGGTTTGCATGCTGCTACAAAAACAAACAAAAATAAGCGCCTCTAAAGAAACCTTGGATCTATTAAATGAAAACTCTTGCTGTTTTTAATTTTTTCAAATTCATAAGAGCAACAATCAAGGGTCAAGAAATAAAAATCTTCTGTGTACAGGCAATGTCTACTTCTGACCACACTTAAAACCTTCCCCAAATTGCTTTAAAAATAGCAGTATTTAATAATTTAAAGATAATCCTTCAATTCAAATTGTTTTATTCTGAGGCAAAAAAATAATTTGTAGAAATGCATTGCAGGTTTCAATCAAATATACTACTTCTAGTGATTTACAAGTGATGGTTAAATATATGTAAATAAAAAAGGGCTAAAATATTTCTACTTTAAATAGCGGGGAGGAAAGCATTCATTCATGTAAGAAATATTTACTGTGTCTGTATGCACTGAAGGGTTACAAACTATGGTGTAATAACTCTGTCCTAATATTTCCCAGTTTGGGAGAGAATAGATACACAAACCAATTATCATAGGCAAGTGTGGAAATCTAAATTAAAATGAATAATAGAGTCATTAGTTTGGACAATTGCAGAATAGTTATAATAAATAATTAATACACATATATATCCACCCCATACACAAATACTCCTATAAATTTATTTTATTTACATATATATACATTTTTGTGTGTGAGTATATATATATACACACACATATACATACATGTAGGAACTCTATATAAAAGGTATAATATATAAGATAAGTATATAAAATAAATCTTGAATAATTGGGGGGTTTGTACCCCATTCTGAATTGGGAAAACAATATAATAAAGTGTGAATTGTCCTTCAGTGAATCTATTTCAAGTAAATTAAAAACAGAATTTTAATGGAAACTGTTTTACATCTTGACAAATATTTCTAAGGGTAGTAATAACTTAAAAAACCCATAAAACTCAAGAATAACCAAAGTTTTTTTATTAAGAAAGTAATAGAAGGTGAAATATTAATTTTAAAAATGAAAACATTTAAAAATACAATAGTTTTGGTGATTGTTTAATAGTAAAAGAGAAAACTAAATAGAAATTCAAGGAGCAAAATTTGTACTACATACAGATTGAGTATGTGCTCAGAGAAACATTTTTTATCAAGGTGCAAAAATAAATTATTCAAAAATACTCTTGGTACTGTAAGTCTTCCAAATTAAAAAAAACTTAAATAACCTACTCATGACATATATCATTAATCAAAAAGAGTACAACAATTAAAAATTAAGAAATAAAATCATGTAATAAATAGGAGAAAATACAAGCAGTTCATCATACTCGTTAAGCATATGGAATATGGAGTTGGACTGCTTGTATTGAAATTGTGGCTCTGCAATTTACATACTACTGTGACTTTGGTGAAATAATTTACTATTTCCATTTCTAGGTTTAGTCATCTGTAAAACATGAACAAAAATAGGGGCTTCATACAGATATTTTGTGAGGTATAGGGGAGTCAACATATTATAAAGAACAGTGTCTGACACATAAGAAGCTTCATATAAATCACACAGAGGTGGTAAACAAATTCTAAGTATTAAATCAGCGGAAAGAAACAAGCGTGAGTAACAAATTTATTTTTTAAAACATGAAGCAGTACTTCAAAAGAGACTATAGATAGAACTCAAAGAGGAATAACAAACAGAAAAATGACTATAACATAAATGTAAAGAATAGCATCCTTGATGTAAATTTGTAAATAGAAAAGAATGGAGCCACAGGGAAAATTAGGCAAAAACAGGTACTTCACCAAATAGTAATATAAATGACTCATCAATTTACAAAGTGTGCTTAAACTAGCCATTTAGAAAATGACAACCACATAAATAACTGTTAGATAAAAATGAAACTTAAAATAGCAACAATAAGAGATTTTTAAAAGTCAAGGCATTTTTACCTCACCCAAGGTACTAGTAAGAATGTTGGCACAATCTCTCTGCATGGCAATTTGACACTTTAAGTAAAGATCTTTAAGTATATTCAAGTTCTTTGACCCAGAAGTTACGTATCTAATATTCTCCATATCACAAATATAAGGACGTATACAAAGATTCACGCAAAAAGACATTTATCAAAGTATTTTATATACAATAGTAAAAATGTTAAAGCAATATGAACGTCAAAAAATAGAAAAATACTCAGTTACGGCATGATATATTCAAACTAAAATTATGTTACAAAAAATATTTTGGGATTTGAGAAAATATCTACAATATCGTATTTTGAGGAAAAATGTTATAATACTACTTAAGTAGTACTACCCTAATATTGTATAAAATAGAAAAGCAGAAAGAGAATATATTCAAATATTGTCAATAGTAGTATCAGTATCATTAGCTTTTACTAATTTAACTTTTTCACTTGTATTTTCTGTTTTTCTATGTTTATTTTGAATGTGTTTAATAATTATACAAATTAAAACACAATTTATGTTTTTAATATGATCTCACTCTCTACTGAGACAAAAAAAAATAAGAATCCCTAAGTGGGCATTTTCAAATTTAATTTTTTCATAGTGATTTCTTTCAAAAAATTAAGGCACTTTCAGTTTGAGTTTTTCTTTGTATGATAACTTGGATTCAGTAACAGACATAAGACATAATTTTAATGTTAAGTTTGAAACTTATCACTTTTACAATTGACTATTGAAATTGGACTTACGATGTACTCACCACCAGTATTACTTATCTTTCACGCAGGCAGCTGGCTCAGTGTCCCTTGTGGTGAAGGCAAGGCTTCAGCACATCTTACATATGCCTCCATGGCAGGATTCACAGCAGCTCTGTTGCACACATTCAACCCTCCACCTCCAAACCAATGGGAGGCAGTGGTTCTTCCCACTGTGCTGTAAGGCATGAGATCTGGCTTCCTTAATACTTCTTGAAAGGTCTGGGAATACAATTGACATAATACATCTTTTCAAGTAGCAGTTTTTACAAGATGAACATTTCTCAAGAAGTTATATAAATTAAAATATTTCAATCACTTTTGAAAGTATTTTTGCACACCTTTCCAGCCAATTTCAAGGCATGTATTAAAAGTCTGTTGAATGTAGTATCTAATTTTCACATGAATTCTTCTAAATACTTACTATAACATGATCAACAAATAAAACTAAGTTCCTACTCTCTCTTAGCCTATAATTCGGGTTCACAGAGGGAGAAAGGCAATTAGAAAAGTAGTAAAAATGCATGTAGCATAATTCTCATTATAAGAGGAACCAACCCAAATGCCCATCAATGATAGACTGGATAAAGAAATGTGACACATATACACCATGGAATACTATGCAGCCATAAAAAAGGATGAGTTCATGTCCTTTGCAGGAACATGGATGAAGCTGGAAACCATCATTCTCAGCCAACTAACACAGGAACAGAAAACCAAACACCACATGTTCTCACTCATAAGTGGGAGTCGAACAATGAGAACACATGGGCACAGGGAAGGGAACACCATACACTGGGGCCTGTTGGGGGTTGGGGGATGGGGGAGGGACAACATTAGGAGAAATACATAATGTAGATGATGGGTTGATGGGTGCAGCAAACCACCATGGCACATGTATACCTATGTGACAAGCCTGCACATTCTGCACATGTACCCCAGTACTTAAAGTATAATTAAAAAAAAAGTTTTAAAAAAGAAAAGCACATCACAATGAAACCTGGTCATGCAAAGTTAGGTAAGACTTGCTGGAAAAAGTGACAAATATACTGAATGCTAAAGGGAAATTAAGATTTTCAGCTGCCTTGGGTTCTGCTTCACACATTTTATTTGGGTCCCATCTTTTCACTAAATGCACATTTTCAAAGTTAACAGTTATCTTCACATTGCCAAATTCAATGGTCAATCTTCATTATCAAATCACATGGTCCTCTTAGTAGGATTTCTCAAAATCGCCATTTCTTCTTGTTGAAACCCATTCTTGTTGACAGAAGTGTTCTACTCATCAGTTGACAGAAGCAAAGTGACAGAAACGTTCCATTTATTCATTGTTTTACCCAACAAGTATTTATACCCATGATTTACCATGTATTTTTCTAAGCACTGGAGATGCATCAGCAAACAAAAGAAGAAGAAAAGAATCCTTTGTCTTATACCATTTGCATTCTATTGGGTGGACATAGAAATTAAAAATAAGTAAGTAAAATGCATCAGTTTTTACTAACATTAAAACAGTTAGGTTTTAAATGTTATGAAGAAAAATAAACCAGGACAGGTATACTGTTAAATGCCAACATGAAAGTGAGGAGCCAATTTTAAATAGATTAGTTAGAACACATCTTACTGGGAAAGTAATATTTGAACAAGCATTTGAGGAAGGTGAGGGACAAAACCATTAAGATCTCTGTGGGAGAGACATTCTAGGCAGAAGAAATCACAAATGTCAAGTTCCAAAGTTAGGAGTATTCCTAACAAACCTCCAGCACAAGCAAAAAATCTAGTAGAGAGAAACAGAGAGGATAAGAAAGAGAATACTAGGAAATAAGGCAAGGGAAGAAACAAGGGGATAAGCCATCTGGGGCAAGTGAAAACAAAAATTTCAATCTGTGAGAGTAAGATCACCAAGAGTTTGAATATAGAAAGAGAAAAAGAGAGGAACAAGGATTGTGACTGAATTAATTCCTTTGTCACTCCCTCCAGAAAGATGGGAGACTGATGGACTGGGGAGATGGGAGGAAAACTGAGAAAGTCCATGTTTCTATTAGCCAATCAAGAATGTAATTCGACAAGAAGAAATGGCAATTTTGAGAAATCATACTAAAAGACACATGTGATTTGATGTGAGGATTGACTGTTGAATTTAGCAACATGAAGATCACTGGTAACTGAAAATACTGCATTTAATGAAAAGGTGGGAACCAACTAAAATGTGTGAAAAAGAACTAGAGATGGCTTTGTGGAGAGGTTTGATATAAGGGGGAACAGGTAACTGGGAAGTAGCTGAAGAGGTAAATGTGTTCAAGTTTGATGGCTAATAACAAAGATTTAGTAAAAAGTAAAAAATGGTGATTAATTAGATCGTGATGATATTTGCTAAAGGAAAGTCCTAAAATAAAGGAAAAGTGATGAGCCCTAATAAACAAGTAGTGTTTTTGACTCAGTATTGAAAAAAATGAATGAGTTATGACCAGGAGATCTAAGTTTCTCTTGGTGGCTAACATGCACAAAAGTTATCTGTACAATAAGGGTAGTAGTGATGGTCCAGAGCAGATAGTAACAGCAAGGAAATAAATGTTGGAAGGTATAAGAGTATATGCAAATCCCTGACTTCCCATTACTGAGAACAGGAAAGGCAGATTCATATGTTCTCTTTAAAGATGTTAACAGTAAGTCCTATTAAATATTTAATGTGTGTACATTCCCAGTGTTCTTCTTTTGTTGTTGAAAGACAAAGACAAATTAGTGATTTCTTTTAAAACACATATCTTAACTGACATGACACTAGCACTTTGTCAGCTGAAGATTTTGGTCCAAAACGTGTTCCTAACTAGTGTGTGTGTGTGTGTGTGTGTGTGTGTGTGTGTGTGTGTATGTAGGAGAGAGAGAGAGAGACAGAGAAAGAGTGAGAGAGAGAGAGGGAGACATATACCTCCTCTGAGGCCTTTAATCTATCATAAAAGAGTTGGTCAGACAGTTGTCTTTTAAGGTTAAGGTTGAACGAACAATGGCAATGACAAAAAAAAAAATCTTAGCTTTTAACCTTTTAGTCCTCTGGAGTCTTATCTCAGGTCAAGGTAACGTCCTTTTTTTTTTTGACAGTGTTTTGTTCTGGAGTGCAGTGGCACAATCTCAGCTCACTGCAGCCTCCGCCTCCCAGGTTCAAGTGATTCTCCTGCCTCAGCCTCCCAAGTAGCTAGTATTACAGACATGTGCCACCATGTCCAGCTAATTTTGTATCTTTAGTAGAGATGGAGTTTCACTATGTTGATCAGGGTGGTCTCCAAATCCTGGCCTCAAATGATCCACCCACCTCAGCCTCTCAAAGTGCTGGGATTGCAGGCATGAGCCACCGCACCCAGCCAGATCAAAGTAAGTTCTATTAAAAGCTTCGAAAATCACTCTTCGTTGGCATAGCTCATTTTCAATAATCTGAATATAGATTCTTATCTTTTACCCTAAAGTATCTTCTTTATATTTTGTTAGCCAGTAAATTACCAGATTGGATTCTCCTCCCAAAAATATTTTAATTAAAAAAACATAACTTAAAAATACTTGTAAGTCCATGAAAGAATATTATTGCTTCTAAAACAGTAAAGGATTGCTTCTGCATCAAGGAAAAGTGCTGTAACAGAGATACAAGGGTATGGTTCACCCTCTTGCCTGAAACAAACAAACAAAAATGAATGAAATAGATGAATGAGTGGTTTTTAAGATATTGGACATCAGGCACCAAGGAACAGGAGCACCTAAAAAAAACAGAAACAAACAAGTGGCCCTATGATTGTCACAGCTTACTACCTTACAAGAGTTTCCAGGGTATGGAATAGAAAGGGAGTACCCGTGTGAAACCAGCGGACCTCTTGAGTTGACAGTCCAGGAAGACCAAGGTGAAGAACCACAGAGAGAAGAACTTACTAGAAAGAAAACTTCAAAGGTCTGCCGTGGGTCCCCCTTAGGTATTCAACAAAATACTTGTCAACAAAGCACTGAATAAACTATGCAAGATCAGGTAAAGAACCATCCAAAAAGGAGTAGAGGAAATGAGAGTTGATGTTACCACAGGGCCAGCCAAACTGAAAAACATCGTAATTCATAGGTCTTTGAATAAAATGTCTTGATTCATTATTAGCACAAAATCAGCTTTAGCCTAAAGGCTGCTCTTTTCCTAACAGATTTTAAAACCCAAGATCTGGGTGATCAAACTGTTGCCAAGTAATTTAGCTGCATCTTAGAAAAACATTTAAATATATTTGTAGCAATATAAAAATGTTCAACCACAAAAAGATAAAATTCAAAATGTATGGCATTGAATCAAAATTAACCAGTTAGCAAAGAAGTAGAGAACAATAAACCAAAATAAGGAGAAAGATTCAATTAATCAAAATAAACCAGAACTGACACAGCTGTTAGAATTATCAGGAAAAGACCTTGTAATAGCTATTAAAATATAATCCATATGTTCAAAAACTAGTAGAAATATTGAACAAATTAAGTAGAGACAAGAAAGTTAGAAAAGAGACTCAAATAGAACCCTGTAAAGATGACAACTACAGCTACTAAAATGAAAAATATACTGAATGGGATTAACCACAGATTAGACATCACAGAAAAAAAATGTAATAAACATGAAGACGGAAAAAAAATCTAAAATTAATATGTGTAAAAATTTTAAACTATAGAGAATATTAAACTGTTGGAAAATTTCAAGATGTGTAAAATACACATGAAAAGAGAAAAGAAACAAAAAGGCATATGAAAAGTTGCTCAGCATCATTGGTCATTAGAGAAATGCAAATCAAAACTACAATGAAATATCATAGCACCCCAATTAAAATGACTTTTATCCAAAAGTCAGACAATAACAATTTCTGGTGAGGATGTGGAGAAAAGGGACCCCTTGTACACTGCTGGTAGGAACCTAGTACAACCACTATGGAGAACAGTTTGGAAGCTACTGAAAAAAACTAAAAATAGAGTTACCATACAATCCAGCAATCCCATTGCTGGTTATATTCCCAAAAGAAAGGAACTCAGTATATCAAAGAGATATCTGCACTCCCATGGTTTTTGCAGCACTGTTCACAATAGCCAAGATTTGGAAGCAACCTGAGTGCCCATCAACAAATGAATGGATAAGGAAAATGTGATATATATACACAACAGAGTACTATTCAGCCATAAAAAAAGAATGAGAGCCTGTCGTTTGCAACAACATGGATAAAACAGAAAGTCATTATGTTAAGCGAAATAAGCTAGGCACAGGAAGACTAACATTGCATGTTCTCACTCATTTGTGGGATCTAAGAATCAAAACAATTGAACTCATGGAGGTAAAGAATAGAAGGTTGGTTGCCAGAGGCTGGGAACGGTAGTGGGAGAGAGGTGGGAATGGGTAATGGATACAAAGAAAATAGTCATAAAGAATGAATAATACCTAGCATTTGGTAGCACAATGGGGGGACTATAGTCAATAATAATTTAATTGAATATTTTATAATAACCAAAATAGAATAATTGGATTATTTGTAACACAAAGGATAAATGCTTCAGAAGATGGATGCCAAATTTTCCCTGTGATTACCATGCATTATATACCTGTACCAAAATATTTTATGTACCCCATAAATATGTACACCTACTATGTGCTCACAAAAATTAAAAATTTTAAAAATTAAAAATCTGATTTATAAAATAAATAAAAATTGTGAAAAGGCCAGGCATGGTGTCTCATGCCTGTAATCCCAGCACTTTGGGAGGCCCAGGAAGACAGATCGCTTGAAGTCAGGAGTTCGAGACCAGCCTTGCCCACATGGCAAAACACCATCTCTACTAAAAATACAAAAATTAGCCCAGTGTGGTGGTTTGTGCCTGTAGTCCCAGCTACTCAGCAGGCTGAGGCAGGAGAGTACCTTGAACCCAGGAGGCAGATGTTGCAGTGAGGAGATATCAGGCCACCACACTCCAGCCTGAGCAACAGAGTGAGACTCCTTCTCAAAAATTAAATTAAATTAAATTAAATTAAAAAATAAGGGAATTAATTGTACCTTTATACACAAAGCATGCAAGTACTTGTATAAACTTCTCCTTGCCTGGTGGTATAAGGTAAACCTCTGAGTGATTTTACACACCAGTTGGAGGATGGGTGGTGTTGGATGAGAGCCACAGATAGGTTCTTTATATCATTCTTTAGGATGTACCACGCATTTTGATGTACATTTCATTTGCCCCTATCAAATACAAATAAGCCCTGTGTATATTCTTCCTTTATTGCTGACGAAGAAATGACTTGGAAATCTTAAATGACTATGTAAGACAGCTACTGAACAGAATTAAGATTTTAAGTCCTCAGATTGACATGGAAGTGGTAGTTTATCCCAAACTCTGTTCTTAAAAAACTTTAAACACTCCATAATGCATCTTATATTTTACCCATAAAGTAGACCTATATCTTGCAACTTACTTACATCTTGATTATTTCCATTCAAAGTTTATTTTACACAACTTAGAGACAACATTTACTTCTCAATTTTTTTTTCCTTTAAATAAATGGAGTCTTATTATGTTGCACAGGCTGGCCTCTAACTCCTGGCTCAAGCAATTTCTGTGCCTCAGCCTCTGAAGTAGCTGGGATTACAAGCATGTGCTCTCTCTACTGGCTCCATCTTCTGTCTATAGATTTATTTCAATGGCTAAGGATTAAAACAGAGGTAATGAAATGGCCTAAATGTAACAAATAAACAGGTTAATAAATCTTAAAGAGTTTTTTCTGGTAAGTGTGAATTGAAGCCAAAAATACCGTAGATAGGAGAAGCTGGTAACAGGGCAGGAAAGTACCACACATTAAGCATGGAATGATGATAAGAAGTGGTAAATCAGAAAAGTTGAAAAAATAGACTTTGTGAGCACAGAATTTGCATTTTATGTTTATTTGCGTGACAGTTGAATTTTTATTGCAATTTGCCTCTTTAATTTTTATGGCATTCAATACTTTGATAATAGAAAACACAAAAAAAAGAGAAGAAAGAGGATAAAGATAGAAGAAATAACTATGAAATCAGACTTTAGTAGTATATGATTATTTTACTTTAAAATAAAATTTGACCATTTTAGGTCACTTGAATTTTGGCACAAATTTTTTTAATTTGCTTGTCTGGAAATTCTGCTAGGAAATTCTGCAAGGATTGTGGTTGAGATTGCATTGAATCTATTGACCTAATTTGGGGGGAATTAACATTCTTCCCTCTATTCTATTTGCTAATCAATGAAGGAGTGTAATTTTATCTTGATTTAGGTCTTTTTAACAACATTTTGTGGTTTTCAAAGTGTTCAAGTCATACACATCATTTGTCATATTTTGACCTATGTATTTCAGATTTTTTAAGTTGTCATAAAGGGTAGTGATTGTTTAATTTAGATTTCCAATTATTTGTTGCTTGTATACATAAATATTATTGATTTTTGCATATTGATCATATAGTCTCCAACCTTCCTATATATACTTGCTATCTCTTGTAGCATTTTTGTAGATTTTGTTTAATTGTCAACGTACGTTATTATGTTATCATAGGATAAAGACGGTTTTTGCTCCTTTTCAATCTGGATGCCTGTTATGTATTTTTCTTGCCTTTTTGTATGACTAAAATAACCATACCATGCTAAATAGAGGAAGTCAGAATGGACATCCTTGCCTTTTTCCTGAAGTCAGGGGAAAAGCATTGTCTCTCATCATTAAATTCCATGTTAGCTGTGCATTTGCATAGGTGCCGAGTGGGGGTTGTGTCCCCCACAAAAGTTGCTGAAGTCTTATCCTAACTGTGAATGTGACCTTATTTGAAAATAGGGCCTTTGCCACTTTTCAAATGAAGACATACGTGTGGCCAAAAATCATGTGAAAAAAAAAGCTCATTATCACTGATCATTAGATAAATGCAAATCAAAACCACAAAGAGATATCATCTCATACTAGCTAGGATGACTATTACTAAAATGTCAAAAAACAACATATGCTGGCGAGGTTATAAAGAAAAAGGAGCACTTTTACATTATTGGTTGGGAGTATAAATTAGTTGAACCATTGTGGAAGACAGTGTGGTGATTATTCAAAGGCCTAGAGGCAGAAATACCATTCAACAGAGCAATCCCATTACTGCATTTACACACAAAGGAATATAAATTGTTCACATGCAAGCATATGTTCATTGCAGCACACTATTCACAAGAGCAAAGATATGGAATCAAGTTAAATGTCCATCAATGATAGACTGGATAAAGAAAATGTGGGACATATACACCATGGAATATTATGCAACCATAAAGAAAGAATGAGATCATGTCCTTTGCAGGTACATAGATGGAGCTGGAGGTCATTATTCTTAGCAAACTAATGCAGAAACAGAAAACCAAATACCACATGTTCTCGCTTTTAAGTGGGAGCTAAATGATGAGACATCGACACAGAGAGGGTAACGACACACACAGGGGCCTATTGGAGGGTGGAGGGACGGAGGAAGGAGAAGATCAGGAAAAATAACTAATGGGTATTAATGGCTTAATACCTGGGTGATGAAATAATCTGTACGACAAACCCCCATGACACAAGTTTATCTGTCTTACAAACTTGCACATGTATCCCTGAACTTAAAAGTTAAAAAAAAAAAAAAAAAGAAAATAGCATCTTTGCAGATGGTCAAGTAGAGATGAGGTTATTAGAGTGGGCCCTAATCCAATATGACTGTGTCCTTATAGGAAGGGGAAATTTAGACACAATGATAGACATGCATAGAGGAAAAACAATCTGAAGACACAGGGAAAACACCATCTATAAGCCAAGGAATGCCTGAGACTATGAGAAGCTAGGAGAGAAGCATAGAACAGACTCTCCCTCACAGCCTTAAGAAGGATCTAACCCTGCTGACAACTTGATTTTTGGAACTGTAGTCTCCAGAACCATCAGACAGTAAGCTATTGTTGTTTTAAGTCACTTAGTTTATGGTACTTGTTATGGCAGATCCAGGAAATTAATGGCATTCATCATCTTGAGGAAGTTCTTTTGTATCTCCAATTTGCTGAGAGATTTATTAAGAATGGATGTTGAAATATGTTGGCGAGGTTGTGGAGAAAAGGGAACATATCCAAAGGAAAATAAATCATTCTACCAAAAACACACATGCACTCATGTTTATCACAGCACTATTCACAATAGCAAAGACCTGGAATCAACCTAGATGCCCATCAACAGTGGATTGGAAATATGGTATGGGCTGGGTGCAATGGCTCACACCTGTAATCCCACCACTTTGGGAGGCTAAGGTGGGTGGATCTCTTGAGCCCAGGAGCTCAAGACGAGACTGGACAAAATGGTGAAGTCTTGTCCCTACTAAAAATACACAAAATTAGCTTGGGCAGTGGCTCCCACCTATAGTTCCAGCTACCTGGGAGGGTGAGGTGGAAGAATCACCTGAGCCTTGGAAATCAAGGCTGCAGTGAGCCTAGCTTGCACCACTGCCCTGCAGCCTGGGCAACAGGAGTGAAACCCTGTCTCAAAAAAAAGAGGAGGAGAAGAAAAGAAGAAAGAAGAAAGAAGAAAGAAGAAGGAGAAGGAGAAGGAGAAGAAGAAGAAGAAGAAGAAGAAGAAGAGGAGGAGGAGGAGGAGGAGGAGGAGGAGAAGAAGAAGAAGAAGAAGAAGAAGAAGAAGAAGAAGAAGAAGAAGAAGAAGAAGAAGAAGAAGAAGAAGAAGAAGAAAGTGATCCCTGTACATCATGGAATACTAGTCAGCCATAAAAAAGGAATGAAATCTGGCCTTTGCAGCAACATGAATGCAGCTGGAGGCCGTTATCCTAAGTGAATGAATACAGGGGTGGAAAACTAAATACTGCATGTTCTCATACACATGTAACAAACCTGTACATACACCCCCAAACCTAAAATGAAAGTAAAACAAAACTTAAAAGAAAAAAATAATAGATTTTGGATTTTGACAAATACCTATTCTCCATCTATTAAATTGAGAATATGGTTTTCTTGGTATTTTGTAAATCCGTTTAATTGCATTGACTGATTTTTAAATGTTAACACAACATTGCAATCCTGAGATCAATGCTACTTGGTCGCGATGTATTTTCCTATTTATATGTTAAATTAAGTTTTCAAAAATTGTGTTGTTAGGTATTTGGCATGTTCTATATTTCTTAATTAGCTCAGTAATGTTGTCAGAACTGCCTGAGAAAATTTGTTCTATCAGATACTCTTTGTTTCTTTTTTTAATATTTGAACTTTTATTTTGGATATGGGGATACATATGCAGATTTGTTACATGATAATATTGCTTGATGCTGAGGCTCAGAGTATGAATCCCATCACCCTGGTAATGAGCATAGTACCTCACAGGGAGTTTTTTAAATCCACCACTCCAACCCTCTAGTAGTCTACAGTGTTTATTGTTCCCATATTTATGTCCATGTGTGTACAATGCTTAGCTCCCACTCATTAGTGAGAATATCTGGTATTTGGTTTTCTGTTTCTTCATTAATTTGCTTAGGATTAAGGCCTCCAGCTCCATCCATGTTGCTGAAAAAGACATTATTTCATTCTTTTATATGGCTGCATAGTATTCTATAGTGTATATATATACCACATTTTCTTTATCCACTCTACCATTGATGGGCACCTGTGTTGATTCCATGCCTTTGCTATTGCAAACAGTGCAGTGTTGAACATGCAAATAAGGATATGTGTCTTTTTGGTAGAATGATTTATTTGGGGGCTTGGTATATACTCAGTAATGGGATTTCCAGGACACACGATAACTCTGTTTTAAGTTTTTTGAGAAATCTCCAAACTGCTTTCTACAGTAGCTAAACTAATTACATTCTCATAAACAGTGTATAAGCATTCCCTTTTCTCCCCAGTCTTGCCCAGCATCTGTTGTTCTTTGACTTTTTAATAATAGCCATTGTGATTGGTGTGAGATGGTATCTCACGGATGTTTTGATTTGCATATCTCCAATGATTAGAGATGCTGAGCATTTTTTTCATGTTTGTTGGCCAATTGCATGTCTTCTTTTGAGAAGTGTCTTTTCCTGTCCTTTGTCCATTTTATAATGGGGTTATTTCTTTTTTGCTTGTTGATTTAAGTTCCCTATAGATTCTGGATATTAGTCCTTTGCCAGATGCATAGTTTGTGAATATTTTTCACATTCTGTAGGTTGTTGGTTTGCTCTGTTGGTAGTTTATTTTGCTCTGCAGAAGTTTTTTTGTTGTTGTTTAATTAGATCCCACTTATCTATTTTCGTTTTTGTTGCAATTACTCTTGGAGACCTAGTCAAATATCCTTGCCAAGGCCAATGTCGAGAAGAGTGGTTCCTAGGTTATCTTGCAGGAATTTTATAGTTTGAGGTCTTACATTGAAATGTTTAATAGATTTTCAATTAATTGTTTATATAGTGAAAGGTAGGGGTTCATTTTCAATTTTCTGCCTATGGCTAGCTAGTTATCCCAGCACCATTTATTGACTAGGGAGTTATTTCTTCATTGTTCGTTTTTGTCAGCCTTGTCAAAGATCAGATTGTTGTAGATGTGTGGCTTCGTTTCTGATTTTTCCATTCCATTCTATTGGTCTATGCATGGGTTTTTGTATCAGTACCAAGCTGTTTTGGTTACTGTGTTTTTATAGTATGGTTTGAAGTTGGGTAGTGGGATGCCTCCAGGTTTGTTCTTTTTGCTTAGTATTGTTTTATCTATTCGGGGGCTCTTTTTTGCTTACATATGAATTTTGGAATAGCTTTTTATTTCTAATTCTGTGAAGAATGACATTGGTAGTTTGATAGGAATAACATTGAATCTGTAAATGCTTTGGGAAGTATGACCATTTTTATTATATTAATTATTCCAATCCATGAGCCTGGAATGATTTTCCATTTATTTGTGTCATCTATGATTTCTTTCATTAGTGTTTTATAGTTCTCTTTATAGAGATCTTTAACCTCATTGGTTATCTGTATTCACGGGTATTTCATTTTATTTGTGGCTATTGTAAGTGGAATTGTGTTTCGATTTCACTCAGCCTTGATATTGTTGGCGTGAAGAAATGCTACTGATTTTTATATAGTTGAAATGTTATTAATGTCTATATACAAGTCAGATATTGCACATTTACAGAATGGATTGTAAGGTTTGTAGATCTGACAGTGCCATCATGGTCCATTCACATGCTGTGATCCTCAATAGAATCATTTAACAAATTCTGATGAAATAACTATGTATTTTACTCTGGCAAAGAATTTTAGTCTCCTTCTGTTTTAAAATGTGTTACTATAATAAATTAACTACATCTATGCAGTCTCATCTACAGATTATTTGAGCTTCCCCGAAGGCTCACAGGCTAGCTCTAATGTCTCTAAGAAAGGCAACCTCAAAACACTGTAGAAAAAGATAACCAGGTACTATTAATGATTGATATTTCAAATAATAGTCCAAGCTTGAAACCTGAGAGCCGACTTAGTCATTTGTCAGACTCTGTCGTGGTCTATTGAGGTTGCCAGGACTCTTTTTAATCCAAAGCATGACTTCATGAAAAGAGAGGCATATCCAAAACCTACCCTTAAAAGAATTAAATACATAGAACTGAATGGACTAGGGAGTAAAAAGTGGTTGTGGTCATTTGTTTCAGTATATTGTTATTACTTTTTAATAGTCTGTTTCTTAATAGGCATAAGAAAAAGCCTCTTTTCTTACTTTAATCTATTTCCAATCCTCAATTTAATAGATGATGCTTTTGCCAACTGAAATTAAATATGTTTAGAATCTGATTCTCATTGATCCATCTGAATTTAGAAACAAATAATTTGCTGAGGACTGTTTATTAAGATTTTACCCCAAAATTTTTCTGTGTAGACTTTTTGAAGTTGAGGTAAAATTCACATAACATAAAATTAACCATTTTAAGTGTACAATTTAATAGAATTATACATTCACATTATTTCTGCAACCACTACTTCTATTCAGTTCCAAAATATTTTATCATTCCCAAAGAAAACTTGTTATACTTTAAGTAGTCATTCACTCTTTCGTCTCCCCCTGCCCAGCCTCTGGCAACCGCAAATCTTTCTGTCTCCATGCATTTACCTATTCTAGAGAGTTCAAATAAATGGAATAATGCAATATATGACTTCTTGTGTGTAGCTTCTTTCACTAAGCATAATAATTTTGAGATTAGTCTATGTTGTAGCATATATTAGTACTTCATTTTTATTACTGAAAATATTCAACTGTATGGCTGTACAATATTTTGTTTATTCATCTATCCATTGATGGAAATTTGAGGTCTTTCCATCTTTTGGTTACTGTGAATAGTGCTGCTATAAGACATTTAATTTTGTATAAACATTACTATTGTTTGCATGACAAAATTTTATATAAAGTAAAAAAGCAGGACAATATGCATATAACCCTTTTAATAGAAATTAATAACATTATTTTTCCCTTACAGAAAGTTCTAAATAAAATAAAATTACATTGCCAAATAATTGCATAAATAAGGCCATGAGAGACTATTATCTGTAGTTGTGCTAAAAGGACACTTTATCTGAAGAGGTATTTAAGTCTATCCCAAGTACTGGGACTGAATATAAAAATGTATGTTACATAGGGGATTTATAGGAGAGAGAAAAAGAATATAGTTTGTGAATGCAATTCTGAACTTGATTGAATGCATGATTGAATAAAGAAATGAATGGAAAAGATATAGTTAGTCTTGATTTGGTGACCTTTAGCTTTACGTGCATGAAGTATATCTGCTATGTTGTATCTGGTAACAGAATATAAAACTGCAAAATAAAAAATAAAAATAAAAGCACTTCAACAAAATTTGTATCAAATAAAAAAAGTATATCCTCACTTCTACTATCCAGCATTTCATTTAGATTAATTTCCAAATAGCTTCACTTCTGATGCCATTTTATTTTTTATAGTGCTTGAAACATCATAGGTGCTAAAGTATTTTTCGCATGACTATTTCATTAAGACTTAGGCTTACATCACTGTTGTATTTAGTGTCCTGTAGTATTTTTTAAATGTTAAAATATATGCTTATGTTTATGAAGACAGTTTAAAAGCTAGCTATAACACTTTAATTTGTGACTGTTCATTTAATCATAACCTGAATGTCGAATGATAACATGTCAATTACTTAGAATAAGATACACAGTGCAAAGACATATTTACTCATGAGAGTCATCATATGATGAAATACTTGTTGCTGTGTACTCTGCAAAACTAAGTTAAAGCAGAAGTTTAAAATGATAAATACAGCTAAAATATAGCACAATTTTATTTTGTTCTTATTATGTCTGTATGTATAACCTATGCAAACTAAAATGCATAGGATATATATGAAAATATTAGTTGCTATCTTGGGGAATTGAATTTGGAGTATTTTTCATTTTGCTTTGCTTATATGATTATATTTTTCTCTAAAAATTCACAAGTATCATCTGCACTTTAAATAAAATATATTTTTATCCTGAGTTATTTTTCCAGACTGCTTTAGTGAAGGACAGACTGGATTGATCATGTATGTAAATAATCAGAGACAACATTCATTGACTTTGTTTTTTACAGACTGTACACAGTGCAGGAAGTTTCCAGTTACTTTTAGTGTATATTGCTCAATCTGTCTTCCAACAATACCCACGAAAGCGGGTTCCACTTTAAATGAAATGTACATGATTTATTTTGGAAAAATTTCAAATAGCTATTACTTTTTATTAGGTTTCTTTTCCCTCTCCACCAAGTATTCGTTTGAGAGGTTTCATTGTACCATATTGCTATATTTTGTCAGAAAGGGAACAAAAGGATTTATCCTTTTAAAAGTTTTTTTGCCCTTTTTAGGTGTTCTTTTGAGAGCAGACTAACAAAGGGAGATTTTTTTCTCCAATGAAGTTCTACAGTAGGAAAAAAAAAAAAAGTGAAACAAAAGACTAGGGGAAAAAACAGAAAACCTATTATCCTGAAAAACATATTTCTGGTTGAAATATTATTGTTTTAATGTCCCTCACATATAAAGAAGTTAGTTGAAGACTCAAAGTCAACTTTTTCTCATAAATTCTTCAGTGAAAGAAAATGGCAAAGTCTCTGTTTGCAGATATTTAGTCAATAATGTACTCTCCCAGTTCTAACAAAAATCATTCAGGTCCAAATTTCAATTGTGTCACTAGCAGGCTGTGCTACTTGGGAAAGTTTAAAAATCCCTCTGTACTTCACCCTCCTCATTTGTAAAATATAGAGATGATAAAAGTATCATGTTAGAGGATCACTGTGGGAATTAAGTCAGATAATAGTGATCCATTATTAATACTCAATACATATTAGCTATCAACACATTATCAATATTATATAACAAAGAATATTACTCTCAATGTTATCGCTGTTCTTATAGGTAGATTAAGGGTTTTTAATTCACTATAATTATTTGACATAAAACTGAGATGGCCTAGATGGTTCTATTATAAAAAGACAGTATCTGTATCAAATTACTTATTGACATGGGTTAGGTTTTCTTTTCCTCCACGACCCCAGACTGCACAGCTTTTATCTACAATCATAGTTAGAAGAGTCATAAAAAAGTTTACTGGGAGAGATGCACTAGAAATAGGGACAAATAAATCTTCAGTATTGGAAATGAGACTTCAAATATTATTCAGCATTTACATAAATAATGTGCACTTAGCAACAGGCATTAAAAGATATTTGACACCTTGTTTGACCATTACTAGTTTATAAGTAACAATTCAAATCTTTATAGATATTGCTTCAGGAGACAAGCTCAATTCAAAAATATTCACTCATTACTATTAAATGTTGTTTTGTAGAGAGACAAGGTCTTGCTCTGCCACCCAGGCTGGAGTGCAAGTGTTATGATCATAGTCCACTCTAACCTATAACTCCTGGATTCAAGTGATCCTCCCATCACAGCCTTCCAAGTAGCTGGGACTACAGGCACACACCACCACGTCAAACTAATTTTTTAATTTTTACTTTTTGTAGAGACAGTGTGTAGACTATTAGATATTCTTAAGCAACTTACTGACAGCCACAAAATTCAGTGCATCCTCTCACTCCTTTGAGACATATATACATCCATCAAATTGTTACACACACACACCTACAAACACATGAAGGTTTTACATATATAGATTGTTCATTTAGGATAAAAAAGAAAAAAAATCATTGAATGGAAGCAGATTTTAAAAATCCCTGGCTTCTAAATTTATAATCTACTTTTCAAAGGGTTATGTTAACTTATTGTCCTAACAACAACTTTGGAGTACAAAAACTTTGTGAAAACTTATATATTCTCATTTGGGAGAAATTTGTTATTTAAAAATTTAAATAGGGCCTGGTGTGGTGGCTCATGCCTATAATCCCAGCACTTTGGGAGGCCAAGGTGGGCAAATCACCTAAGGTTTGGAGTTTGAGACCAGCCTGGTCAACATGGCCAAACCCCATCTCTACTAAAAAATACAAAAATTAGCCAGGCATCATGACAGGCACCTATAGTCCCAACTACTCGGAAGGCTGAGGCAGGGAGAATTGCTTGAACCCGGGAGGCCGAGGTTGCAGTGAGCTGAGATTGCACCACTGCACTCCAGCCTGGGCAACAGAATGAAACTCCATCTCAATCAATCAATCAATCAATAAAATGACATTGCAGTCAATATATAATTGTAATTTGAAGTAATACTGATCATTTTTCTATGGGCATTCAAGTGCCTTTTCTTCTGTTGTTTATCTCGTTTTTATGTCCTGGAGTCAGGGATTTTCTTAGGGATAGTTCTATTCAGCATAAACTGGAATTCTTTGATGCTGACTTTCCTTCCTGAATCTTTTCATGGAAGGTAAACAAAGGATACATGTCTCATAATTTTCTGTTCAATAATAGACTTTGATACTCTAAGCTGTTTGTTTTTTTATTTAAAGCAAAAATGTATGTCAAATATGCATAAACTATAATTCAAGTTAAGTGAGATTTCAATAATCTTATGACTTAACTTATAAATGATTGATATTTTGGTAATCAGACACTAACATTTGAAGCTCCCTGCATACAACTGAAATATTTTCTTTCCTTCTACAGGGGCACATTATACTCTGATTTTAGTGTTTATCATTTATATGCATTCTTTTAGATGTTTCTGTAAACAATTTACAATTCATTTTTCATTTGTAATGTTTATGCATTTATATAAACTATCATCCTATATATATTTTTCTGAAACTTACTTTTTTCACTTAATGTATAGGAGGTGTATCCATATTGCTGCAGTTCTCAGAGTTCTATCATTTTTATTAATGTTTACATTTTCCTTGATTGTATGCAACATTATTTATCCTTTCTCACCTTAATATTTAAGCTGTGTTAGCCAGATGCCGTGGCTCACACCTGTAATCCCAGGACTTTGGGAGGACAAGGAGGGTGAATCACTTCAGGTTGGGAGTTTGAGACCAGCGTGGACAACATGGTGAAACCCTGTCTCTATTAAAAATACAAAAATTATCTGGGCATGGTGGCACGCACTTGTAATCCAAGCTACTCAGGAGGCTGAGGCAGGAGAATTGCTTGAACCTGGGAGGCGAAGGCTGCAGTGAGGCGAGATCATGCCAATGCATTCCAGCACGGGCGACCAAGGGAGACACCATCTCAAAAATGAATAAATAATAAAAATAAGCTGTGTATTTGTCTTCCTTTTTTTCTGCTATTACAGATAATGATTCTGTGGATATTGCTATATACAGTCTCTGAAACATGACTGAATCTTTCTTTAAATATTATATATATATATATATATATATATATATATACACCTATAGAGACAGAATGAGTGCTTCATTGGGCATGCTTTCTTTAACTTCAAAATACCCTCTAAACATCTTTTTACAAGTTTTATTCCCACCAGCTGTATATGATAGTTTTATTATTCTGCATTTTCTTCAACATGTAGTATTTTCAGACTTTTAAAATATTGTTTCTACTACCATATGTGAAATGGTATGTTGAATAAGGTTTATTTGTCAATTCTTTGATTACTCATAAATTTGAGTGTCTTTTCTCAGCCATATTGGCTATTTAGGTTTCCACTTTATTATTTATCCAGGAGCGTATTTAACATCTTTTTAAATTTTCACTGAAGCACTAAGTTACAGAGAAAGGAAACATCAAAAGGAGGTGCCAGTGACAATGATGGCCTTAAACATTCCCATCAACTTGACTAAATTTTAGAGATGTTTCTTCCCGACTGCCCTTTTCATAGAGTATTGACAACTTCTTATTGTAAATTAGTTCTCTATCTCTTTGAAATACTATACAAGTCTTTCTCCCAGCCTGTTGCTAGTTTTAGAACCCAAGAATGTCTTTCTCAAGGACATGGAAGCCATCCCTTTGAAATGTAATCATCAAGAATATGAGTGTCCAGGCCAATGTCATGAAGCTTTTCCTCTATGTTTTCTTCTAGCAGTTTTATAGTTTTAAGTCTTAAATTTAATCCATTTGAGTTGATTTTTGTATATGGTATGAGATAAAGGTCTAATTTCAGAGCTTTAAGGTTTAACTGACCCATTGGATTTTGGACTTGCATGAGGCCTGTAGCCCCTTTGTTTTGGCCAATTTCTCCCATTTGTAATGAGTGTCTTTACCCAATGCCTGCACCCCTATTGTATCCAGGAAGTAATCAACTTGCTTTTGATTTTGCAGGTTTATAGGTGGAAGGGACTTGCCTTTCTCTGATGAGACTTTGGATTGTGGACTTTTGAGTTAATGCTGAAATGAGTTAGGACTTCGGGGGTCTGTTGGGAAGGAATGATTGGTTTTGAAATGTGAGGACATGAGATTTGGGAGGAGCCAGGCTGAAATGGTACGGTTTGGCTCTATCCCTGCCCAAATCTCATCTTGAATTATAGGAATTCCCATGTGTCAAGGGTAGGGTCAGGTGGTGATAATTGAATAATGGGGGTGGTTTCCTTCATACTGGTCTTGTGGCAGTAAATAAGTCTCACAAGATCTGATTATTTGACAAATGGGAGTTCTCTGCAGAGGCTGTCTTGCCTGCCACCATGCAAGACATGGCTTTGCTTCTCATTCACCTTCTGCTATGAATGTGAGGTCTCCCCAGCCATATGGAACTGTGAGTCAATTAAACCTCTTTCCTTTATAAATTACCTAATCTTGGGTATGTCTTTATTAGCAGAATGAGAACAGACTAATATATCAAGTAAAAAGGTTAATAAGAAGAAAGAGAAAGAGAGAGAGAGAAGAGAGATAAGAAGACAGAAAGAGAGAAAGAAAGAAAAAGAAAGAAGAAGAAAGAAAGAAGAAAGAAAAAAGAAAGAAAGAGAAAGAAAAAGAAAAGGGAAGGGGAGGGAAGGGGAAGGGAATGGGGAAAGGGAAGAGAGAAATAAAAGAAAAGAGAGAAAGAAAGAAAGCAAAAGAAGAAAGAAAAAGAAAGAATGAAAGAAAAAGAAAAGAAAGAAGAAAGAAAGAAGGAAAGAGGAAAGAAAGAAAGAGAGAGAGAAAGAAAGAAAGAAAAAGAAAAGAAAGAAAGAAACAGAAAGAAAGGAAAGAGGAAAGAAAGAAGAAAGAGAAGGGAGGGAGGGAGGGAGGAAGGAAGGAAGGAAGGATGGAAGGAAGGAAAGGGCAAGCCCCTGTTTCCCAGTCTCTGTGGGAGGGTGGGAGGCTAACTTTCATAAGCACAATAAACAAACGTAGATAACCTAATCATACTGAGCAACCTCTTGTCTCCCCATATTCTCAAGTACTCTCCCACTAGTTCACTCCAGCACTTAGAAATTCTCCTGCCTTTTGTTTCAGCAGATTTGAGTTCAATCTCTCCACTCTAGTAGTCTTGATCTATATTGCAATAGTCTTGCCTATTTAACTCCATTTAGTGCAGTTTTTCTTTGACACAGATTAAGATACACATTTTCCAAAAGAAATCTGAGAAAGCATACTATAGCTGAAAAATCCCTCATCTACAAGAATAAATGGATGCTATGGGTTGTATAAAATTAATTATAAAATGATTTGAAGATAGCTGCACCATGACTCTTGTTAAGCCTCACTTATAATGTCTGAAACTAGACCAGACTGGAGAGAGTGGCAACAGGCATTGTGGAGAGAGAGGAGGGCTGGAATACAAAGGTGTTTGTGCAAATTTTAGAGGGTGATACACACTATCTTGACCATGGTGATGATTTCACAATTGTAGACATATGTCACACTTCATCAAATTGTACACTTTAAATAAGAGCAATTTATTGTACATTGAGAACATAAAATTAAAAAAATAGAATGAGAAAGAAAATAAGAAAGTGCATAGCTTCAAAGAGACAGAATCACCATGTCAGCTAATCTGGCACTAACATAAGCAGGAAAATAACTAATTGGTTTATGTGTTTGTTTACTTTTGTTCTCCTCATTGTTGCTTTTAGAACTACATAGCTGAAGAAAGTAGAAAGAATAGTTTAGAGAGTGAGGAAAATAGGGTTGCATTGGGTCAAAGAAGATGATGACATTTTAGAACTAAGGGAGGGAAGAGAGAAGTGTGAAAAGGAATTTTGATGAAAGTTTACTAAATTTGGAAACTACAGAATTAATGCAAATGGTGAGGGAGAAATCTGAGCTCTAAGTGTTAGGAAAGCCATTCTTGAAATCAGAAAAACCTTGAATGTGCATTCTTATTGATTTAATAGACATGTAATCTTCAGTCCATTTTTCCTTCTAATCTTCAGTTTCCTACATTATAAAATGATAACTAGCTTTCCAAATTCATAAGACATGTAGAAGAAAAAAATTATGTTTATATGTATATATGTACTGTTATTTTATACAAGACACTGTTATAGAGAGTTTATACATATAGAGTTTATATAGTTTATATATCTATAAACCCTTTAACTGTTATATAAAAACAGTTTTTATATGTAACAGTATAAATATGTTTAGAGCTTACATAGATAAACTCTATAACTGTGTCTTATATAAAATAAGTGTGCAAATGTAGGATTAGTTTTATTATAATCCTCTGTTTTCCCCACTTCTTAAAATCAATCAGAGTATTTTCACCATTGTTTTTATTTATGGCTTTGTAACTGGTTGTTTATGTTCATAAACTGCTTTTATAATGATATAAATACAAATAAAAATATGACTATGAATACATAAAAGGAATGACTTTAAATTATGAAAAACAATTGACATTTAAAGCTTATAAAAGTCCTTTTGTATATTTTAGGAGAAAATATTTTGGATTAAAATATGCTTTAATCTCTCTTTTTTCATAACTCACAGCAAAAGCATATTTTCAGGCAATAGCATCTTGTAAAGTAATTTTATTTTTCTTAGAGATATTTAATGTTTTCATTAATGTCTTCTGAACAAAAATAAGTTTTGAAGTGGTAAAATTATAAATGTATCTTTTTGCACATATTTGGCACCTCAGACAATTGTTTCAGTGCTGCCAACAAAGTCACCTAGTATTTTGAAAGGAAGGTGACTTCTTTGTATGGCATTTTTTATTTTCAGTCATTGTACCACAGTTTTGCCATTACAAAAGTCACTTTCATCTTGACTCGTATAAAGATCCTAACTGTGCACAAGTTTCGTATTCATCAGTATTATTTCCTTACTATTTCATCTTTTAAATAATAAAAATTCAGAATCACAATCAGTAACTTAAAGTTATATTTATTAATTCAGGAATAAATATTTTTGTTTGTATCAATTTATATGTTCAAGAGAGGGGCCTCACATTCAGGAAACACCCATTGTATAAAGGAAAATAGTCTTTTTTGCATATGAAAGGAATAAATATTCAGTTCAGATGTAATTACACACAGATCTATAAGGATAAATAATTGTTGTTTTAAGCTACTTATAAATTATCTTTTCCCTATTCACAATGTTTCTTGACAGCTTTAAATTAAATTTGTGATCCATCTCTAGTACATAAATAGAACTTTATGATATGACTTTATGATATGCATTGACTAAACTCATTTTTGTTGTCATCTTGCTTTCCTATATTGCCTCTCACTTTGTTTTTATCACTGAATTTTGTTCACTGAACTTTATCACTGATCATTTTGGGGTTTTTTAAATAATATTTTTGTGGCAATGGCTAACTGATACATACTCTAGAATGTAAGCTTGCTTGAGTCTCCAAAGCTAAACATACTTCTTTTAAATGTCAGTATTCATGTTTGTAGTTACAGGGAGGAACTTAGGAGTTGGCTTGCCCGAGACTGGATTCTAGATCTACTCTTTACTCTGTGGGCTTTGAATAAGTTAAATAAAATATATGTTTCAATTGTTTCATCCATAAAATTGTACTAATAGAATGGTATTCATAGAACTTCTGTGATGATTAAATTGAAAAATAGACAAAATATTTGTATATCTGGCACCTGTGTTACCTGTCATTATCATTTATTCAATCTTTATTACACATCACTATAATTTTGCCTATTTATGTAACATTATTAAACATTATGTAAAATATACTTACGTAACACAACAAAATTCAGTGATGAAAACGAAGTGAGAGGCAATATAGGAAAGCAAGATGACGACAAAAATGAGTTTAGTAAATTCATATCATAAAGTCATATCATAAAGTCCTATTTGCGAACTAGAGATTGATCACAAATTTAATTTTAAGCTGTCAAGAAACATTGCGAATAAGGAAAAGATAATCTATAAGATCACATACCAATCAGGTAAAAGAAACATGTTACTTAGAATGACAATTATCTTAATAATAAAACTAGTGACATTTCTCTCAAAGATTTTCATAGGAAAGTGTGGTTTCTGAATCCTGGCATATGGTCCTTGACTTCGAAGATACCACAGAACAAAATTTAAAATACCATGAATCCAAAATATTTTATTTATTAAGTGTTACACTTGAACACAGATCAAACAAATCCATCATGACAAACAGATACACCGTCTCAATACTATTTGCAATATATTTTGAAATTATAGTCTTATTAAAAACAAAATTTTAAAATAATAAATTTTATTCACCATATTAAGTATCTATTTTTCATGAATTGTTTATAAATATTATTGAAGACTAGGCTTTAATCATATGGAACCACATGAAAATAATTTAACTTGCATCAACTCTTATCAAATAATTCTATAACAGGAAGAGATTTTAGAACCCATAATTTAGTTAGGGCTTCAGATCAACTCTAAACACACATAGAAAAAAGTCTCTACTTTGAGGACTTTTAAAAAAGTAATGAACTTTACATAATATGAAGCATTCTTCATTTTAAGAACAAATTTTATAGATATATGGGATTGATGTAAACATGTGCTAGCGTGTTTATGAAAGGGAAGTTGTAAATGTTTTGTATGTTTTTAATGAACGTAATTTACTCAAATAAATATCACTGACAACTTTTTTTAAATTTCCAATTTTCTTATATCTATTTAATCTGGAAGTAACGGATTGTCTATAAAACTGTTAAAAGTTATTTTAATTAAGAACTTTCTGAAATAAGAAAAATAAAACATTTAAAGCTCTTATTAGAATAAATAAAATAATGTTTTCTCCGCATGTTAAAAAAGAAAAGAATTTGTCTTGTTGCTGTGTAAAATTCTGATTTTATTCTGCCTCTTCATGAAGCTATTAGATAGTGTGAAAAAGGGTTCTTTATTAGCAGTGTCATGTTTGAGGAAGACAGTATTGTGGCCAGAAAGTGACCACTTGGGTAATTCAAATGGATTCTATAGCTTCCATATATTTTAATTCATTATGATTAAACATACCACAAAATGTCTCAATTTGATAAATTATACAGAAATAACATTTATATATATCATTACAGTTAATCTTTGGTTTTACCCCTCACAATATTCATTTTTTGATTCTTAAATGAATAGCTTTACTTTCTTATTTTACTGGTAAGCCTACAAAATAAGGTTTTTGTAATTAATCATTTTATTTCAATATTGTATATGTGTTATAAAATGCAATTAAGTATTTTTTATACAAGTAAATTAGTAATATCCTGAAAATTAGCATGAGTTCTATTGAGTTATTCTTAGTAATAACCTAGTTATAAAGTTGCTTCATAATATACAAAGCACTACACAAATAAAAATATTATAATGGAAATTTTTGCAGGGTAATTAATAATAAAGTATTATTACAACCCATTTGCAAATAATTAAAAATACCTTCATTATACCTGTAATAAAAACTCATTCTAATGAAGTGAACTAAATAATACATGATTTAAATATAAAATAGTGTTTATTGGGATAAATTTCTTCACTGTTTTATTTACTTTACGGGAACTTCACTTTTCTTAAATAATTTGAGCTTATGTGTAAGTTAAACATAATTAATTATAGTATATTATGTATAATTAATTATAGTGTAATTAATAATACAAATAACAGAGCTGCTGGATATTTTCCATTTTCCATAGTGCCTTTATACCTACTATCTGTCCTTCATTCTGCTCTCTGTAGGCAGACTTGCATAGGCTTTTTCAAAGCATTCACTCCTCCTTGTGTTTTGATTGGGTGTGGGGAACAAAGGATTGGAGTATCAGAGATGGAAGGAGAATCTGGTTAGGTAGTGAACCTAGGAAAAGTACATGCTTCCCACTTGTTGGTTTCCCTAAATTCTGTCCACACCTTGGTAAGCAACTTTTAACATTATCTTCAGTTAAGCAGTTTGAGCATGCTTCTTTCTCCTGCTGGGACCTCAATGGCTACAGAGATCATCAACATTATCAAAGGAAATAGATACTAGTAAGTCTCACTGAGTTAATTACTATACTTTACAAACATAAATGCCTGTAAATCAATTAACTGAACAGATAAAATGGGATATGTGATATAATTTGCTTTATTTCTAATTATTATTATACTTTAAGCTCTGGGATACATGTGCAAAACATGCAGGTTTGTTACATAGGTATACACGTGCCATGGTGGTTTGCTGCACCCATCAACCCGTCATCTACATTAGGTATTTCTTCTAATGCTATCCTTCCCCTTACCCCCTACCCCCCCGACAGGCCCTGGTGTGTGATGTGTCCCTCCCTGTGTCCATGTGTTCTCATTGTTCAGCTCCCACTTATGAGTGAGAATGTGCAGTATTTGGTTTTCTGTTCCTGTGTTAGTTTGCTGAGAATGATGGTTTCTAGCTTCATCCAAGTGCCTGCAAAGGACATGACCTCATCCTTTTTTTGGCTGCATAGTATTCCATGGTGTATATGTGCCACATTTTATTTATCCAGTCTATCATTGATGGGCGTTTGGGTTTGTTCCAAGTCTTTGCTATTGTGAACAGTGCTGCCATAGACATACATTTGCATGTGCCTTTATAGGAGAATGTTTTATATTTCTCTGGGTATTATACCCAGTAATGGGATTGCTGGGTCAAATAGTATTTCTGGTTCTAGATCCTTGAGAAATCGCCACAATGTCTTCCACAATGGTTGAATTAACATACACTCCCACCAACAGTGTAACAGCGTTCCTATTTCTCCACATCCTCTCCACCATCTGTTGTTTCCTGACATTTTAATGATCACCATTCTAACTGGCATGAGATGGTATCTCATTGTGGTTTTGATTTGCAGTTTTCTAATGACCAGTGATGATGAGCTTTTTTTCATATGTTTGTTAACTGCATAAATGTCTTCTTTTGAAAAGTGTCTGTTCATATCCTTCACCACTTTTTGATGCAGTTGTTTGGTTTTTTTCTTGTAGATTTGTTTAAGTTCCTTGTAGATTCTGGATATTAGCCATTTGTCAGATGGATAGATTGCAAAAATTTTCTACCATTCTGTAAGTTGCCTGTTCACTCTCACGATAGTTTCTTTTGCTGTGCAGAAGCTCTTTAGTTTAATTAGATCCCATTTGTCAATTTTGGCTTTTGTTGACCTTGCTTTTGGTGTTTCAGTCATGAGATTTTTGCCCATGTCTTTGTCCTGAATGGTATTGCCTAGGTTTTTTTCTAGGGTTTTTATAGTTTTAGGTCTTACATTTAAGTGTTTAATCCATCTTGAGTTAATTTTTGTGTAAGGTCTAAGGAAGGGGTCCAGTTTCAGTTTTCTGCATATGGATAGCCAGTTTTCCCAACACCATTTATTAAATAGGGAATTTTTTCCCCATTTCTTGCTTTTGTCAGATTTGTCAAAGATCAGATGGCTGTAGATGTGTGGTGTTATTTTTGAGGCCTCTGTTCTGTTCCATTGGTCTATTCTCTTTTGGTATCAGTACCATGCTGTTTTGGTTACTATAGCCTTGTAGTATAGTTTGAAGTCAGGTAGCATGATGTCTCCAGCTTTGTTCTTTTTGCTAGGACTGTCTGGGATATATGGGCTCTTTTTTGGTTCCATATGAAATTTAAAGTAGATTTTTCTAATTCTGTGAAGAAAGTTAATGGTAGCTTAATGGGGATAGCATTGAATCTATAAATTACATTGGGCAGTATGACCATTTTCATGATATTGATTCTTCCAACCCATGAGCATGGAATGTTTTTCCATTTGTTTATGTCCTCTCTTATTTCCTTGAGCAGTGGTTTTAGTTCTCCTTGAAGAGGTCCTTCACATCCCTTGTAAGTTTTATTTCTAGGTATTTTATTCTATTTGTAGCAATTGTGAATGGGAATTCACTCATGATTCGGCTCTCTGTTTGTCTGTTATTGCTATATAGGAATGCTTGTGATTTTTGCCCGTTGATTTTGTATCCTGAGACTTTGCTGAAGTTGATTATCAGCTTAAGGAGATTTGGGGCTGAGATGATGGGGTTTTCTAAATATACAATCGTGTCATCTGCAAACAGGGACAATTTGACTTCCTCTCTTCCTATTTGAATACCCTTTATTTCTTTCTCTTGCCTGATTGCCCTGGCCAGAACTTCCAATACTATCTCGAATAGGAGTCATGAGAGAAGGAATCCTTGTCTATTGTGCCGGTTTTCAAAGGGAATGCTCCCTGCTTTTGCCCATACGGTATGATATTGGCTGTGGGTTTGTCATGAATAGCTCTTATTATTTTGAGATATGTTCCATCAATACCTGGTTTATTGACAGTTTTTAGCATGAAGGGGTGTTGAATTTTATTGAAGGCCTTTTCTGCATCTATTGACATAACCATGTGGCTTTTGTCATTGGTTCTGTTTACGTGATGGATTGCATTTATTGATTTGTTTATGTTGAACCAGCCTTGCATCAGGGATGAAGCTGACTTGATTGTGCTGGAGAAGCTTTGTGATGTGCTTCTGGTATTGGATTGCCTGTATTTTATTGAGGATTTTCACATCTATGTTAATCTGACAGAAGTAGGCTTCAGAAGGTGGGTAATAACAAACTCCTCCAAGCTATAGGAGCAAGTTCTAACCCAATGCAAGGAAACTAAGAACTTTGAAAAAAGGTTAGACAAATTGCTAACTAGAATAACCAGTTTAGAGAAGAACATAAATTACCTGATGGAGCGGAAAAACACAGCACGAGAGCTTCATAAAGCATACACGAGTATCAATAGCCAAATCAATCAAGCAGAAGAAAGAATATCAGAGATTGAAGATCAACTTAATGAAATAAAGTGTGGAAAAAAGATTAGAGAAAAAAGAATGAAAAGGACTATCAATTTTGTTGATCTTTTCAAAAAACCAGCTCCTGGATTCATTGATTTTTTGAAGGGTTTTTTGTGTGTCTATTTCCTTCAGTTCTGCTCTGATCTTAGTTATTTCTTGCCTTCTGCTAGCTTTTGAATGTGTTTGCTCTTGCTTCTCTAGTTCTTTTAATTGTGATGTTAGGGTGTTGATTTTAGGTCTTTCCTGCTTTCTCTTGTGGGCATTTAGTGCTATAAATTTCCCTCTATACACTGCTTTGAATGTGTCCCAGAGATTCTGGTATGTTGTGTCTTTGTTCTCGTTGGTTTCAAAGAACATCTTTATATCTGCCTTCATTTCTTTATGTACCCAGTAGTCATTCAGGAGCAGGTTGTTCAGTTTCCATGTAGTTGAGTGGTGTTGAGTGAGTTTCTTAATCCTTAATTCTAGTTTGATTGCACTGTGTTCTGAGAAACAGTTTGTTATAATTTCTGTTCTTTTACATTTGCTGAGGACTACTTTACTTCTAACTATGTGGTTAATTTTGGAATAAGTGCGGTGTGGTGCTGAGAAGAATGTATATTCTTTTGGTTTGGGGTGGAGAGTTCTGTAGATGTCTATTAGGTTTGCTTGGTGCAGAGCTGAGTTCAATTCCTGGATATCCTTGTTAACTTTCTGCCTCATTGATCTGTCTAATGTTGACAGTGGGGTGTTAAAGTCTCCCATTATTGTTGTGTGGAGTCTAAGTCTCTTTGTAGGTCACTAAGGACTTGCTTTATGAATCTGGATGCTTCTGTATTGGGTGCATATATATTTAGGGTACTTAGCTCTTCTTGTTGAATTGATCCCTTTACCATTATGTAATGGCCTTCTTTGTCTCTTTTGATTTTTGTTGGTTTAAAGTCTGTTTTATCAGAGACTAGGATTGTAACCCCTGCTTTTTGTTTTGTTTTTTTTTGCATTTGCTTGGTAGATCTTGCTCCATCCGCTTATTTTGAGCCTATGTGTGTCTCTGCACGTGAGATGGGTTTCCTGAATACTGCACACTGATGGGTCTTGACTCTTTATCCAATTTGCCAGTCTGTGTCTTTCAGTTGGAGCATTTAGCTTATTTACATTTAAGGTTAATATTGTTATGTGCGAATTTGATCCTGTCATTATGATGTTAGCTGGTTATTTTGCTCATTAGTTGATGCAGTTTCTTCCTCGCCTCGATGGTCTTTACAATTTGGCATGTTTTCGCAATACCCTCCAAAGACTAAACGAGGAAGAAGTTGAATCTCTGAATAGACCAATAACAGGTTCTGAAATTGAGGCAAGAATTAATAGCTTACCAACCAAAAAAAGCCCAGGACCAGATGGATTCACAGCCGAATTCTACCAGAGGTACAAGGAAGAGCTGGTACCATTCCTTCTGAAACTATTCCAATCAATAGAAAAAGAGGGAATCCTCCCTAACTCATTTTATGAGGCCAGCATCATCCTGATACCAATGCCTGGCAGAGACACAACAAAAAAAGAGAATTTTAGACCAATATCCCTGATGAACATCAATGCAAAAATCCTCAATAAAATACTGGCAAACCAAATCCAGCAGCAAATCAAAAAGCTTATCCACCATGATCAAGGGGGCTTCATCCCTGGGATGCAAGGCTGGTTCCACATATGCAAATCAATAAATGTAATCCACCATATAAACAGAACCAATGACAAAAACCATATGATTATCTCAATAGATGCAGAAAAGGCCTTTGACAAAATTCAACAACGCTTCATGCTAAAAACTCTCAATCAGTTAGTTATTGATGGCACGTGTCTCAAAATAATAAGAGCTATCTGTGACAAACCCTCAGCCAATATCATACTGAATGGGCAAAAACTGGAAGCATTCCCTTTGAAAACTGGCACAAGATAGGGATGCCCTCTCTCACCACTCCTATTCAACATAGTGTTGGAAGTTCTGGCCAGGGCAATCAGGCAGGAAAAGGAAATAAAGGGTATTCAATTAGGAAAAGAGGAAGTCAAATTGTCCCTGTTTGCAGATGACATGATTGTATATCCAGAAAACCCCATCATCTCAGCCCAAAATCTCCTTAAGCTGATAAGCAACTTCAGCAAAGTCTCAGGATACAAAATCAATGTGCAAAAATCACAAACATTCTTATACACCAATAACAGAGAAACAGAGAGCCAAATCATGAGTTAACTCCCATTCACAATTGCTTCAAAGAGAATAAAATACCTAGGAATCCAACTTACAAGGGACGTGAAGGACCTCTTCAAGGAGAACTACAAACCACTGCTCAATGAAATAAAAGAGGATACAAACAAATGGAAGAACATTCCATGCTCATGGGTAGGAAGAATCAATATTGTGAAAATGGCCATACTGCCCAAGGTAATTTACAGATTCAATGCCATCCCCATCAAGCTACCAATGACTTTCTTCACAGAATTGGAAAAAACTACTTTAAAGTTCATATGGAACCAAAAAAGAGCCCACATTGCCAAATCAATCCTAAGCCAACAGAACAAAGCTGCAGGCATCATGCTACCTGACTTCAAACTATACTACAAGGCTACAGTAACCAAAACAGCATGGTACTGGTACCAAAACAGAGATATAGATCAATGGAACAGAACAGAGCCCTCAGAAATCATACCACATATCTACAACCATCTGATCTTTGACAAACCTGACAAAAACAAGCAATGGGGATAGGATTCCCTGTTTAATAAATGATGCTGGGAAAACTGGTTAGCCATATGTAGAAAGCTGAAACTGGATCCCTTCCTTACACCTTATACAAAAATTAATTCAAGATGCATTAAAGACTTACATGTTAGGCCTAAAACCATAAAAACCCTAGAAGAAAACCTAGGCAATACCATTCAGGACATAGGCATGGGCAAGGACTTCACGTCTAAAACACCAAAAGCAATGGCAACAAAAGCCAAAATTGACAAATGGGATCTAATTAAACTAAAGAGCTTCTGCACAGCAAAAGAAACTACCATCAGAGTGAACAGGCAGCCTAGAGAATGGGAGAAAATTTTTGCAATCTACTCATCTTACAAAGGGCTAATATCCAGAATCTACAATGAACTCAAACAAATTTACAAGAAAAAACAAACAACCCCATCAAAAAGTGGGCGAAGGATATGAACAGACACTTCTCAAAAGAAGACATTTATGCAGCCAACAGACACATGAAAAAATGCTCATCATCGCTGGCCATCAGAGAAATGCAAATCAAAACCACAATGAGATACCATCTCACGCCATTTAGAATGGCGATCATTAAAAAGTCAGGAAACAACAGGTGCTGGAGAGGATGTGGAGAAATAGCATCACTTTTACACTGTTGGTGGGACTGTAAACTAGTTCAACCATTGTGGAAGTCAGTGTGGCGATTCCTCAGGGATCTAGAACTAGAAATACCATTTGACCCAGCCATCCCATTACTGGGTATATACCCAAAGGATTATAAATCATGCTGCTATAAAGACACATGCACAAGTATGTTTATTGTGGCACTATTCACAATAGCAAAGACTTGGAACCAACCCAAATGTCCAACAATGATAGACTGGATTAAGAAAATGTGGCACATATACACCATGGAATATTATGCAGCCATAAAAAAGGATGAGTTCATGTCCTTTGTAGGGACATGGATGAAGCTGGAAACCATCATTCTCAGCAAACTGTCACAAGGACAAGAAACCAAACACCACATGTTCTCACTCATAGGTGGGAATTGAACAATGAGAACACATGGACACAGGAAGGGGAAAATCACACAATGGGGCCTGTTGTGGGGTGGAGGGAGGGTGGAGGGATAGCAGTAGGAGATATACCTAATGTTAAATGAAGAGTTACTGGGTGCAGCACACAAACAGGGCACATGTATACATATGTAACAAACCTGCACATTGTGCAGATGTACCCTAAAACTTAAAGTATAATAAAAAATTAATTAAAAATAAATAAATAAATAAATAAAAATCAAATTATAAAAAAAAAAGTATTAGAGTGCTCCAAAACACAGGCCTGGCTTGATGACAGAGATTGCTGGTCCATTCTACTTTTAAAATATTCTAATTGTAATAAAGTTTTTTTTGCCATATTTGCCATATTGCCAACATAATATGTTTTATTAGTCCACTTAGTTTGCCATAACAAAATACCATATATTGGGTGTCTTAACCAACAGACATTTATTTTCTCAGAATTCTGGAGGCTAAAAGTTCATGATCGAGGTTAAGGTAAATTCAGATTCTGCTGAAGGCTCTCTTCCTGGCTTTCAAACATCTGCTTACTCATTTTGTCCTCACGTGGCCTTTCCTCAGTGCATAGTCAGTGAAAGAGCACTCTGGTGTCTCTTCCTCTTCTTACACAGACAACAGTCCTACTGGTTACGAATCCCATGCTTATAACCTTATTTAAACTTAATGATTGCCCTAAAAGCCCTATATCTAATATAATTCCATTGGAAGTTAGGAAATCAATATGTAAATGTTGGGAAAACAAAATGCAGTCTCTAACATCTGTCTTCTATATTTCCTAAACATAGTTCCTGGAACCACACAAAGTAAGTTAAATGTCTTATTTAATAACAATCTTTTAAAAATAGATGTCATGATATTCTCCAATCCACCCATCACCAGTCTAGTTCTTGCTGAAATATCTCTAGTTACTTCAATTGTGCCTTTTATTAAAATATCGGATTAAAATAATATACATATTTATTTTAAAAAATTTAGATTAAGGTAAGCTTTTGCCAAAACTAGTTAAGTTATTCTTAATGAGAAAAAGCAACCCACAAACTGTTTTCCTCCACTCTCCTGTGATTTGAGACACCAAAACAAATGCCCCTTTATTAACTAAGAAACACCCTAAGGTTAAGGAAACAAAATTACCTATGGGTCTAAGGTTCAGGTCCTGGCTGGCATGGCACATTTCCAAATTTCTGTGGCTAAACTTTCCAACAACAGGAGCTATCAGCTCTCATTTACAACCCAGACCATTAGAACTCTGATTGAACAACTGACCTACCTTACAAGGATGCCCTTCTGATAAGCCATTGCAGCCAGTTTTAGCCAAATTACAGAGACTGCACAAAAACCTTCTTTGTGTCCTTTAGTCCACCTTCTGACATAGTAAATGTTGCCTCATTTTAATTATAAAACCCCACCTGAAAGTGAACATGAGATGTATGTTACACATATGTTTATCTATTATTGTATGGGCTCAGCTTCCCTCATAAATATGTATAGCTTTTTCCCTAAATATGTTGAATATGTATGACATAGGCCTTGTGAGGCATAAAACCCAACCTATCCCTCCTGTCTTCGAAGAGAGAACACCTCCCCTCTGGTCCATACAGCGAAACCATCTCTCCCCAGTTTGCAAACCTTTATTTCCAATAAAGATCTGCTTTCTATTCGGCCAGTCTGTTTGTCTTTTGGATGACACACAATTAACACAGAAGATTGGCCACGTCTGGTGGCTCATGTCTGTAATCCCAATGCTTTGGGAGGTCAAGGCAGGAGGATTGCTTGAGGCTAGGAGTTTGAGACCAGCCTTGGCAACATAGCAAGACCCTGTCTACACACACACACACACACACACACACACACACAACTTGTCTTGGTGGCATGTGCCTGTAGTACCAGCTTATTCAGGAGGCTGAGGCAAAAGGATCACTTGAGCCAGGAGTTCAAGGCTGCACTGACCATAATTGTATCACTGTACTCCAGCCTGGGCGACAGAGAGAGACCCCATCTCAAAAAAATCCCAGGGGATTTGTGAACAAATGTGTGAATGTTTTCCCACATACACTAAGAAATCAGTTCTGCAGTGGATAGCAGCTGAATATCCTTCACTTCAATTCTGGCACTATCTATCTAGAGATAGTGTCAGATCCCACAGGTTAAAGGCTCAGTCCTACAATACTATTCCCACTTCCAATGCCAATCACAATCCCCATGTTATTGTACCTGTTCTTCTGACCAACCAGCTATTAATTGGGCTTCCCATAACACCCTCCTTGAGTTTGTTTAATTTGCTAAAGTGGCTCACAGAATCTACAAGAAACATTTAAATTTACTGGTTTATTGTGAAAGATACTACAAAGGATACAGATGAAGAGATACATAGGGCAAGAGATACATGTCACCCTCCAGGAAGCTCCACATGTTCAGCTATATGGAAGCTCTCTGAGCTCTGTCCCTTTGGGTTTTTATGGAGGCTTTATTACATAGGCATGAAACTATTGGCGATTGATAATAAACTTAACCCGTAACCCCTCTCCCCTCCACAAAGGTTGGGGATGGGCTGAAAGTTCCAACCTTTGATAATGCTTTGGTCTTTCCTGTGACCAGCCCACATCCAGAAGCTACCTTGGGGAGACCAGCCACCAGTCAACTCATTAATATACAGAAAAACACTTATTACTTTAGATTTTCCAAGGATTTTAGGAGTTGTATACCAGGAGACAGGGAAGAAGATCAAATGTGTATTTCACAATATCACAGTTACCAATTGAAATAGATTGTCAGAAAAGAAAAAAATATGTTAATAAGTAATTTTAATGAAGCTGGAATGTGAGAAGTCATCACCTGAGAATTGTATATTTGCTCATATACCCATAATTTCTGTATCTGAATTTTAATTACATTAATAAAATAAGTAAGCAATGTTTAGTTGTCTGAAGTAGTTGAGAATGTAACATCTCTCATATTCAAAATCACAGTACAAGTATTTGGTATGTATGATAGATTGTGTAATTGTTCACAGTATTCACTGTTCCAACCCCTTCCCTCCAGTAAATCTTAGTTCCTCAGCTGGTTGATGTTAGGCTTGGCCAGGACTTGAGTTGTGCAATGAGATTTGAAGTCCTTTGAGTCAGCAGCTTGAAATCATGGGTCTGGTCTTAACTGGTATTCTCTGTGTCATGAAGGAATTGTTTTTATCTCATTCCTCAATTTGGAAACTATAGAAAGCATTAATTGTTTCACAGCCACCACACTTCACAGGGAGAAAAAAAATCTTTTTATGTGACTTGAAATTTTTGTCACATAATTTTTATTTTACACTTATTAAGATAGTTTTTTTGAATGGACTTAGATATACATTTCTAATCATATATTTCTCTTGAGAGCTACTGCTTTCTGCTCATCTTTACAGCTTCTTATTTGCTTCCACTTACAAACACTGCAAGGAGAAAGGCAGCTCAGGGTACTGAACTCACCTGACTACACATCTCTTCTCCCTGAAATCTTGGCCCCTTAAGCTCCTAGACTGCCTTGGTGGCTCATTGTCACCTTCCGCAAAATTAGGGGAGGGAGCATTTATAGAATTTCTAGCAACTAGTGGTGAGAGAGTTAGTTTAATGTCAGCTAAAACAGTGACCACTCTGACCACATAATTTATTCTTTTAACAAGAAAATTTCTGAGAGTGAAAGGGGACACTATTTATAACACTGGACCACTGGACACTATTTATAACACTTACAACAATAAGCATGAATTGTAACTGTCCCAGACAACCTGGGATATATGGTCACCCTAATCATAGCTCCCTTTTGTACTACTATAAATGCATAAAACGTAGCGAGGGGAAAATCCTCCTTAAACTTACTGATTTTCTGCACCAAATATACCCTTCTTTGCCCTCTTTTGTGATCCTGGAGCTGGATTCTGAAAACCTTTGTCCTCTGTCAGCTGACACCACTGTTAGGTCTTGTCAGTAGAAAGTGCTGGAAACACTGAAGGAAATTCTCTTCTTAGTTTCAGTACTTTCTACTGGCTCCTCAGCTGCCAGTGAGTGGCTTCCCAGTGAGATTTTGCTAGAATTCAGCAGGCAGTTTCCTGCTTGCCATTATTAGCCTGCTGCACCTCAGCAAACTTCCTTGTCATCCGGTGGTCTATGACCAGACCCACACCAATGGGTTCTTAATCTCAGCCTCGGTGGAGAGGGAGAGTTTATTCCTTCTTTGGTTCTCTATGACAGCCCTAGAGTTAGTGGCTGCTCCCTTTATATGTTACTGCTGAATTCTTCAGAGTTCCATTCATGCTTCTTAGCAATTTATCCTTGTTTACCAGTTAATTACCAGTTAACAATTCTTTACATTGGATTTTCCCTGCTCAAATTACTGGTCTGGTTTCTGTTTCCTGACTGGATCCTGGCTGATACATAATAAAAGAAATGTTTTGATCACTACTTACTTCCTTATGAAGTCACACTAAAAAAAATGCACTTACTGTCCATCATTTGATCAAATTCATTTAAAAAAATCTTTTTGCTATGCCCTTCGCAATGATACTGTGATTGAGACTAGGAAGTCTTTTTGTGGCCACCAACTATTCTTTGTGTAGATTGGCATGAATTTAAGCATACTTTTGTTGATTTAAATAGCAATGCCTGTCTTTGCTTCACACACAGCTGGAGCCCATCACAATTACTCCTAACACATCCACTATTCATAAAATTATATTAATTAAATAAGAAATTTATTCTGTAAGAGAGCAAAAAGTGACCAAGCCCATCTTCCTTATGTATGTGGCACACACATAGCAAGTGAAGACCTATCTTCTTCTCAGTAAATTTATGCAATTGGACATGCAAATTTCTGCAAGCATATACACATGGTAGTTATTTTTTTTCATGTGATTGCCATTGATATTAAGGGCATCCAAAGGCATCGTGTGACAAAGGAATTGCATATGGATGCATATGTGTGTTGGATAATTTCATCCTACATATTTAAGGGCGTGTGTGTGTGTGTGTGTGTGTGACTATCTTTGCTACTTCCATTTTGTTCAGTTTGATTTTTCCAAAGTAACTGTCTTTCCCATCACATACATTCTATAAATGTTTCTAATATGGCTTTAATTTTTTTAAATGTTTTTATTTTCTACTCCTGTTAGTTCCCTGAGATTTTCCAAATCACTTTACATTTTGTTATGCTGTCTTAAAAGAAAAAAAACACTGTGTACTTTTAAAACTTTGATAATTATTTAAATTCCTGCTGCTTTTAAAATTGTGTTTCTGGTATTTTACTGTATTACTGTACAGGAGTCATATAGGAGTTCTTTTCAGATTATTATTCATCTTTAAATGGGGCTAAATATTTATTAAAGAATGGTTTAAAAGAGGTAGGGAGAGTAACCTGAAGTAGCTTTCTGTCCTATTGACAGATGATTTCTGCCTAATAAAACTGTTTATTTCCTTACAACTTAGAGTGTCTCTTCTAATTCAAATTATTTCTGCCTAACAAAACTGTTTATTTCCTTATAACTTAGCGTGTATCTCCTAATTCAAGTCCCCATGGCTCGAGAGCCAGTTTAGATGGCATATCAGCATGATTTCTTCTTCAGCTCTACCTTCCCTACTAATCTATGTTATTGACCTAAGACTACATAGAGAACCTGTTCTTTAATCCTATAGCCCACCCACAACTTTTGAAATATGGTCCTAATCAAAGTATCTTCAAATCATGAGCCTTACTTTTGGAGAAATACATTTTTTGTGTTACATACTATGAGGCATGTGTAATTTTCAAACAAATTTTATAGTAGTGTCAAGTATATACCTATTTTTCTCAATGGCATTTCTCTTTCCATTGAATATGGAAGGTCTATGCATTTTCAATATTTTATTCTTCGTAGATTATTATGCAACTTAGAGGGAAGTAGATTTAAGTGTCTTTATTCCACCTTGTTTTAACTGCAGACTTCCATATCATTTGGGATGGAAGGAGTTGGAGGAACAAATTATGCCTTCAAAACATTTCACATAATCCTTCTTAATCAGTATTTTGAAGTGAAAGCTCTTTATTTATGCATTCATTTATTTAAACACTTAATGATGAATTATGATATGTCAGGCTCAGTATTAGGCCCTATAAATAAACACAAATGAGTAAGACAGTTGTCAGTTCCTCAGGATACTCACAGACTAGTGAGGAAGCCAGGCTGCAGAACCGTAAATGTGATTTAAATAGACATATGCACAGATGCTCTACAATCTCAGTGGATTGACTAATTTTGTCTGGGTTGGTATGGAAAGGTTGATTAATGAGGTGCCATTTGGGTTGAATTCTTGAAGGATGAGAAATCATTCACAGGTGGAGGGTGGTAGAGAAGAACTGAAGATGGAGTAAACAGTTCGCAGGCATGATGTTGCAAAAGACCAAGTAATTTTGTAGAACTGCCAATGTTCAGTATGACTAGAGTATAAAGTGCCTGTTAATGAGTAGTGGGACTGGATCCCCTTCCCTCTCCTCGACTCAAGGACTTTGCTGCAGTAACTGGCACCTCTCTGTGTTGCAGCGATTTTTCTTTTGTACTGGATTACTTTCATTAGTTTACAAACAAAGTAAACAAGCCATCAAAATGCTGGCCTAAATAAAAGCCGCAGTATGAACAAACATAGAAAACCCTCTTTTTGGCCACATAAGCCCCTCCCTCTACCACCTATATCTCTTCCTTTAAAAAGAAAAACTATTTGAAAGTGCTGAATATATTTATTTTCACTAATTATCTCTCATTTTTGTTCTTTAAAACTGTGTTAAATGCAAATTGCTTAGAAACAAAAAAATGTGTAACTGATGTATATGATATATATAATAAAAGTAAAAGAACACCTGCATGTATCCATGCCATAGATAAAAATATAGAATCTTAACAATGTCCTTGAAGTCCTGTGTGTTCTCTCCCTAATCCCATCTCTTTCTCCCTAGGAGAGATTCCAGAATTTTCAGCTTATTGCTTCCTTGCTTTTACCTATATCTTTAGCAAAAATTTAACTATAATCAACATACTGCTTACCTTTGAATAAATATAAGCTTCATAAATATTTAATTATATCACATTGGGTTCTATGACATTTTTCTCAGTTTTTTATCCTGGGTGATTCCTATAGCTCTATAATTCATAAACTTTAACTGCTACATACTATCCTACTCTATGTATAATCCACAAATTATTTAACTTCTCACCTACCAATAGAAATTGGAATTATTTCTAGCTTTTTCCTATTATAGGCAATGGCACTAGGGTCATTCTTGCCCATCTCTTTCCAAACACATGTGTTAATTTCTATATGGTGCATGTGCACTTGTTCACCCCTGCCAAAAAATGATAAATGGTTTCAAAAGCATTGTACTCATCTTTACTCCTCTAGTAGTGTGTAAATTGCATTGCTGTATTATATCATTCTGAATATTTAGTATTATCAGAAATGTTTTACAATCTTGTAGCTTAAAAACGTTTCATTATAGATATAATTTCCACTTCTCTATTGTTGAGTTTGACCATATGTCTTATATTTATTGGTTTAATGTGTTTCCTCTTCTGTGATGTGTCAGTTCAAGTGTTTGCCAATTTATCTGTTTGCTAATTTATCTGCATTTGTGTTAATTTCATTAGGTTTTCTAATTTTTCCATTCATGGAACCCTCTCTTGGAAACACTATCTCTACAGGTAACTGTACGGGTCTCCCCTTCTCTCTTAAGTCTCTTAAGTAGAGAGTCAGGAGTCTCTACCTGACTATCTGGCATTCCCTAAAATCAACAGTGCCACACAATCTCCCTTCTCCCAAACACACATTATTTTCTATCGAATTATCATTTGTTTTTTTTTCCTCAAGGCACCTATTGCATAACAGTAGAAAATATATCTGTTATTTATACATTTCTCTAATTGAATGTAAGCTCTACCGTGCCAATGATTTCATTTTTAGTACCGGATCATAATTGCCTAGGAAAAAAACCGGAATATGTTATGTGCTAAGTACTATTCACTGCTGAACGAATAAATGTATTGAACCTAATCATGTGCCTCTATACTTTAACACATCGCATATTCAGCAAATGAACAGGACAAACTTTTAAGAAATATAGTAGTACTCAAAGTAATAGTTTAATGGTGAAAATAGCTGATTTGTCATTTATTACCACAGAATCTTAATTTGCTTCTCCATTGTAGAGGTTACCTATCCACATTGAAACTTGTTCTCTTATATAAAAATAAGGCTAATAATAATATTTCCAAGCTGGCTGAGAATCTTAAATAAGATTCTGTTTGCAGGTGAACCTCTGTAAACTTGCAAGTTTTTGCCTAATGTTGCATTTAATTTAACAAAACTTTTATCAAAAACTCTTAGAAGGTATTTGTTGAAATTACATTAAAGAAGAATTATAATCAGTGTCTTTAGTCTTTTTAAAATATCAAGTAGAATCAAAGACACAGATAAATAAACAATAAGTCTTTAAAAAATTTATCTGCAAATTAGTAGTCATAACATCAAAAAAGGGAGAAAATTTAATCATGATTTGAAAGACAAGGCTACATAAAATGTAATAAAATAAGACAGAACTGTGTTTAATGCTGTATTAATTTGGGAATTGTCTTACAAGAACGTTTAGGACCATTGGCTGGACTGCAGTATTATCAAGGATTTATTTTATAAATCAGAACTCTCTGTCTAATCACACCAAAGTCAACTGTTGAACTACGTAAAGAAATATTTACCAGACTTCTAATAAATGCTAGTGAAAATACTTCAATATTGCAAACCTTTTTCTGTTAGAACAGTAGAACAGTTGTTTCTGTGAACTGGATTGTGCTATTAGTCATTTTGTTTAAGAAAATGGTCTAAAGGAGAACAATGTTTACATGAATTTACGGAATGTTATATAGGCTTATAAAGACTATGTTTAAAATATATACTAAAGATTCTATTAAAGTGCAACCAATTTATATAAATATGTAGGATTTTTCTATTACAATTATTTCCTTAAAAGTAGCTTTTCCAAAAAATATGATTAATTAAACCAAACAAGTATTTCAACTTTAAGGTTTTATTTAAAAATAAAAATGTATACAGTATAACACACTAGATTTTTTTAGTATTTCAGTGTTCATTTTTATGGGTTTTTATTTTTTCAGAACTTTTTTCACCTTAATAGTAAGGTAAAGAATTTTCAAAACGATTTAGAGTTGTTTAATATGTTTCATAAATCACAGGCTTTTATGTTTTTTTTTCTATTCACTATACAGCAAGTGGTTTTAAAACTACAGAAATCTGTTTTAGAGATTATAAATCAGACTGGTAAGCAATGCATTGCTGGTTTATTGTCATTAACTCATATGCTCAGTGTCATTCACCATCTCATCTCATGTTCCTTGGAGAGCTTGAAATCACCTATCATAATAAATCAGAACAACAAACAGAAATTGTGAAGGATTGCACATAGCAGTTCTGCATTACAAATGTCCCACTCTTGCATTTTTTTCCAGCCCATCAAACTAAAAATAGTCAAAACTAAGTTTATCATTTATCCCCCTACTTCCATAAATTTATTTTCCTGACTTCCCTATTTCTGCTGATGGCATTGCTATTCTTCTAATTGTCCATGCTAAAATATATATGGGTATATTATAACTCTTCCTTCTCTTTAGATTTCACATATCGTTGAACATCATCTCTTGTGGACTGAACCTCTATAGAGTAACTCCACTATTATTTTATAACTTCCATCAGCTTCTTATTTAAGTCCCTCCTTACCTATCATTTTGTCTTTTACAAGAGGATTCTGAAAAAGAGCTACAGCATCCACTTGCTGGCCCCATTGATTAATCTTTCCTGGCAGATAACATTCCCAAGGTACAGCCTGATTGTATTATTATACTGCTCACAGAATGCAGGTAAAGCTTTCCCTTACCTCCTAAAAAGTGCACATTATCAACATTTGCTCCTAGTACAGAGACAGAGAGAGAGAGATGGTGAAGTTCTTGTGGGTACTGCTATAGTGTGTTCTAAGATCTAAGAGGGACCCAACGTGGGGCAGAGCCATTTGTCAGCTACCCAACAGGACACAAGAAAACTAGAGAAGACCCACTACCAAGTTTTCTGTGAACATTTTTCTTTTTTGGACTTCTTATCATAAAAACCCCATATTTTACAAGAAATTCTTCACAATGTGAGTCTCTGAGGGAAGCAGGGAATCTGCCCCCTGTGACAGCCTGAGACAGATATTTTTCTCTTTCTACATCCTTCAAGCCAAGGTGAGGGCAAATTGTCCAGGCTCAGACAATTACATGCTACTAGCTAGAAATTTTATTCATGAAGAAAGGTCACAAAGAAGAATGGAAGGAGAGTTTGAATCTATGGTTGCAACAGCAATGTATAGCTGTGTAAAGTAGCAAGCTCACTCTGTAGGTCATCACTATCTGCAGCAGTGGCCTACCCTTCATGGTGGGGGGATTAGCTCAAAGTTCCAGCACAGATTTTACATATTTATTGCAGTCTATTTTAGGCATTAGAAGCACAATGAGGAAATTCATCCATAGGAATGAAGCCTGGATATCATTTTGTAAATACAGTTGGTGATGGCAGACATGCTAGAGTCTGGTTCATTCCAGACATTTTATCTGAAATAAGAAGGCAGAAGCCAGAAGTGAGGTTAGTAACATCAAAATGGGATGCCATGAACAAGGAAATTATCTTAGAATTTTCTTTTTTTCCTCATATAGTTTGCTCGTTAGTTTCCTAGACAGGAAAAAAGTAATCCTGTCTTTAAAGTCACAATAAAAGTAAGTCACATAGGTGAGTGGGCTGGCTGCTCCAAGAGAGTAGTTAGAGGTCGGTGGACAGCAAGAAATGTGTGATGTAGAGATTGACGATTCCAAGGTGAGACTTGGAAATGGTGTTTCTAAAACTTTCTAGCCTCAGGAAAGAGGTTCTTGATATGTCGTTCTTTGTTTTTAGCAGAGAGATTATGCTAGCAGTAAATGGCTGAGTATTAATTTTGAAGAGCTGGAAAGGGGTCTGATATAGGGTACTCTGTAATCTGGCACTTATTCTCCTGCATTTTTTCTTCAGTTTTCTACCTATGCCCTATTCTCCAATAAAATAAGACTTTTTTACACACTGAATACTCTGTACACTTTCTAGATGCTGGCTTTTATTTTATTTTTTAAAATTGATGCTGTACTTTGTTTAGAAATAATTCTTTCTCTGGCTTTGTATACCAAAATTCATCAAAGCCAAGTTGAATGGTAAGTTCTTTCATGAGCTCTGAGATGATCTACCTATCTGTAATTTCTTCCATTACAAAACCTTCTCAGGACTTTGTACTACACTGAATACCACAGCCCTGGTTAAGTGGCAGGCTGAAATCCATTGAGTAGCAAAAATCAGTCAAGCCAGGAAAGAATCCTGGGGTACAGGTTAACACAAGGACTGGCCTCTCCCTGGTAGCAAAAATTCAGAACTACATTCCTTAGCACTGGGCCTGTTAGCCAGATCATTGCACACAGGCTGGGGGAAAGATGGAGCTATAGTTTGGATGTTTACCCCCAAACTTCATATTGAAATCTGATCCCCAATGTTGGAGGCAAGGCCTAGTGGGAGGTGTTTGGGTCATGGATGTGGATTACTTATTAACAGCTTCATGCTGTCCTCATGGTAATGAATGAGTTCTCACCCTATTACTTCCTGAAAGAGTTAACCTGAGAGCTGGTGGTTTAAAAGAGCACCTACCCTCTGTCTCTTGTCTCAACATGTAATTTACACACACTAGTTTCCCTTCACCTTCTGCAATGAGAAGAAGCAGCATTAAAACCTTAGCAGAAGCAGATGCTGGTGTTGTCATGCTTGTACAGCCTGCAGAACCATGAGCCAAATAATGAGCCTTAGCAGCCTTCACCTAGATTTCAGAGGATGAAATCTCTGAAAATGTCTAGAGGTCAAGGCAGAAGTCTGGTCCAGGGGTGGAGCCCTTATGGAAAACTTCTACTTGGGCAATACAGAGGGAAAATGTGGGATTGGAGCCTCCACACTGAGTCCCCACTGAGGAACTGCCTAGTGGAGCTGTGAGAAGAGGTCCACCATCCTCTAGACCCCAAAATGGTGATCCACCAAGAGCTTGCACTGTGCTCCAGGAAAAGATGCAGGCACTCAACACCAGACCATGAAAGCAACCACAGGGGCTGTACCCTGCAGAGCCACAGGTACAGAGCTGCCCAGAGACATGGGAGCCCAGCTCTCACCTCAGTGTGCCCTAGATGTGAGACATGGAGTCAAAGAAGATTATTTTGGAACTTTAAGATTTAACAAATGCCCTGCTGGGTTTCAGAATTGAATGGGGACTATGGCCCATTTGTTTTGGCCAATTTCTCCAATTTTGAGTGAGAACATTTACCCAATATCTGTACCTCCATTGTATCTTGGAAGTCACTAACTTGATTTTGATTTTACAGGGTCATAGGCAGAGGGACTTGCCTTGTCTCTGATGAGACTTTGGACTTGGACTTTTTAGTCAGTGCTGGAATGAATTAAGACTTTGGGGGACTGTTGGGAAGGCATGATTGATTTTGCAATGTGAGAAGGACATGAGATTTGGGAGGGGCCAGGGGCAGAATGATATGGCTTGATTCTGTGTCTCCACCCAAATCTCATCTGGAATTGTAATCCCCATGTGTTGAGGGAGGGACCTGTTGGAAGGTGATTCGATGATAGGGGCAGTTTCCCCCATGCTGTTCTCATAATAGTGAGGAAATTATCATGAGATCTGATGGTTTAAAAGTGGCACTTTCCTGTGCCCACTCTTTGTGAAGGCACCTGCTTCCATGGCACCTTCTGCCATGATTGTAAGTTTCCTGAGGCCTCCCCAGTCATGTGGAAATGTGACTCAATTAAACTTCTTTCCTTTTTAAATTACCCAGTTTCAAGTATTTCTTTAGAGCAGTGTGAGAATGGACTAATACAGAGGTGTTATTACAAAGATACCTGAAAATGTAGAAGTGGCTTTGGAACTGGATAATGGGCAGAAGTTGGAAAAGTGTGGAGGAGCAAGCTAGAAAAGGACTGTATTGCCATGAGTGAAACATTCTGGCAAGGGCACCAAAGAAGACAAAAAGACAAGAGAAATTTTGAAACTTCTTAGAAATTGGTTAAGTGGTTGTGAACAAAATGCTGATGGAATATGTTAGTAAAGACCATCCTGAAGAGGTCTCAGATGGAAATGGGGAACTTACTGGAAATTGAAGCAAATGTCACCCTTGTTATGCTGCAGCAAAGAACTTGGCTACATCGTGTCCATCTGTAGGGCTTTGTGGAAGGCCAAACTTAAGAGTGATGACCTGGGGTATCTGGCAGGAGAAATTACTAATCAGAAAAGTGCTCAAGAAGTGGTGTGGCTGCATTTAATAGCTGAAGATTAGACAAGGGAGAAAAGGGATGATCAAAAGTTAGAAGTAATAATTAAATGGGAAACAGAGCATAAAAATTTGAAAATTTATAGCCTGTCCATGTGGCAGAGAAGGAAAGAGCATTTTCAGGCAAGAAACCTAAGGGTGCTGGGCAGCAGCCACTTACTAGAAAGATAAGCCCAGATAAAAGCATCTAGGTGCTAACAGTCAAGACAATGGGAAAAAGGCCCTGCAGGCATTTCAGAAATCTTTTGAATTGGCTTCTCTTATCACAGACCTGGGATGACAGATGGTTTTGGGGTCAGGTCCAGGGTGCCACTGCCTTGAAACACTTTGAGATGCTGCTTCCTGCATCCAGACCCCTCTGGCTGAAGCATCCAATGCTCAAATGGTCCCAGGTACAGCTCAGGACCTAGCTCGAGAGAGTCCAAGCCATAAGCCTTGGCAGCTTCCACATGGTCATTAAGAGTGCAGATATGCAGATTGCAGGAATAGAGGAGGCTTGGAAACTTCCACCTAGATTTCAAAGGGTATGCTGGAATTCCTGGGTGCACAGGAAGAAGCCTGTCATAGGGGTGGAACCCACACAGAGATTCTACTAAGGCAATGCTGAAATGGGGGTTTGGAACCCGCATGGAAAGTCCCCACTCTGGGCACTGCCTAGTGGATCTATAGGAGCAAGGCAACTGCCCTCCAGACCCTAGAATTATAGAGCCACCAGTAGGTTGCAACTTCAGCCAAAAAAAGCTGCAGGCATTTGACTCTAACCTGTGAGAGCAGCCATGTGAGCTATACCCAACAAATCCACAGAGTGGGGCTGCATGAGGCTTTAGGGGTTCACCCCTTGAACCATATGCCCCAGATGCAAGACATGGAGACAAGGGAGGTCATTTTGGAGCTTTAAGATTTACTGTCTGTCCTACTAGGTTTTGGACTTACATAGGACCTGTTACCCCCTTTTCTTTTGACCTATTTCTCCCTTTTAGAATGGGAATGTATACCCTTTTCCTGTTCCACCCTTGTATCTTGAAAGTAAACAACTTGGTTTTGACTCAGAACTGTGAGGAACTTTCCTTGAGTCTCAGATGAGATTTTGAATTTTTAAACTGATTCTGAAACAAGTTAAGACTTTTAGGGGTTATTGGGATGTAATAGTTGTACTTTGCATGTGAGAAGAACATGAGCCTCGGGGGGGCCAGGTTTTGAGTGCTATAGTGTGGAGGATTGTCCCCAAATCTCATGTTGAAATTGGATACCAGTGTTGAAGGTGGGGCCAAATGGGACATGTTTTGGTCATGAGCGTGGATCCCTCATGAATGGCTTAGTGCTCACTCAAGGTAATGAGTGAGTTTTTTTCTCTATTAGTTCCCAGGAGAGTTACCCAAAGAGCTGGTTGTTAAAAAGTGCCTGGGACTTTCCCTTTCTCTCTTGCTTCCTCTTCCACCACGCTATCTGCACATGTGGGTTCCCTTTCCCCTTTTCTCAGGAGTGGAAGCAGCCTGAAGCCCTCACCAGAAATGGATACTATTAGTTCTGTGCTTCTTGCACAGACTGCAGAATCATAAGCCAAATAAACATATTTTCTTTATAAATTACCCAGCCTCAGGTATTCTTTTATAGCAACACAAACAAACTGAGGCAGAAGGCTTTCGCGCAGTGCAAATGAAGAACCAAGGGGCATCCCAAACTATAAGCAGAACTTCTTTCTTTCTTCATCTCACTAGTAAATGGAAAGTCTTGCCATTCTTCTAGGCCAGGGTCTCTAGTTGAGGAGTCAGAGCTTCAAACACACACACACACACACACACAAAGTTATTGCTTGCACTTCAGTGAAACAAGGTAGACAGGGACTGAGGATACTCTTCTTTTATGGTGTGTTTACTATCTCTTTTTTCTTATAAGTTATAGCTGCAAAAAAGCTTTCTCGTTCCTTTGAGTTTCCTACTATACACAATTCTATAGAGAGTCTCAATAAAATTTTATTGAAAAAATAAACAATTACCACTGTATCAATAAAAAGTTAAAAATGTTATCTAGGTTAGTGTTATCAATGTATATTCAATTCCTCTTTAGCATCAAATAACATAATCTGCAGATAGAAATTATTTCTTCACGTGCATTTAACATTCAGAAAAATATCAACCCCAGTCCTTCTCACCCATGCTATTTTTATCACTTGATGAGTATTTTGATGCACTTTTGTGAGTATATTTAGTAACAGAGTTAGGCTCTTTTCTTAGGTATACACTGATTACGTCAACCCAAAAATCAATGGCATTTGAGTGACTTCCACTGTGTTTCTGTAAAAGACTAAGGATTGGTAATTGTAACACATTTCATACCTTTATGTAATAGAATCCAAAACAATAAAATCATATACTGTGAAAAATGTAGTTAACTCTTCATGAAAAATAATCTTAATGTCTTCAATCAAAATCGCATCTTCATTTTCTTTATGCTTGCATTTGTGGAAAATAAATGAGCCAGTGAATTGCTGTATTCCTAAACTGTATACCTTTAAAAGAGTAACACATTATTATCTGATTGATTTTGTTCCAGGTAATTATGTGGAAATGGTTATCATGAGATATAAAAAGCAAATGGTTTTCTTTTTTGAATCATGTCTGTATCAAAAATGTTTTAAAATTTATAGAAAAGATGCCACAACTATATTATCAATTTATGAAAACTAAAGAAACATTAAAAAGTGAGAATTCTCATGTGATGTTATGATTATTTACAACTGAAATAGTAATTCAACTTTAAAATTAACTATACAGAAAATATTCTGAAATCAAAATTTTCAAAAGATGCTTAATAATATATCAAGAGGGTGACCATATGCTATAATTATTCCATTTATATTTTGGTGCTTACTATAAATAGACTTTAGATGCTTATTGCAGATTATATTTCAAATAATCTACCTTAAAATACTGTCGATTATGAAACTCGTATGCAGCCAAATGCAATTTTTTTTTGAGAGAGAGTCTCACTCTGTTGCCCAGGCTGGAGTACAGTGGCATGATCTCGGCTCACTGCAGCCTCTGCCTCCAGGGTTCCAGCGATTCTCCTGCCTCAGCCTCCAGAGCAACTGGGACCACAGGTGTGTACCACCATGCTCGTCTAATTTTTTGTACCAAATGCAATTTTCTAATTTACATATGCACTCAGCTCTATTTGGGTATATGTAATGGCATTTAAAAAGACTTAATATGACATTCTCTATGTGCTAGGTAATGTGGTAATTGAAAGGATCAATGTTATTTCATTTAATTCTTGCAATAGGCCTGTAAATGAAAAACCTTAATTGCAAAGCAGTTTAATAACTTTCCTAAAGTCAAATAATTTGTACATAATTTGAAATTGTTTTCTGACTAAAAATCACACAATTTTTAAGATACTTCATATTTATACGTACATTATATATACAAAACACATACAAGGAACAATTTAATTTATCCAGCATCAAAGATATTTCCTATAAAATTATTTTGTAGAAATACAATCTAAACTTTTAAGCTTGGAGTGTTATTGAGTTTTACAACTTTTGTGGAAAAGCTTTAACAAATACATTGATTGCTCTTTTACATCTCTATAAATTGTGGATAATAAAATATATGTTTATTTAAATTTTTTATCCTCAGGGTCATCAGTTTTTGTAGACAGCAGTAACTTAAGTCATGTATTTAGAGATATTGACTGTCTGTTTGGCCTTACTCTAGGGGGACTTGGACTATTATGCCTTTTTATTTTAACTTGAATTATTAGATGGCTCAATGGCTATGGCTTTTTGTTGTCAGTGTACCTGCTTGCTGGGATGCTTCATTGTCATGTGTATAACTGATGGCTTGGATTTTTTTATTACACAGAAACATGATTTCACCTGGTATCTTAAAATTGCACATAATATTTATATTAACTAGCTCTGCATTGAGTGTCTAAACTTCTCTTAAATGAAACTATTCTAGTTCAAGGTATGCAAGGCCATTTTCACATTCATTTTAAGTGCTCATTCAATTATTCATTCAAAAATATTTAATGGGCAATTACTATGTGAAAGAAACATTCTCAGGGACTGAGGAGTCAGCAGTGGATAAAAAGAGCAGTGGTCCATGCCCCTAGAAGTTCAAATTCTATTGGGAGAAAGAGACGAAGAAAATATTTTATTAAAAAATAAAACATATTGTGTTTAATACTGACAAATACTATAAAGAAAATTGCATAATAAGGAAGAATAGGAAATTCCAGGGGGACCTGGGATATGCAATTTTAGATGAAGTGATTAGAGAAGGCCAGACTGAAGGATATCTGAATAAAGAGCTGAATAAAGGTATGCTGGAATGAGTGTGTCTTTCCTTAGTTACACTTCTCAGCCCTCTTTTGCTCTGCTGTATATGCAAGGCATTCTGATCTAGACCAGCAGCATCTAGCTAGGTTTGGCTAAAGGAGAGCATTGAAAACTAAGGGGAAGAAAGAAGCCAGAGTGTTCCCTTTTGCCCACCTATGTTTTGGGCAGTGCCTCTAGCATTGTTTTGCCTCTGGCTCTTTTACTGAATGGGGTAACTGTGGTTCCAACATTTTCTTCTTGACCCCAGATCTTACAGTCTGATAATATTGTCTCTTTCTTTTGGCAATGAAAGAAAGAGGTAGATAGCTCCCTACTGTTTTAAATTCATGTGTATTTAGTATTCCCAGCAGGAGATAGCAAATACCATGTGTTAAATCTGCTATTTCCAAATATTTAAAATGCCTGTTTTAAATACTTAAAAATTGTGAATCAATATTTGGAACTTGACTAGTACAGAAGGTGAAAGAGCAAAACTCACATTCATCTAGGTAAAGATCATCATGGACCATGGAAACATCAAGTCTGACAGTCTGGGGGAAACTGCCTGGAGTATTCAGGACACAGTGAAAGGACAGTGTGGCTGCCATCGAGAAGGAAAAATTGAGTCCAGAGATGGTAGTAGATGGGTCAGAGAAATCAGCTAAATCTGACTTCAGCTTTTACTCTAAAAAAGAAGGGAAGTTATTGAAGACTTCTTAACTGAGAAGTGAGTGATCTAACTTTTGTTTTATTGTAACCATTCTTCCTGAAAAGGACAATGAAAGAAGAAATAAGACAGGTTTAGAAGGTATTAAACTTTGATTTTGTATCCAGAGATTTTGCTGAAGTTGCTCATCAGCTTAAGGAGATTTGGGGCTGAGATGATGGGTTTTCGAAGTATCATGTCATGTGCAAACAGGACAATTTGACTTTCTCTCTTCCTATTTGAATACACTTTATTTATTTCTCTTGCCTGATTGCCCTGGACAGAATTTCCGATACTATGTTGAATGGAACTGGTGAGAGAGGCCATTCTTGTCTTGTGCCAGTTTACAAAGGGAATGCTTCCAGTTTTTTCCCATTCAGTATGATATTGGCTGTGGGTTTGTCATATAGCCTTATTATTTTGAGATACATTCCACTGATACCTAGTTTATTGAGAGTTTTTAGCATGAAGGGGTGTTAAATTTTGTCGAAGGCCTTTTCTGCATATATTGAGATAATCTTGTGGTTTTTGTCATTGGTTCTGTTTATGTCATGGATTACATTTATGGATTTGCACATGTTGAACCAGCCTTGCATCCCAGGGATGAAGCCAACTTGATTGAGGTGGATAAGCTTTTTGATGTGCTGCTGGATTCGGTTTGCCAGTATTTTTATTGAGGATTTTCGCATCGATGTTTATCAGGGATATTGGCTTCAAATTTTCTTCTTTTGTTGTGTCTATGCCAGGTTTTGGTATCAGGATGATGCTGACCTCATAAAGTGAGTTAGGGAGGATTCTCTCTTTTTCTATTGTTTGGAAGAGTTTCAGAAGTATTGGTACCAGCTCCTCTTTGCCCCTCTGGTAGGATTCAGCTGTGAATCCATCGGGTCCTGGAATTTTTATGGTTGGTAGGCTATTAAATACTGCCTCAATTTCAGAACTTGTTATTGCTCTATTCAGGGATTCGACGTCTTCCTGGTTTAGACTTGGAAGGGTGTATGTGTCCAGGAATTTATCCATTTCTTGTAGATTTTCTAGTTTATTTGTGTAGAGGTGTTTATAGTATTCTCTGATGGTAGTTTGTATTTCTGTGGGATCGGTGGTGGTATCCCCTTTATCATTTTTTATTGTGTCTATTTGATTATTCTCTCTTTTCTTCTTTATTAGTCTTGCTAGCGGTCTATGAAGTTTGTTGATCTTTTCAAAAAACCAGCTACTGGATTCGTTGATTTTTTGAAGGGTTTTTTGTATCTCTATCTCCTTCAGTTCTGCTCTGATCTTAGTTATTTCTTGCCTTCTGCTAGCTTTTGAAAAATCACAAGCATTCCTACACATCAATAATAGATCAACAGAGAGCCAAATCATGATTGAACTCCCATTCACAATTGCTACAAATAGAATAAAATACCTAGGAATACAACTTACAAGGGATGTGAAGGACCTCTTCAAGGAGAACTACAAACCACTGCTCAAGGAATTAAGAGAGGATACAAACAAATGGAAAAACATTCCATGTTCATGGATAGGAATAATCAATATTGTGAAAATGGCCATACTGCCCAAAGGAATTTATAGATTCAATGCTGGCCCCATTAAGCTATCATTGACTTTCTTCACAGAATTAGAAAAAAGCTACTTTAAATTTCATTTGTAACCAAAAAAGAGCCCACATAGCCAAGACGATCCTAAGCCAAAAGAACAAAGCTGGAGGCATCATGCTACCTGAGTTCAAACTATACTACAAGGCTACAGTAACCAAAACAGCATTGTACTGGTACCAAAACAGATACATAGAGCAAAGAAACAGAACAGAAGCCTCAGAAATAACACCACACATCTACAACCTGATCTTTGACAAACCTGACAAAAACAAGCAATGGGGAAAGGATTCCCTATTTAATAAATAGTGTTGGGAAAACTGTCTAGCCATATACAGAAAACTGAAACTGGACCCCTTCCTTACACCTTATACAAAAATTAACTCAAGTTGGATTAAAGATTTTAACATAAGACCTAAAGCCATAAAAACTCTAGAAGAAAACCTAGGCAATACCATTCAGGACATAGGCATGGGCAAAGATTTCATGACCAAAATACCAAAAGCAATGGCAACAAAAGCCAAAATTGACAAATGGGATCTAATTAAACTAAAGAGCTTCTACACAGCAAAAGAAACTATCATCAGAGTGAACAGTCAACCTAGAGAATGGGAGAAAATGTTTGCAATTTATCCATCTGACAAACAGCTAATATCCAAAATCTACAAAGAACTCAAACAAATTTACAAGAAAAAGACAAAGAACCCCATTAAAAACTGGGCAAAGGATATAAATGAACACTTCTCAAAAGAAGGCATGTATGCGGCCAACAAACATATGAAAAAAATGCTCATCATCACTGGTCATTAGAGAAATGCAAATCAAAACCACAATGAGATGTCGTCTCACACCAGTTAGAATGGTGATCATTAAAATGTTAGGAAACAACAGATGCTGGAGAGGATGTAGAGAAATAGGAAGGCTTTTACATTGTTGGTGGGAGTGTAAATTAGTTCAACCATTGTGGAAGACAGTGTGGCAATTCCTCAAGGATCTAGAACCAGAAATACTATTTGACCCAGCAATCCCATTACTGGGTGTATACCCAAAGGAATATAAATCATTCTAGTATAAAGACACATTCACACGTATGTTTATTGCGGCACTCTTCACAATAGCAAAGACCTGGAACCAACACAAACGCCCATCAATGATAGACTGGATAAAGAAAATGTGGCACATATGCACCACAGAATACTATGCAGCCACAAAAAGGATGAGTTCAAGTCATTTGCAGGGACATGGATGAAGCTGGAAACTATAATTCTCAGCAAACTAACACAAACACAGAAAACTAAACACTGCACAATCTCACTCATACGTGTGAGCTAAACAATGACAACACATGGACACAGGGAGGGGAACATCACACACCGGCACCTATTGGGGGTGGGTGTCTGCGGGAGGGATAGCATTAGGAAAAATACTTAATATAGATGACAGGTTGATAGGTGAAGCAAACCACCATGGCACATGTATACCTATGCAACAAACCTGCATGTTCTGCACATGTACCCCAAAACTTAAAGTATAATAAAAAAATTATGTGATAAAAATGGAAAAAAGGAAGGTTTTAAACTATTTTGGTAAAAAATGATTGTGTCAGGGAAATAATGGTGGTAGTGAGGAGTGCTCAAATCATGGGCAGACTGAGGGCCAAGCCAATGGGATGTGAAGAAGGATTGCATATGTTAAATGAGAATGGGTATGTTAAGTTGCAAAAGCATATTACACATTTATGTTGGGATGTAAGGTATATGAGAATATGAGTTATATGAGCATGAACTCAAGTGAAAAGATCTGCCCTACAGACATAAATTTGGAAATCACATAGAAATAGTATTACGTTGCTGCAAATGTAATTGTGGTTTTCGCCATTACATTTGCACCAACCTAATCTTTTTTAAAGTCATGGAACTTAATGACATCACTGGTGATGACTCTCATTTGTACAGTTTTGAGGTAGCTGAGTTTCTCAATAAATAAAGATTATATCATCTATAGTTTAATAATATAAAAATACATTAATTCCTTTTAAACAAAATTATAGAACCTTACATTTTAAATGTGCTCGTTAAATATTCACAATGAGGAGTCATGCATTTATTCCAAGTATTCTGAACATGTCTTTTAAGCAGTTGTTTGTATTATTTAAGTCTCTGTTATCAATCCAGCTCACATTAAGCAAGGACTTTACAAGATAGGCATGGTGCCAAACAGAGCCCCAGGAAAGCACTATTGGGGCTTGAACACTGCCAGGGCTCACCTTTGTTTCTTGCCTCAGAGTCTCCATGTGTGTCTGCTGTATTTCTCCCTTTCACTGCAGGCCAGCTTTTTCCACATGGCAGAAAGTGTATTTGCCGACACTCTTCACCTTTACATCTATGGTTTCTGTGATTCAGAGAAAAAAACATGTCTCACAAAAGCAAGGAAGAGGCAAAGTGCCAGGGAAAAAAAAAATCTGTATATTCAGCATAGTGTTCAAAAACAATTTAACAGTCTTAAGAAAATATATCTTTTTCAGGTTCTTCATACATTGTTTATACTGAAAATGAAATTATTAGTTTATCATTTAAAACCTGTAATGATAAAAATAATGGAAGCATTAGAAATTTTCTTTTTATCCAATGTTTTAATAATTCTTTGGACTTTTCCCCAGATCTAATAAAGAGTATTAAGATTGGTGTAACAATTCATCTGCTGGGTATTTGATAAATATACAACAATAAGGGTTAGCATTGATGATGTTTAGAAGATAGGGTGATATTCACTTTTCAAGAAAATAGTATTTATTTTGAAGCCCAATGCTCCATGTCACATTTTAAGATTACTTAGACAAGTATAGACAAAAGATGACCTTGAAGCTATGGAATATGATGAATTTACCACAGTACATTGAGATAATACATTATTCAATACTGCATGTGAAAATAGATCTGCAAAATAAGAAAGAGATACATTTCTGTCATTCATTTACTCAATAGGCATTTATTGAGCTGTCTCTTCTGTTCAAAGTATAGCAGTATACCTGTTCTAGAGAAAGAAAAAAAAACTGAAACAATGGCATATTTGTGTAACTCTAAATATTGCAAGGAAAAGGAGGCCAGTGCAATTCATTAATCAATCAGATCTATCCAGAATTACTCCCACCACCACCTCAAATAGTCTAACCCCCAGCATTTCTCATGACAACGAATGCAGAAAACAGACACAGCCTTGTTCCTGGTCTTTCCATAATGGCGATCGATCACACAGAACTCAAAGCCACCTTTATAAAATACAAATCTGATCCAGCCACTCTCCGGGTCTCAACTCTCTAATTATTTCCACTCACCCTTAGAATAAAATACAGAATTCTTACCTTGGTGTACACTATCTGATCTCATGCTCACTCTCAGAATCATCTCATTTTCCTACTACTCTTTCTCCCTCTTCCTATGATCCATTCTTTGGTCATTTTGCTTTTCATTACTATTCCAAGCTTGGGGCAACCTAAAGCGTAGAGACTTGCTCTTCTTTCTCCCTGTAATTCTCTTCCTCCACATATCTGCATGGGTCATTCCTATACAGTATTCAGGTCTCTGTTCAGAGGCCACCTTCTCAAAGCTCATTCTAAACCTTCAAATCCCTATCACTTGGTGTACTTTAATTTTCTTCATACCATACACCTCTAATTGGCAATACAGTGTATACTTATTTAGTTGTTTAATATTTTTATCTAAAACCTATGTATGAATTTCTGGGAAGAAGAGATTTTGACTGTTTGCTCTATTTCAGGGCATAGAAACGCTTGGCACATAGGTGATATACAATAAATTATTCTTTAATTCACTACTTTATTAAATGTACCTATGCATACTTCATGTAAATAGACATGAATCCCACTGACACCACTTTCTAGCTCTGAGACCTTGATCAAATAAGATAACATTCAGTAGCAAAATGATGATAATAATGACATTTATTTTACTTCATATGTAAAGTCCTTATAATATTGCCTAGAACATTTGAATATTTATTGAAGGATATCACGATAATTTTAATTATTATATGTCATTGTTTACATTATAAAAATGTGTTGTTGCATTAATGTAAGGTGAAATGCATGTATATAAAATATGTATAAATATAATGTCCTCATTACCCTATCAGTATTACATTCCAGACAGAAATGATGTTTTATGGGAAGGCAAAAGTCTGTATTACACAAAAGTTTTACATATAATGACCACAGAGCAATTTTTAAAAATACTACTAGATTTATTCTTTTTTTACAAACTGTAGTTCAAATTCCCACCTAAATCTTAGTACATATCAAAAGATAGTTTCATATTTAATTTTAATTTTAACTTTAATTTAATTTTAATTTTAATTCATATTGACTTTCTCTAGTAACAATTATTCTTAAATTGCATAACTCTTCTTTCATCTTTTGCTTATCTTCAACATCCAGAGAAATAAATAAAAATGGACAATATTTAAAATAAAATAAAATAAAGTTAAATGTCAATAAGTTTTCTTTTTAAGTTATCTATGGCAGAATAAATCTAAATGGGATTGACCTATTTTGTGCTTGTTGCCCTTAAGGGAAAAAAGATAAAAGACATTAGAGTGTGTCATGTCAGTGTGTGTCTTCAAATCAGTGCACATCAGTCTAACCTCCCACACCTTTCTATGTACAGTTCTCTAAATGGTAACTTATCTTCCAGTGATGGCTTTTTGCACTGTGTTTGAAGTTCTTTTGACGTGTTACTGTATTATTTCATATGGATCCATCTATGGCATCACATCTATGGAACCACATTAAGAAAAGGTTCTTTTTTCTTCTGCAACAACAACAAAAAAACAGAGTTCAAACATTTATTCACAAGGTTTTGCACTGACCTGGCAATAATACTCAAAGGACTGACTTATTTTGCTTAGACCAATTTTTTCTGGCACACAGACAAATGTTAAAGTGAAACGCTAAAAAATAGTATGAGTATACTGTGAAAAGGCAGCACAAACAACATCCATATCATTGGTCAATAAAATCTTTGCTGCTTTGCTGATGGGAAAATATTTTTAATACTTAAATTTTTTCAAGATTAACAAACATAGCTCATGTCCCAGTATTTCCAGTGTGCAGATTACCAGGCACAGTTATAGTGGTATCAGATATGGATTTCCTTCTCATGAATTTTAGTGAGATATGGACAAGATCTTACAAAAGTTGACACCATCAGGGGAATAATTCATCTTAAAGGATGGAGAAGGATATTACCTATGCCCTGTAATACCTACTAGAGAGCCACCAAGAATGTTGGAAGGATTTCTTATCACTAAACACATCACTAGCTATTTAAACTGAAATAACTATTGCTTTTAAAAAATAGTTATCTTTTTATTTTACCATTTTACTATGTGCCAGATAAGTGACTATCTTCAGTTTGATTTACACATTATATTTAATTGCCTTAACAACAATGTTCAATACTTCCATTTACAATTGTCGAAACTGAAGTTCATGGAGCTTATTTATGTTGCTTATGTGGTGAATAGAATTTATGGTAAGGTGCATCTAGTTCCAAGGCCATGATTTTTATGACTTAAGTGTACTATCTATTGAAATAGCCTAAAATTTAAACTAATTTCTTTGTTGTGTTAATAATTTAAAATAATAATATTTTAAATAAATTAGAATTATTTTCTGAGCATTATATCATCTGCTACTAGTGGGGGATGATTTATAGCAAAAGAGTTAATATTTGGAAGAATAAATATAATAAAACTAAGAATGATTTCATTGTTTTATTGAAACAATTGGAGCCTGTTTCATAAGAAGTCCAAATAGAGTGGGACAGTACAGCATGAACAGACTGACAGCGGCAAAGGTATTATGTGTTCAGGTGGATGAGACAGAACCAGAATTATTAAATGCTCCACACTAGAACCACCTGCTATGAATTGTTAAACTGTACCACTGAAGATTCAACAGAATTGTGAGAATTTCTTAAGTAAGATAGAATATGCAGGAGTCAAATGAAAAATATATAGTCATGCAACCACATAAAACATGTTGATTTATGTTTAATAAAAAAGAAAAATCTACATAAAGATAAATGTCAGAGACAATATTTACAACAATATGAAAAGAAAAACAACGGTTCTCTAACAAAGAGATTCTAAAAATTGCAAAAGAATGAAAAATGACCTAGTAGAAAGACGAGCAAGTTATATTAATAGGCAATTCATCTCACCATTACTCAGAAAAGTGTAAATTAAAATAAGAATGAGATACTATCTGTATCCATCGGATTGGGAAATATGAAATGAGTTGTTAACATTCAACAGAGGAAAGGGTTGAGGAAACAACTGCTGTCACGTGTTACTAGAAGAAATATAAATAGCTTCAACCTCTGGGGAAAATAATCTGGAAGTAGCTATCAAAATTGTATACGCATATAACCTTTAACCCAGGAGTCCTAGTCATCTCTTTTCTTTGTTTCTTTTTACTGTATCATCTTCTGCCACCTAGAGTTCCCAATTTTATCCAAGTTTTCCTACATTTGATCTTTCAACACTGTAGACAACAGGAGAACAACAAGTTGGCTACAGTAATGTATTCAGAAAAATTGATTGTTTGGGGGCTCAGAGGCTGTAGATGATTTTGATTACACAGGCGGTATCATCAGCATGCCTAGGAGATTGTTTTCTACATGGTTTAGTTGTTTCAATGCAGGTGTAGAGAAGGCAGAGAGTTTGCTCACACATGGTATTTGTTTTGGTTTGGGTTGGTTTGATTTGGTTTAGCTTGGTTTCCCCAAGCAGAAATGAAAGGAGAGAAAGGTAAATGTTAATAGTAATGGTAAGAAAAAAATACAAAACAAATTATAGTATGTTAGCTAGAATCAGAGGAAACTAAAGGGAAAAAGATCCCATGAATAGGGAGAGAGTAGTTGGGATTGTGGGCTAAAAGTGCTCCTGAGGTTAAAGGACAAATTGTTGCAATTGTTGACCATGTACAATATAAGAATAAGAGATCATCATGTGTTAATTATTCCATAACTTCATGTTTTCAATGAAACATTATGAAAGGTCTGGGATTGTCATTGACAATCTCTGACCTGGTAATATGCCCTACAGATCTTACTAGCTCACCAGAATGGGGTTTGGAGCACAAAACACCTTCTGTTTCCTGTGTAAAGTTTTCCAATGAGATTTATATAAAGAAGAAAAATAAAGAAAGAAAAATCGAGTTCTGGAGTATGATTATGAAAGTGAGTAGGGCAAGGTGGGCAAAACAATCATTAGAGGAGGGGTGATCAAGAAACCAAATTACCATGCTATTGAAAAGATTATTCACAAAAACATCAAAGTCCCTCAGAACTACAAAATTAGAGCGGGCAAGAAGATTGTGAAGCAAAAGTAAAAGACATCAAGGAATACATGAGTTTATCGAAGAGATCATTAGGCGTCAACAACCAGTAGTAGATGTAAAGCCAAGTAATATAAGCCTTATTAAACAAAGTGTTTTATTCTCAATGAGATGGCGATATCTATCATACATTTGATATTACCTTGGTGGACCAGAGAATATGAGGTCATAAAGTTTTAAGCGCTATTATAGAGAAAAGTGAATGAGTACAGAAATTAAAATATAATCAGCACATAGAATTAAATGATGACTTAGTTAGTGCTTGTTGAGCCTCAACTGATTTTCACTCTGTTCAGATAGCCTCATTGAAATAAGAAGTTACTACAAAATTGCTAGAAACCAAGGGAAAGAATGTGTAATATTTCTCAGAGGATCAGTTTATTTAAAATCTCCAGATACAGGAGATTTTACTTTATCAAGTAAAATCTTGATACAGATTTTGATTAATCCAGATACAGATTTTGATTTGGATATGAACAATGAAGAGTTTCTAGAGAAGTTCCTGCACAGTGCTGGATTGTGGTTGTGGAAAGCTGAAGTAGTCATATTAAGGCCGCTTTGGATAAAAGAATTGTGTTCTTCATTGTGAATATCACAGTGGCAACAAACAAACAAAACAACTATCTTATACTTTCCTATCATTGTACAATAATTACTCCCATCACACCTTGACAAATGAAATTTTAAAAGGGGATTTAGACACCATGTAGTTTAACTTTCTCACAATCCAGAGATTTTCCTAAAATATACCTATAAGTTTCATGTGACCAGTAACAGATTCTTCCTTGTTCGCTGCTATATTCTGATACATGTCAAAGTTCTTAGCACATTGTAGGCACTTAGTACTTATTTGTTGAATGAACACATTTCTAATGATGTTGCCTGTTTCAAGCAAGTCAGCTGCACAAGTGAACACTACCATTCTCCATAACTTGAAAGTGTATTTAGGCATGTTACTCCTATTTTGACTTCCAGAGTAGCTGGGAGTGCACACGGTTGAGGACACATTCATTGATCCTTGCAAAGAAACCTCAGGTAGCTATGTTCTAACTTTCAACCTGGTCCCCTCTCTCATTTGATGCCGAAGAGTGAGTAACTATACAGATAGGGAACTCATTCCCTCTTGATTCAGCCACTTCCACTAGCCTTTATATGAAGGCTAAATCTATTGCCCTTACCCACCTTCAAAATACTGCCAATATTTTTATGTAATAACATATAAAATTCCATTAATATTTTAATTTCCTAGTCAATGATAACCATAATGTCAGCTCCTAAAATTTTGATTCCACATTCTTTTCTTTTCATTCTTGAGATGTTAATATGTTGTATTCCTTTTTTGTTCTTCTGTTTCACCTTAAGCACACAAATTTGTATTCTGTGAGCATTTATTTCAGACTTGTTCCCATGTGTGTTTTAACATTTCATGTTGAAAGCTAAAAGTAAGATGTTCTCAAATTCATAATCCCCTAGAGATCTTTTGTTCTTGCCTGTACTTGATAAAGTAAAACTATGCTATTCAATCTAATTTCTTTCTCTAAAAGTTTTTCTAAGTGGCTATAATATTAATTTAAAGTTTCTTCAATAGATTTGGTCCTAAATAAATCACTGAAAACTCCATGAGTTTTTACTACAAACGACTTCCTCCAGAGAAAAAAGAGTACCATGACTACATTCTCTGTATATATAGCAACAGGCTGAGAACGATTCATGTTTAAAATTCAAGGAGTATGATTGAATTAGAAATATCTATGTTAAAATTTTTTTCAGATGTGGATGTATTGGTTTCCTTTAATCTAATGCTTTTGTTTGTGTTTTTCACCATATATTTCTGTTTTAGAAAAAAAGTCCTTAAAATTAATCTCCAAAAGAAGTTTTTTGTCCACGGTTTATTTCATTTATTAAATGTGGAAAATGCCAACAAACCTCAATAAACTGATATACAAACTGGACCAATATCTAAAACATTTTCTTCTATGTCTACAATTTTAATAACATGTTAGAAAGCAGATAAAAGAATTGAGAAATAATTTGATAACTTAAATGCAAGATTAATGATGATACTAAACAACTAAATATAAATATAGGAACTTGAAGACTATTATCATTCTTGGCTAGTTATTTATTTATGTTATTCACAAATATTTTTTCTTTACTACATGATTCATCATTCAATGAAATACAGTAGAAAGTAAATATGAGTATATACCTATTTGAGTTTCATTTTCATTATGTCCATGAAAATTTAAATGTTTCCTAATATAATTAGTCCTATAACTTATTAATCTAAACATTCTACTTCTATTTTTTCCTATTATATTTCATACTCAAAATACCAACAGTCAGTATGGAAAGGAAGGATTTCCCATACTACAGAGGCAAAAATAAAGATACAGCAGATGAAAAGTTTAACTTCATGCTTTTATCTCCTCTAAGACTAATATTGAACTAATATAATGCAAGATGAAAAGACATATCTTGATGTCTAAATTAATTCAGTATTGCCTAGCAGTTCTTTTCATAAGACTGGTGAAAAATGTTCCCTCTGGTAACTTTAAGTCAGTTTTTTGTAATTAGCATTTACTTGTGTTCTTAAAAATGAAATTGGCTTCTTTTTGTCTGCCAACACCAATTTTCAGCTCAGCAGCTAAAGAATAGGTCTTTTGTGTTAAAGCCAGCAGGTTTGATGTCATGTTGTAATAACTTATGGAAGTTATGTCATTATATTACCCGTGGTAATTAATTTAATTTTGTCTAAATTTAATATTTGTTTATCCATGCATTCAAAATTATATTTGTACTGACTTATGACAAAGATATAAATGTTATGCTGAAAGGCCAAGGATTACTTATTAGAAATAATATTTTCTTTGAAATAAAAAAGCAATCTTTTCTCAATCATTTTTCTAATATACTGTATATCTACGTACAAACTTCCTTCAAAAAATGATAAAAATAAGTTACATGTTAATTTTAAATTTCTATACTATTTATTGACAACATAGCCATCATAAAAAATGCAACTGCATTTATTTCATCTCATTTTACTTCCGTATTTTTAAGATAGGTAAGATAAATACCTATCTTATCTTACATAATAAGATAAACTTGATTTAAATATTCATTCTTTATCTATTTTATTATTAAATCCAGAATATCTGGTTAAGAATACTTATCTTTAACATATTGAGATATTTATCAAGTCATTTACCTTAAAGTTTCACTCAGAAATAAAAAAGAAACTGCAAAATTTTCCAGCTAAATTGTCATCTTTAGAGCATTCAGAATCCCTAAGGAATCAAATTACAAGAACTATCAAGTGTTGTATTTTTGTAGTCACCTCTCTGATAGGCATACAAAACTAACATGAGATGATAACTGCCCTCAGTGTCTAAAATTTAGTTGAGGAGAAAAATCAAAGAAAGTATGAATTAAAACTACACAATTATGACAAAAATAGTTTCATAAAGGACAGTAAATAGGCACAAATTGTCTTGTTTTATTGAATGTTGGGCTTAGTATCTACCTTAGTCTACTAGAGCGGCCATAACAAAATGCCTAACTATGGGTGGTTTAAATAACAGAAATTTATTTCTCACAGTTTTAGAGGCTTGAAAGTACAAGATCAAGTTGCCAGCAAGGTAGCTTTCACTGAGGCCTCTTCTCTTGGCTTGTAGGCAGCTACCATCATGCCACATGACCTCTTCTTTGTGTGCATGTGAATTGCGGGAGACACCTGGGATCTGTTTCTCTTCTTAAAACGACACCAATTCTATGGGATGAAGGCTTTGCCCTTATGACCTCACTTAATCTTAATTACTTCTTTAAATACCTCTCTCCAAACATAGTCAAATTCGGAATTAGGGCTTCAAAATATGAATTGGAAGATGTGGCATAATTCAGCCTATAACAATATCTGAACTTTGACTAATGGAAAAAATCTAAATAAGTCAAAAGAAGAAAAGAAGTATCATCAATAAGGATTAAGAACCATGAAAAGAGTCACATAGGGTAATTATATATTTCCTGAAACCAGATAAATGGCCAGATCTAAAGTATAGAGATGAAAATAAATACTGTAAAATGTTTTCTGAAAGAGTACTGAATATTAAATTGTCTTAAAAATCCAGAAAAAAATATTTCAGAATCTCTCTTCTCTTCCTTTCACACACATATACACATGCACTATCTTCCTTCACCTCTTTATGTGTTACTAATTACAAAACTGTGGGCCTTATATAATAGTCTTTGGAGGCCGGGCGCCATGTCTCACACCTGTAATCCCTGCACTTTGGGAGGCCAAGGTGGGTGGATCACCTGAGGTCCGGAGTTCGAGACCAGCCTGACCAACATGGAGAAATCCCCTCTCTACTAAAAACACAAAATTAGCCGGGCGTGGTGGCGCATGCCTGTAATCCCAGCTACTCCAGAGGCTGAGGCAGGAGAACGGCTTGAACCTGGGAGGTGGAGGTTGCTGTGAGCCGAGATCACGCCACTGCACTCCAGCCTGGGTAACAAGAGCAAAACTCCTTCTCAAAAAAAAAAATAGCCTTTGGAGAATACTAAAATTACATATTGAAATCAGCTGCACAAAGTACTCAGCTAAAGAACGTGACTAAATAAATATTTCAATGTCAGTACTAAATATTCAATAGTTATTAAATGTAGTTGAAAATGGTAATAAGTAGAACTCTGGCTTCTACACAGGCTACTTTAACATGTCATCTCATTATTTGCTGCTATATTAGAAAAGTAGTTCCTATAGAATACTGTTGTACATAGGAATCTTAGGACTTAAAGAACGCCTTGAAAAATTAGATTATTTAGATTTTATCAGATATTAACATCGACACCTAATCAATGTATCTATATTCCTTCTATTATCCATTTGAGGATAAACACTAAAGCTTTGAATTTTATTTCTGAAAAAAAGGAAACATGATCATGATTTAGACAAATATTAAGAACTTAAAATTTCCTATTAATTTATCAACAATGAGTTTCATGTAATTTATATACGTCTACTACAGCTGCTATAACAAAATGGCACAGACTGGGTGAATTAAACAACAGATTTTTAAAAAACAGTTATGGAGACTAGAAGCTTGACATCAAGGTGCTATCAGAGTCAGTTTCTGGTCTCTCTTCCTAGCTTAGAGACAGCCACCTTTTTGTTGTGTCTTTGTGGCAGGCCAGGTCTCCATTAGGAACCAGAGCTCTCGGTCTTTACCAACACTTGCTGTAATTCTGATTAATGTATAAGTTTAACATTAAAGAACTGGAGAAACTAGTGCCTTAGTGCAAAGGGCTGGAAAGTAAAACAAGTCCATTATGACCTCACCTGGGCTTTCTTAGATCCTAAGGTTTTTAAAATAATGAAGACATTCTTGCACATGTTGTACCAGGATTCACTTTAGATGATATTTTAAGTAATTTTTCCAAGCCTCTGAAGTAATTGTCTAAACCCGGGACCCTAGTCAAAGAATAGAGTAAAACACTTTGGCTTTCAGCTTGTAGGTGTACTGAGTATATATAAGCACTGGAAAAAATTTGTAACTTTTAGTTCGTCTGGTGAGTTACTACAAACTTTTCCCTGCAACCAGTTACAGAAATAAACTCCCTTCTTTCCCAGTCTGTCTGCATCTCGTTATTGAACTGAGAGAACAAGCAGCTGGACCACTGTTTGGTCTGTGAACATCTTCACATGTTCTTTCCTCTGTGTGTGTGTGAAGAGATATCTCTGGTGTCTCTGCCTCTTTGTATAAAGATCTCAATACTATCAAATTATAGCCCTGCCCTTATTACCGCATTTGGCCATAGTTACCTTTCTAAAGACTCTATCACCAAATACATTTACATTGGGGGTTACGGCTTCAACAAATAAATTTTTGAGGGGCACAATTCAATCCATAACAATCTATACTTAGTTTCAAAGACAGAAAGGTAAGGTCAGTAAGATAATAGAATTATAGCTTTTTAATGTCATCTTCCTCCCCACAAAAATCATCCATTTTGACAACTACCCTTGGATAAGAGTACCTATGAAGTAGTCTAGGAGTTCAGCAGAGAAGTTCTAGGAGATCATGCAAGCAAACAATCCAAAAACAGATGAATTGAAGGAGTAATAAGAATAGTTTTCCTTTACCCATGTCACAGTTTTACCAAGGTACAGCTCAATGCAAAGAGAGAAACACTTGACTATCAATTTATCCCATGAGGGAAAAAGAGTATAGTGAGGAAGTGTCCAGCTCCCTCAGCCATGCAGATGGTACACAAGCAGGCAAGAGAGATGCTGTCCCTTTCTTTCTTGCCTCAACCAGAAAACTGTGGTGATCAGCACAGCTGAGTGATTTGGAGAGGGTGGAGATAGGGATGAGAGGCTGTGTGCCCTACTGCTTGCTCTGCAAACTCTATCAGGAAGGCTGCCTATGACATACTTAGTTTGCCTCATCTATAGAACCCCTTGAAACTGGCCTATGGGAACCACAAATGCTCCACATGCCTCACCTCCATTCCGCTCCTATGCCGGCCCTCTGAGCTTACCCCTGGATACAGTGAGTGCAAGCATCTCATGCAAACAACCAGCTAAACTCTGCAGGGTTGGGAGAAGGTGTACAAATGAGACTTTCAGAACACAACCGTAGGGAAAATAAACAAGAGGATCTCAGCACCTGGCTTATTTTGCAGGACACAGAGAAAGCCTATAGTCTTAAGAATCTCTCACCTGAATGAAAACAAGAGCTGTGGAGAAGGGATATTCATTAAGAAAAAGTCTGAGAGAACCTCAGAATTCCTAGTCAATTTAATTGATAAGGCTGTTTATCTCCTAAAACTAGGCAATAAAGACTGGAGGAGAAGACTGCATGTTAAATGTAAAATCAGAAAGGCAAAACTTCAAGAAATGAAAAAAAAAAATCAGGAAAACATGATACCACCAAAGAAATACAATGATATTCCACTAACCAACCTTAAATAAAGGCAGATACATGAATTGACAAAGAATTTAAAATAATTGTTTTAAGTAAGCTCAGTGAACTATGAGAGAACATAGACAACTCACTGAAATTTTTAAAAAATGAACAAAACAACTAGTTTAATAAAAAGATAAAATCATGTTAAAAATAAATTATGGAGATGAAAAATACAATGAATGAAATAAAAATGTAATAGAGAGCATAAACAACAAACTTGATCAATCTGAATAGAGAATCTGTGAACTTCAAGATAGGTCATTGGAAACTATCCAGTTGAGGATAAAATTTAAAAAGAGGAATTAAAAGGAATGAGCAAAGGCTGTGGGATTTATAGAACACTGTCAAAAGAGGTACATTCATATTATGAGAGTAACAGAAAGAGAAAAAGGGCAGAAAGATTATTTAAATAAGTAATGGCTGTAAACTTTCCAGATTTGGGGAGAAATACGGACTTCAGGTACATGAAGCTCAAAAGTTGCCAAACAAGTTAAACCCAAAAAATACTTCACTAAGACAAATTAAAATCAAAGTGTCCAAAATAAAAGACAAGGAATGAAGTTTGAAAGTAGCATGAGAAAAGAGGCTTCAAACACCAGTAATTAAGACTATCAGCAGAATTCTCAGCAGAAACATTGTAGGCCAGGAGAAAATGGGATGATACATTCAAATTTCTGAAAGAAAAAACACTGCCAACTGAGAATATTTTATTTGGCAAGGGTATCCTCCACAAATGAAGGGGAGATAAAACTTTTCTATAAAAACAAAAGTTGAGAATGTTCATCACCATTAGACCTGCTATGCCAATAACTGCTGAAAAAAAGAGGTCTCTGAGCTGAAATAAAATGATGCTAACGAGAAGCATGACAAAAAATGAAACTATAAAACTCACTGGTAAAGTTAACAGAGAATTCAGAATATTCTAATTCTGTAGTAGGGATAGTAAGTCAATTATAACTTGGTGTAAAGATTAAAAAAACAAAAATAGTTAAAAATTAATACAACTGTAATAATTTATTAACTGGGATGCTATGTACAAAAATGTAAATTATGACATCAAACAAATGTGGGAGGGGAAAAATGTAGTTTTTTATGCAATAAAAGTAATGTTGTTATCAGGTTAAAATAGACCGCTATAAATGTAAGATGTTTTATGTAAGCCTCATTGTTACCAAAACCTATAGCAGTTACACAAAAATAAAGAGAAAGGAAACAAAGGATACCACTACAAAATATTTTCCAATTATAAAGAAAAAAAGAGAAGAACAAATCTACAAAAAAGCCAAAACACACCTAAAAAATAGCAATAGTAGGTCCTTGCCTGTCCACAATTACTTTAAATGTAATTAGATTACTTTCTACAATCAAAGATATAAAACATGCAAAGCCTATTTGCTGAGCCACTTTAGCCTACTGCATCTTGAGATGCAATTTCGGTTACTTGTTCAAGTCCAATTAAACAAAAAAAATACTCACACAACAAATTACATGATGCAGATTTATTACTAATAGATAGAAAGGAAAGGGGCTGTAGAAGCCTAGGATTCATGGTGAACTAGTCCCCCCTGCTTAGGAAAGCTGCCCAGGATAAATGAAATTTCACCTGCACATGCCCCATCTATACTGCAACTGAGAGACCTGAAAAGTGGCCTACTCTAGGATTTATACCCCAGAGAAATTTGATATGCTGAGTGAAATTGTTGTAGGACATCCTTTACTATGAGGAAAAGGAACAAAACCCAACCTCTTCTGGCCAGTTCTTCCTTATCCCAGGATATTGTATTCTCAGCATATTCTGCAGTTTTTGAGAACTTAAAGCAAGAAAAGGGGAGGGAAGAACTGGATTGGTGCAGGGCTACCAGGAGAACTGAACTGCAGAGTCCTGAATGGATAAATAAAACAAAAACTTACAATATGGTACCTACAAGAGAAATACTTAGAACTTAGGGAAATACATAAACTAATACTGAAGGGATGGAAAAAGACATTCTATGCAAATAAAAACCAAAGAGAGTAGGGATACCTATACTTATACCAGACAGAAGAGACTTTAAGTCTAAAATTGTAAAAAGAGACAAAGAAGATCATTACATAATGATAAAGAAGTCAATTCATCATGAGGCTATAACAATTGTAAATGTATATGCACCTGATATCAGAGTATCTTAATATACGATGCAAATATTAACTGATCAGAAGGCAGCAATAGACAAGAATACCATAACAGTAGAGGATTTCAATTCCTCATTTTCAGCCATGCACAGATTATTGAGACAGAAAATTAATAAGGAAACAGTGGACTTGAGCTACACTTTAGACCAAATGGATTTAACAGATATATACACAACATTCTATACAACAGCAGTAGAATACAGATTATTCTTAATTATACATGGAACATTATCCAAGATAGATAACACAAAATCTTAAATTTAGGACAAATGAAAGTATATCAAGCCTCTTTACTGATTACAATGTTAGTAAGACAGAAAATGTGCAGTTTTCTGGAAACCAATAACAGGTGGAAATGGAAAATTCACATTTGTGAAAATTAAAAGCATACTACTAAATAACAAATGGACCAATAAATAAAGTAAAACAAAATTTAAAAATATCTTGTGACAAAGGAAAATGAAAACAAAACATTCCATAACTTATGGGATGCAGCATAATCCACAATAATAAGGAAAATTATGGTGATAATACCTATGTGAAGAAAGAATAAAGATCTCAAAGACACAAACTAACTTTATGTTTCAAAACACTAAAAAAACCAAACTAAGTAAAAAGGAAGAAAACCACAAAGATCAGATCGGAAATAAATGCGGAAGAGACCAGAAAAAAAATGAGATAAATGCAACAAAGAGTTCTGTTTTCATAATAAATAAATAAAATTGACAAACTTTTACCCAGACTAAGAAAACAAGAGAGAGCATTCAAATAAATAAAATTAGAAATAAGAGAGGGGACATTACAACTGATACCACAGAAATACAAAGGATCATAAAACACTACTCTGAATAATTATAGTCCAACAAATTGAAAAACCTAGAAGAAAGGAACAAATTCCTAGAAATATACAACCTACCAAGACTGAAAAATGAAGAAATAGACAATCTGAACAGACCAATAACAAATAAGGCGATTGAATCTGTAAACAAATTCTCCCATTAAAGCCCAAGACCTGATGGCTTCATCTATGAATTTTACCAAATATTTAAGGAATAATTAATGCCAACACTTCTCAAACTTTTTGAAAAATTGAAGAGGAGAGAATACTCTCCAAACTCATTTTAGGAAACCAGCATTATCCTGATTTAAAAAAAAAGAAAAAGAAAAAAGAGAAAAAGGATAAGAATATCACAAGAAAAGAGAATTACAGGTCAGTATCCCTGAACATATATGCAAAAATCCTCAATGAAATACTAGCAAACCAAATTCAATAGTACATAAAAAGAATTATTCACCATGATCAAGTAGAATTTATCCCTGTGGTACAAGGATGATTCAACTCACCCTTACCACATCTTTTCAACATAGTGTCAGAAGTCATAGTAAGAGAAAGAGATTAAAGGCATCCAAATCAGAAAGAAAGAAGTAAAATTGTCTGTGTTTGCAGATGAGACGACATGATCAGAAACCCTAAGATTTCACAAAAAATACCCTGTTATAACTAATTAAAAAACTCAGTAAATCTGCAGGATACAAAAATCAACATACAAAAATCAATAACATTTCTATACACAAAGAACTATCCAAAAGTTAATGGAGAAAATAGTCCCATGTATAACAACATTTTAAAAACTACTTAGGCATAAATTTAAACAATGAAATGAAAAATCTGTACACTGAAAACTATAAAATATTGATGAAGGAAATTTTTAAAGACAAATAAATGGAAAGCTATTCAGTATTCATGGATCAGAAGACTTCATATTGTCAAAATGTCTGTACTATCCAAAGAGGTCACAGATTCCATGCAATTCCTATCAAATTCCAATGACATATTTTACAGAAATAGAAAAGACAATTCTCAATTTTGTATGGACCCACAAATGACAGAAAGAGCTAAAGTAATCTTGACCAAAATAGACAAAGCTGGAGACATCATACTTCCTGATTTCAAAGTATACTACAAAGCTATAGGAATTAAAGCAGCATGGTACTTCCATAAAAACAGACACATAGATAAATGGAACAGAGTAGAAAGCCCAGAAGTAAGCCCATGCATATATAGTCAATTGGTCTTTGACAAGGGTACCAAGAATATACAATGAGGAAAGGATAATCTCTTCAATAAATATTGTTGGAGAAATTGAATATCTACATGCAAAAAAGTAAAATTGTATCTTTATTTTACATCATTCACAAAAGTCAACATGAAATGGAGTAAACACTTACACATAAGCCTTGGAGCTATGAAACCCTCAGATAAAAACATAAGGAAAACTTAACATTGGTCTTGGCAATAATTTTTCGGATATGACACCAAAAGCACAGGAAAAAATAAACAAGTGGGACTATATCAAACTAAAATGTTTCTGTACAACAAAAGAAAGAATCAGCAAAATCAAAAGCCAACCTATGGAATGGGAGAATGTATTTGCAGATCATATATCTATTATAGGTTAATACTATAATATATGAGAAACAACACAAGTTAATAGCAAGAAACCCTAAAATAACCCAATTTAAAAATGAGGAAAGAACATGAAAAGACATTTTTCTAAAGATGTCATATAAATTGTCAATAGATATGTGAAAATTTTTCAACATTGTTAATCATCAAGGGAGTGCAAATCAAAACCACAATGAGATATTACCTTATACCTGTTTGGATGGCTATTATGAAAAGACTTATTTTGGAAATAATGTGGAGAAAATGGAAACCCTATACATTGTTCATGGGCATGTAAATTGGTGCAGACATTGAGGAAGAAAGACAGTATGAAGGTTTTTCAAATATTTAAAATAGAACTACCATATGGTCCAGCAATCCCATTTCTGGATATATATTAAAAGGAAATTAAATCAATATGTAAAAGAGACATCTGCACTCCCAAGTTCACTGCAGTATTATTCACAATATCCAAGATATGGAACCAACCTAAGTGTCCATCACTGGATGGATGAATAAAGAAAAGTTGGTATATATAGACAATGAAATCCTATTCAGCCTTTTAAAACAAGGAAATCCTATCATTTGTAACACAATGAATGAACCTGGAGGACATTATGTTAAGTGAAATAAGTCAGGTACAGAAAGGCAAATACCACATAATTGCATACGCAGAATCTGAGAAAGGCAAATTCATAGAAGCAGAGGATAGAGTGGTTGTTGCTACAGGAATAGGATAAATTAGGAGATTTTGGTCAAAGGCTAAAAAGTTTCAGTTAGACAGAATCAATATGTTCTGGGAAAAAAAATATTTCAGAGAGAAGATACTCTAATTCTTCATTCTTAAAACTACACCCAAAAGCAAGGCAGAAGAAAATACATAGAAACGCAGAACTCATTTCTTCTGAAATTCAAAAATATCTGTAACGCCTACACAGAAAAATTAGGAAGAGCTATCAGTTGCGATGAACATTGATCAGTCAGTGGAATCCCATCGAGAGTGTCCATCTTCGTTCAATTGCAGTTCTCAGAGTATGCAGCTCTCCCCAAAATAGAGTACATGCCAAGAGGTGAACAACAGACTGTCCTGGCTTGTGAATAACAAGATATGAGCCAAATACCTTACTATATTTTTTATTCAAGGAGAAGATTGTTAAACATCCTACTTTCTAAAAAGCAATTCTACTAGGCACAAACGCATTCACAGAGGAATTCTAAAATACTCCTTTAAGAAACTCATGGCTTTAATCCTATATAAACTGTTCCAAACATTGGGGAAGAAAAAAGAAAGCTTTTATTAATAATGCTAATATGCACTGCTCCAAAAAATAGCCATGGGTAAAAATCACAGCAAAAATACTATTCATGGTACGAATATGAGAACCTTCCAAATATTAGCCCATAGAATCCAGCAGCCAAATCACAAATGAAATTAGAACTTTTTTCAGAAATCTCAGGATGGCTCACTATTTGAAATAGTTTAATATATGTCACTATATTCCCAAGTCATAGGTTGTACATATAATAAAAGCCTATATTGCAAACTTATGGCAATTAAAAATGAAAATGCATTAAATATCTACAAAAATGGAAATGCATTAGAGGTCCATAAGTAGAGTTGTTGTAGCTAAACTATAGCACCTTCATACAATGAAATACTGAGCAGTTAATATAATAAAAATGAAATCTTGAGTGCACTATTACAAGGTATATTGTTGAGTGAAAAAATGCAGAACAGTACATATGTGTGGGTACCCACACATGCATATTATATGCATTTGTGAACAAAATTTAAAAATTAATGAGTATATATGACTGAAATGTATATACTACTTGCAAAAGAATACACAGAAAATTTACAATGTTGGGAAACAGAAAATGAGAAAACTATACTTTTCATTTCCTTTTAACATTTATAGCAATTGCATATATTACCTATTCAAAAATAAATGCAAATTTTGTAAGAAATACAGGTTTTCTTAAAGTGGCATGTAAAAGGGTAAGGCATTTTGGATTCCCAGCCGCTAAGAAACATTAAAAAATTAATAAAAGGACTAGTAAGCATGACCATTTTAAAATCACTCACTCTTTACTACACACAGCCCAAATAAGGCTGCTTCCAAAGAGCCTGTCTTAAATGCCTTACTTTGAAATAATGTACATTTCTTCTATTAGCCATAGCATTTTCTATAATGTACATTTCTTCTATTAGCCATAGTATTTTCTATAATGTACATTTCTTCTATTAGCCATAGCATTTTCTATAAAGTACATTTATTCTATAAGCCATGGCACTTTCTATACTTATACTGTACTTTGTGCCTTATATTATAGTAATTTATCTGCACACTCATTCTCTCACACCTTAGTACCTTTCTCATGCTATCAACTTTTCATAAATTTTTCTTGGGCAGTTATGACAATGAGGATTTTTCAGGAAGTCTTGGGTCAAGCATTATTTCCTCTAGAGACTTCTATTCTAAGTTTTTAGTTTTTTGAGAATTTCTTCTCCATTCTTCTATGAACATCTTTATCTTACTACATATCATAACCCAAATTACTATTTGCAAGTTTATTATCCCCTCTAGGCCATTAACTCTCAGGAAGCATGTTACATGTATAAGATCATTCAATCATGACCACAACCCTCTGATATAGGTACTTTACCCATATCCTGCTGATGAGAAATCTGAAGCCCAAAGATACTAAATAATTTGCCCAATTAAAAATTAATCAAGACTGGATTAGACTCAAAGTTGTCTGATTCTATTGTTGTACTTCACTTCTATGCTATGCTATTACTCAGAAGTTAATATTGATATTAACATCTAGAGTTTTGGTGCTAAGAAATAGCATATAACTTCTGCTTTCAAATAGGAAATCATTGAATGCATTTTCCCTCATGGTGATGATATTCCCTATCTAGTTCTAATTAGACCCACTGGTCACCTTGAGAATGATGATTAGTGTTTCTAATACTAGCCTAAGTTATACGCATATAAGAAGTTGCTTTAAGCTGGTATATTTAGCTTCAAATTAAATAGTTACTGGAAAAAAAGATATAGGGAAACTGTATTTCTTAAATTTTCTGCTATAATTTCCTGAAAGGATAAGAATATAATGGTACAATAAAGTATGATGACTCAGTGTCTCCTTCATTATGCCAATGAAAACACAGTCTAGTATCTTCGTCTTGTCTATTTTAAGGTGAATGTTAAGTTTATACTGAAATGAACTCAAAAGAGATTACATAATCTTCACTTTTTTATGTCACTCATTATATTCTGCAAGTTATATCAGAAGTTAATTCTTTAAAATATTCCAAAACTAGTATTGGTTTTTTCCTATAATCTTAATAACTCATTGTTGGGAACAACCATTTCACTTGTTCAAGAAAATTTAAAAAACATGTAATGTGGTTATGTTTACCTCAAAAGGGGAAGATAAATTAAAAAAGAAAAAGATTCAAAAAGAGGCACAACTTGTTAAATTATTTCCTCTTTGATGACAAGAACCAAGTTTAGGAACTATAATCTCAGAACTTAAACTCTTGTCATCATTTTGAGAAAGGAAAAATAATAATAATATAAACCAGAATTGAAAGTAGTCATTTCTCCTCAAGGAAGCAATTTTTATTCTTTTAATTTGTCAATCAGGTGACAATATGTAGCTTATTAATATAAGAACCAGGGGTTTTATTTCTAGATTTTGATCAGAAGTGTTGATACCACGAAGCTTCTGAATAAAACTAAGTATTTTGCTTCCTTCCTTTGGTTAAATTTGGAGTAAAAAGGTAAGTGGGTATATCAATACATTAATTTTGTGCCACTCTTGGCAATAAAATTAATAAATGACCAAAAACTTCAGTGTGATCATTTTATTCTAAACCTGTAACTTATGTTAAAAACATATTCTGGCTATAAAATAAATTTTCATGTGCCAAGCACCAACAGGAGTTTACCATTTATTGGTGTGCCACCAGGGCATCATTCCAAAAAAGGATTTTCAATCTGTTCTCGCATCACGTAACATGCACAAGTAGCTAAGCTCAAGGCAAAAATGTTGTATGAATGCATGTTTCTGAAAGAGCAGCTGGCTTGGAGTCTTAAAATTCAGCTCAGTATCAAAGGAATAAGTTTAATGCAAGCCCAAGTGGGACTGCTAGCTTATGTCGATTACCAGCTGTCATGGAACCAAACTTCAGGATTGCATACTGCTTCCTGTCCTTAAAAAGATTCACTAGTTTGAAGCAGAACACATGCTTTTGTTTTGCCTTATTTTATTTTGGTACCAAAATTTACTATAATTGGATACTTTATTCAATATGAATACTTCTTGAGTTTTCAGGGAAATAAAACTTTGAAATAGAGTAATAGGATTCTACATTATCACAACTTTGGTGGATCCTTTCAGGGGTACCTTATTTGGGTGACCTATGTGCTATCCTCCCTTGAGTTAAATTTCTAGCTGCACAAGATTTTAAATTTTTCATATTATTAAGCATCTAAAACCGTGCATTTTGAAAACTGAGGTTAATGGGTATCCTCCAAATAATTTATTTGCTTCCAAACTCCAAAGTCAATACATTTACTGCAAGGATCATTATTTTTTACAATATTATATTTTAGATGGTTAGTACAGAATGTAACTAATTTTCATAACATGATGAATACAACCATTACATTCTAGTTTGATATTTTATAAGGGAGTACACTTGGCCTTCTTAATGCTTCTAGGAGTTTAATCCTTAGTACCATCACAGATTAGCATTTACTAAATGTTAAATAAAATATAACCAATGGTTATGTGCTATATATTTCTAAATATGAAAAATGCTTATTATATCATAGAAGGCATCATTTCAAAGTAAAATGTATCATAACTTACCTAATAATCTTGACTCAGAATTTTTTTAATGTCTAGGCAAATCTACATATCAGTACAGAGGAAACAACATGGTTGACATTCTATTGGAGTCACTTAAATTAATTTTACATTTCTGAGGCTATGTTATTAGAACACAATGCCTAAGGTCACAGGGAAAGACCTAATACCATTGTATTTCATGAAGGAATCACTGAATATATTCTCCGAGGAGTACATATGGAACTGCCTCCCTACCCCTCCCCTGTTCCTTGTCTATATACTGGGAGGTCTTTTCTTTGGTAACATCTATGCTCTTTAAAGTTGCTCCCTTGCAGCTGATGACTGACTTTCACAGTCAGTAAGTTCTAACTGGCTTGTTTTATTACTCATTGAGAATAGAGCTCAAGGTTCTATCCTTTCAGATCAATATTTTTGTTTTATGTTTGCTATGTTATTCACAAGTTTCTATAAAAGCTTCTACAAACTACCTGGAATCATTTGCCAGAGAAACATGATAGACTTTGCTTCATATTGTGTGTTTCTTTTTTTAGTTTATACAGGAAAACACACAGGGACTAGAGTAAACCACGGTGATTATAAAATTAGATTCCAAAAGGAGGTCATATATTATCATACACACACACATACACACACGTGTGTATCTAATATATATTATATGTAATAAGTAATTAATGAAGCACACATGGACTGTTTCTACTGGAAATATTTGGTCTATTTAAAAATTCTCACCTTTGTTTATAAAAAATCCTAATGTCTAAAAGCAGATTTTCATTGTATTCATAGCTCCTTAAAGTGTGAATAAATTCATAATGGAGTAGGAGGTCTTTTTTATTAACTTTAAGAATTATTATTCATAATAAAAATCACATGTAAAGATATGCTGCAAACAATTAAGCTAGAGAACATATCTTGACCCTTGATTTTACAACTTTTACTCATAGGCTACAACAAAACTCTGAGAGAGTAATAAAGTTTACAAAAACATTTAATTCAAGAAACTATGCAATACAAATAAGCAAACTCTACAAATTTAGTTAACATAAGAGGTAGAAGCAAAGGTATGTTGCCTTAAAAATTATTAAGAAGCTTAAAAAAGAACCCTAATGATGTCTTAATTCTTAGTTCTATATTTACTCATGATTTGCATGAACCAATATACATGAACACTAATTAATATAAAATATATTTAAAGTACTTTAGATTTTTATTGAATATGTTGCAATCATCTTTATCCATTATTCTTGAAGAAGCTTTGATTTTTTCCTTCATGAAACCATTTATGTAAGAATGCCACACATCTTATACTCATTTAGATAATTGTAATTAGACTATAACCAGTTCTGTAAACACCATTTTCCAAATAAATTGCTTCTACTGAAGCTACCCAATAAATTTTAAATATATCAGAGAAAAAAGTGCTCTGATGTCATTATAGCCAGTTTAAATCCTAGAACTACATAAAGACTTTGTTTAGGCCTTATTTTAATGGATTAGTCCCCAACTTTCTCTTGCTCTAGTCTCCAGGCATCCAATTCATATGTTAATTAGCCATCACTTCTTTAAATGCCTCAAAATTGATCTTTTGGTCATGTGCAAAAGAATAAGTAAATAAAAATTTTTATTTGCTTAGTTTAAATGGAACTAATAAAATTACATTTTAAAATATTTTATGTTTGAATCTATCACCTCAATTCAATTGGAATGTATTTTACTAAACTTCTCTTCTTCCAATAAGCTCAGTCATGCATGGTTAGAAAATCAGCCTCAAAAGTAGATTATACATATCTTACTTTAATAATCTTCAGTATACAGCTTAACATGTGGAATCAGGCTGACATCTCTAAAGTGATAAATCTATAATCTTAGCAACAACTGGAAATCATCAAGGTAGATAACATCCTTTGCAGCTAATTTTGTCATAGATGTCAAATTTTGCAATTGAATTTCCACATTGGGCATAATTATACACCTTGGATGTAAAAACATCAGGAAAATAATACTTAATAATTATTTATTCATGGTTAATATTACTCTAAGTACTGTCAATAAGTCCCAAATTAATGAATTTTAAACACATACAATTGTTCAAAATTTTGTGCTAGTTATAGAAAAATTAAATTAGTAAAGCACTTGATATCGCAAATTAGTCTAAAGAGTTGGGTGCTTATGGTGGACAACAAATAGGTGTCTCTTTTTAATTATGTAAGAGAAATGAAAGTATCTGGAAAAATATGTAATGCAATGGAAAATAAACAAGCACAATGCAAATTAATAGAAGTTAAATTTGTAGCTGTCTATTTAATTTATGCATAAAAGAGTCAGAAAGTAGGCTTCCACTTTCTAGAGATATGATACACCAACAGAATCTTTGATAAATCTTATAAATGTTAATTTTCCCCACAGTGGAACTAGTGTTTCTGATTAGCTAAAGTAAATAGTTATGTGCAAGTACGAGTGGTTCTCAGTGGTAGTACTTTTTCTTTTTCAAACATTATAAAGATTTAAAACACAAACATTGCTCTATACCCTTAGGAAAAAAATTGAAATGAGATTCCAGAATTCAGGTTGTGTTTTAATTTTGCTAATAATTAGCCTTGTGCTATATATCTTAACATTGATTCTATATCAATAAAATGCATAAAATATTAGGGACTTTAAAGGGTATCTTAGAATTTACAACAAGCTGTATTTTTAAGTGAACTTTTTGCACCCAGCTCTCATTAATGTAGAAATCCTTCATCTTGGAAAATCACAGTATAAAAGAAAATCTCCTTTTTTCTTTTTTTTAGTATAATGATGATACTCACATGTTCACAATTACAGAGAAAGAGAGAAAGAGATTACATAAGATGTGGTCCAGTGGGGCAGGGGAAGAATATGTTTTTGTGATTATGTAATGATACTAATATGGCCCAAAGTTATTTTATTTTAAAAATGACTACACTTTTAAAAGTATAAGACATTTTCAAGTCTATTATTTAATATCAGAGATATAACAATCCTGTAAGTGACATAGGTACATTCAATATTATCATAATCTCAATGATCAAGAAATTACATTTGGTTTCTTATGAAAATGCCACACACATAGTAATGTCAGCTAGTGCACCAGATAGGAAACTCTCTGATTCCCACCGTATTGCTAAATTTCCTCCACCATTACAACTGGCACACAGCTTTGGTGGAAAACCTGCCACACACATTTACTGCAGCAAAGAAAAATCTGAATGGGTAGATCATAGTTAGACACCAGTTCACCCTGCCTTAGAGAAAGAGTGTGCTGTCTTAGTTTGAATTACCTCCTCACCCTTTACCTTGTCAAGTTCCATTTTTTTCTTATCATGTCTACCACTAACTTTCAAAAATGAAAAGGATTGCATCTTCTGAACTTCTGCAGTCTACTGGACAAAGTATTCAGCTTACATTTACTATATGGAGACTTACATTGTTATTTAACTTTCTTGTGTTTATTTCTCATTTCACCAACTAAATCTCAAAAACTGGAGGGTTCTATGTTTATAAAATCTGTCACTCTGCCAGTGACCTGACATCTTCTCTGATGAACATCTTTCATAGTATTTCTCATAAAGGTTGTTTCCGCATATTCTGATTCCAAAAGTTTGGAATTTCTGGAGGATCATGATGACTTTCACCCAGATACCCCAGAAGCTAGACAATAAAAAACACTAGTGAGTACTCAGTAAATGTTCAATAAAGGAATGCATATATGTTCAACAAATGTCTATTCTGCATTTTATAATTGAATCAGCCAAGCATTTATTTAATCTAAAAAAATGAAAAACAACTCTTTTAACTGATGTTCTAAAATAAGGTAAGATTAAAATTAGGGACATAAAAAATTAGAAGTTTGTTTTTATTAATTTTGGTGGATTCTATTGAACTTTTGTTGGAAGAGAATACTAATGAATCACTGAGCATAGTTCATTTAGAAAAAATATATATAGAAAGTTGAATTATCAAGCTAAATAAAAATGTTGCATTCGTGATGTTTGTGGATAATCGACAGACCCAACGAAGAATTTGTTTAAAATGTGTTTTAGAGTTAGAGATTAATGATTTTGTGGTCAATTATGACCAACTCTTCTAAGGTCATACAGCACTTTTTCCCAACTCACATGCGAAGAAGAGAAAGAAAAGTCAAACTTATTTATTTATTTTTATATTTTATGTTTTATTTTTATTATACATTAAGTTCTGGGGTACATGTGCAGAATGTGTAGTTTCCTCATACAGTTATACACATGCCGTAGTGGTTTGCTGCACCAATCAACCCGTCACCTACTATCCATCCCCTAGCCCCCTAACCCCAAACAAGCCCTGGTGTGTGATGTTCCCCTCCCTGTGTCTATGTGTTCTCATTGTTCAGCTCCCACTTATGAGTGAGAATATGTGGTGTTTGGTTTTCTGTGTTTGTATTAGTTTGCTGAGAATGATGGTTTCCAGCTTCATCCATGTCCCTGCAGAGGACATGAACGCATCCTTTTTATGGCTGCATAGTATTCCATGGTGTATATGTGCCACATTTTCTTTATCCAGTCTATCATTGATGGGCATTTGGGTTGGTTCCAAGTCTTTGCTATTGTGAACAGTGCTGCAAGAAACTTATGTGTGCATGTGTCTTTACAGTAGAATGATTTATAATCCTTTGGGTATATACCTAGTAATGGGATTGCTGGGTCAAATGGTATTTCTGGTTCTAGATCTTTGAGGAATCGCCACACTGTCTTCCACAATGGTTGAACTAATTTACGCTCCCACCAACAGTGTAAAAGCGTTCCTATTTCTCCACATCCTTTCCAGCATCTGTTGTTTCCTGACTTTTTAATGGTTGCCATTCTAACTGGCCTGAGATGATATCTCACTGTGGTTTTGATTTGCATTTCTCTAATTACCAGTGATGATGAGCATTTTTCATATGTTTCTTGGCCACATAAATGTCTTCTTTTGAGAAGTGTCTGTTCATATCCTTCTCCCACTTTTTGATGGGGTTGTTTTTTTCTTGTAAATTTGTTTAAGTTATTTGTAGATTCTGGATATTAGCCCTTTTGTCAAATGGATAGATTGCAAAAAATTTCTCCCATTCTGTAGGTTGCCAGTTCACTTATTTAAAAATGACTACGTAAATAGTTCTCTCCATTACTATTTATTCTCTCAAGGGAAGCTTAAAGAATAAAGAAGAAGAAAAAACAACACATTGGTCTAGCCACCTCATCAATCCAACAAGCATTGTTGTGGCATTTTAGTGGAGAAGGAAACTTGGGGGAAAAGTAACCCATCAAGGCTATAAGAACGGCTCCCAATTTAACCATCCCTGTCCCTATTTATCCACCTTTATTCACCACCCAAGACCATCCATTATTCTGGAGCACTCACCTATAAAAGTGGTCAAAGCATCAGAAGCAGGCAAGGAGTGAGAACGAAAAGGCATCAAGAAACCGATTTGCTTGAGAAAAGCAGAGATTCTTCCTTTCACAGTTCTCCATGGCTGAGAGGGAAAATGACCAAGAGATCATCTATGTGACTTAGAGACTCCTTCTGGGGAGGTTAAGAGTAGCATGAAGAATTTAAGATGACAACAAGAGTCTAAATTTTTAAAGTTTCAAGTCTAAATTTTTAAAGTTTCAAGGTTTCAACAGAATGTGGATATATTTGAACCTTCAAAGGACAATGTTTAGAAAGGGTAAAACCAGGACACACAAAACATTGGGAATTACCATGACCCCCAAGTGCTTCTGGCTCCAGGTAATAACCATTCATGTGTTTGCTGGATGTTACACAATTTTCCCCTATTACCTGGTACAAAATGACTCATCACCATCACCTCCCAAAAGCTTATTTTCAAACCACGATTTTCCCATTTATTTTGGTCCAATGTAGTCCTATTCTTTATGTCCTACAGACTCACTCCCAACTACCCCTCCGGGTGTTAAAAAAAATGAAGGAATTCCCCTTAGCCTGGACCCCAAAACTCAGAATTAAATAAGAGGAGGGGCTGGAAGCCTCCTGGAGACTAAAACGACTTGAGGCTAAATCTATCTTTCCAGGAGTGGAAAATTTATTCAGATAATGTTTGAGAATTCATATATGCCACAATAGGATAAAAACTGAAAGGTAGAAATCTCACACTTTTCCTTGTACCTCCCTCCCCTACTGCCCAACCAGATTCCAGACTTTATATCAATGTCATTACCATTTCTGTTAAATGGAGGCCTCTTAGGCACTAACCACACTGGCAACTTCATGGTGACATAAGGCACCACAACTTTTCCACTAAAAAGCTGTAGCCTCTTTCTCTCTGGCTGTATTGGCGATCTCCAGTTACTTCAATACTGTAAAGCCTGTGGAAGCATACAAAATAATTTCTTTTTTTTTTTTAAAGAAGGGGTAAGAAAGGTCTCCAGGAGATGGTGAGTTTTATTTTGTCTTGTCTGGATAGAGATTTGATTTGCTCTTAAATGTTCCAGGATGAAGAGAAACTAGGAGAAAGCACAGGATGTAGAGGTCTATTCAACGTAATCTTCTCCCTCGTTTTTATCTTCACCATCAATGGAGAGAGCAGCATACTTGCTTGCAGAACTGAACTTGGAAGCTGCATTTTCCTCAGGTTTCTTTGGCTTAGGTGCAGATCTGGAGTCTTGATCCTTTTTGCCATTTTCCTATCTGACTCCTTCCAGTGGTCTTTATTCCCTCCGTCTCCTGGACCACAGCTAGAGTTCCCAGTTTGGTCTTTTGGGACCTTGATCCCATCTGCTTTATTTTCATCTTTCCTTGCTGGTCCTTCCTCAGATGGTTGACCTGGAGCTACTTTTCCCCCACCACTTGTCAGAGATTGCTGCTCTGTGTCTTAGCTCTTGCAACACAGTAACTAAACTTTCCTGCTTTTATGTGCATTGTTGTAGGGATCAGCTTGGTAGACAGTATTAGCAAAGAAATGACCCCGTGAGCTTGGTTTGCAAGCCCTTCTCCCATCAGTCCTAGATTAGGCCCTGGTCAGCTATGCAGGGGTTTTGGTTTATGCATGCTGCAGCAGTGAGCATAATGAATATAATTTACTGAGTGGACAAAGGTGTGTACCAAGTGAATTTAAATAATTGGTGTGGATTGGCTAGTAGCTAAGAAGTGGGCTTTTAAAGAGATACTGCAGATTAAAAGGTTTATTTTAAAGAAAAACAAAACCATTGATTGTAGATAATGAAAAGCTAGGGTTTGCCCTCTTCGTGTCTACTTTCCTTCCAAATAGTTGTATCCAAAACTGTTTTTCCCTCTCCCCTAACTTGCCCCCTGTTAAAGCAGAAATGGGGATTGATTAATGTCCCGTTCCTGAATACATGTAAAATTTGTACAAAAATATCTTCTATGAAAATGATTTGTCATCTGTAGACTTATTACCTGGGAGATGTCTTGAGATGTAAAAGCTCATCCTTTGGGTTGTGTGTTTTTTGTTTTCTCCAAATAAATCTGATCTTTAAAGTTCAAAAAAAAATGACTATGTATATAAAACTTTAAATTTTAAAAGCCCCAAAATATTTGCAAATCTGCTAGCCCCTTAGTGGTTTCGGTACTTGAATTTCACGTTCTTTCTATAGTAGCCTATAACCCAACATGAATAGAAAAGTTGACTACACATGTTCTCTATCGCTAACAAATGGAAGTTGATTTGCATTTTACTAAAGTAATCCATATAAGTGAGGGGTTTTGTTTTCATTTTAAAATGTCAGACTATGTATTACTTAATGCTTTTCAAAACAAGCATATTATGTTTATCATCTTAAGATATTTAAGAGCTGCAGCCCTGTATTTTATATGATAAAGCCCCTACATAAAAGATAATACTAGACACATTAAAAATATTCATTTTTAGGGATATGTTAATTCAATTGTTGACATTAGACTGATAAAATGAGGTGATGCTGCAAAATTACTTAAAATTCTAACAGGAAAAAATGTTCTCACATAGGCATGCCTAGATATAAAAAAAATTAAGATCAATGAAAATTTCTGCTTGATTTTATATGACATGATAATATTAATAGCTCACATTTAATAAGCACTAACTAATTTCATCACTAAGTTCTTTAAGGTTTATTTAACCCTGGCCTTAACACTTTTAAAAATTGTGATGGTATTTTGATGCTGTTATTTCAAAATAATGTTTATTTGCTCTTTTTTGGCAATGAGCTTTTCCTTTGTCTCTTTCTAGTTTCACTATGATATACCTCCATTTACTGCTTAATACTGTTTCTTTCGCCAGTTCATACTATTCTGTGGGATAACATATTTTCATGGTGTCAAAGTATAAATTTGCATTTTCTTCAACACCGTTGTTTGTTCATCTCCACTTCTTATATGTATCTCAGATGAGCAGTGCTTAGCAGAGATACATATACTTAAGTATATGTAGTATGTATACATATACTTAAGTATATGTAGTAAGTATATCTACATATATTTAGTAGAGATACATAGAGAGTGTAGGAGAGAGGGAAAAAAGGGAGAGAAAACAACTAAATTGAACTTGAATCAAAAGAGCCGCCAAACTGACAGCTCCATTACTGTACAAATTGCACAGATTAATCTTATGGTTAGATTTAAGTTATTCATACTGGAGCAAAATTTCCAGTCAAAGCACTCACAGTTCTGTGAAGCCAGTGTGGCAAAAGTGGCCAAAATGATTAGTGACTTTGTTGTTGATATATTCTCATCCATCTATAAAACAAATATTAAACTTCTTAATTTTTTCATCTATTTTTCTCTGCCACTTTCTTGAATAATGACTAGTAATACCACCACCACATCCTAACACAGACCTTCCACCTACCTGGTATGAGCCCAGCAGACCAATCTATCAAGATGCCTTGTGTATATAAAAGCACAATCAAAAAACATATGCTCAAGGCTGTTGAAATGCTACCATGCACACCTCTCAAGATAATTACAGACATCAGATATTGTTCTACAGTAGTAACTTTCACAATTTATTGCCTTTGAGATTGAATTGTTCATGTTAAAACTCTAACTAATATTTAACTTTGTATACAAAGGACAATAACAACATCCTTTCTTCAAAGTCTCTCAATGACATGACACATTTACATTTAGAATAATATGCAAGCTATTTTGCACAACACTAGAAATACTACTGGTGTTCAAGAGAAATCTAGTAATTTTTTAATATATGGATTTTTGTGAAATTATGAGGATTTAAGATTTTAAGGTTAGATTAACTTTTTTCTTGTGAGTCTCTTTCCCTACTTTTTTTTAAGTATACAATGGATAAATTCCATTTATCCTTCTTATTACAGAGAAACTTGTTGCCTGTGTTACCTAGTTGTGATGGTAAAAATAATAAATACTATATAGCAGTAGATACTGTTTAGTCATATTAAATCATTTAATGAAATATGGCATTAACTTCATGATTGTGGCAGATAAATAACTTATAAGGAAATGCTTAAAGTAGGTAACAGACACTGGTGTGCTTTCAGAAATACTGAACAAGTTAGGACTGATAAACATATCAACATTTGCACAATTATAGAACAGTTACAGAACGAACTTTTTCATATACACACATCTACCTACCACTATATTGGACTGCAGACTACAGAACTTACCACACAACAATGCAGCTAATGCAAAATACAATTTTTAGATATCAGATATCTGAACCAGATGGTTCACCATATTAAGACATAGGTTTAGAGCACAGATGTCCTTGTGCTAGAATCAAAACAGCACAGCTCTCCTCTATGCCTCTAGAAAATGGTGTTAGCCTTCCAGTCAGACAAGATGCTGTGACAAGAGGCTATTTCTGTTGCTAATGGAATGAGGACAGAAGTACTAACTGGAAATCATGTTTCTATTTTTCCTCACCATTCTATTTTGCTTCTCTCTCTTCATCTCCTTCCACTTATACTCTCTTCTTTTTCTCTCCTCCCCAGTACTGTTCATCTAAAAATAATTCTCATATCCCAGAGTTTTATAAGTCTCCGTTTTTTAAAGAAATGTTCTACAGTTTACTGTACTTGGGCAAGAAAAACCTCAAGAGTAGGATTTGAGTAGATTCTTATATAATATTATGATTATCTGATTATATTGATACATGAGGTTAAAAAGCAAAATAACAAAACCACTCAAAGATATCTGGATAAATTCCTCAAAAATGCAGTGAAACATTTGGACAGTCGAAAAATAGCTGCTATCAACAAAAGTCATCCATATACCAGTATAATCCTGTTCAGGACAGTGTAGTCTTGATTCAGCAGAAATAGTATGCAACCTGTGGGTCAAAACAGTCATGCTAAAAATAACAACAGAATGCCCAGGGACAATATAAACCAATGCCAAGAAATACAAGGCTTGCAAAATCATCCAGAAGAGTCTAAAACATGACTATCCTTAACTGCACTGAAGTCCAACATCGAATAATGTCATGATTCCTACATTTGTCTGTTGAGCTTTCCCCAAAGTCATTATTGATCAATTTTAAAAGTTGCCTGTTTATCAAAATAATACCTGCTCATTGTATTTTATGAGCAAAATAATACATGCACATAAAAAAATTGAAATATACAGAGTGTAAAAATCCTTCACTCAGTTTGAATCCAAATCACAGAACCAAAAAGATTTTTAAGAAAAGCCTTCATTAAAAAAAGAAAAAAACTAAAATCAAAAAATTATTATTGTTAACACTTTGACATGTCTTACATATGTACTTAGTTATTTGATACGGGTCTTACTCTGTTGCCGGGACTGGAGTGCAGTAGAGCGATGTCAGCTTACTGCAACTTTGACAACCTGGTCTAAACGATCCTCCCACCTCAGCATCCAGAGTAGCTGGGACCACAGGCATGCCCCACCACACCCAACAAGTTTTACATGTTTTTAAAAATTGTATTAGTTTTTGAAAAAGTGATATTCCTATTGTATTTAACATATGAATCTTGCCTTATATTTGATTGATGGAGTAATTTACTTTTATATTCACCTGTTTGGGGAAATTTAAATGGTTTCTTCTATTTTACCAAAATATTGTTCAAAACATTAAATGGGCATCACTTTTAAATACTGGTTAGTTGATAAATGCTCGTTAGATTTTTATAATTATTACAAAAGTATAGTAAAGGCCTGAACATCACCAAAATATATTGGGTTATCATCCATTAGTAGTAAATGCTAGAGTGTGCTTCCTATATTCCTCACCCCGTTAGATAAGGCACTTATTCCCTGAGTTGCTGGGAGTATCACCTACTATTTGATGATATCAAGACTGTCTTGTGGTTTTGTTTGTTTGTTTGTGTGTTTGTTTCATAAGACAGAGTCTCGGTTTGTCACTCATGCTGGAGTGCAGTGGTGCAATCTCAGCTCACTGCAACCTCCACCTCCCAGGTTCAAGCAATTCTCCCACCTCAGCCTCCCAAGTAGCTGGGACTACAGGTGTGTGCCACCATGCGAGTTAAGTTTTGTACTTTTAGTAGAGACAGGGTTTCGCCATGTTGCCCAGGCTGGTCTTGAACTCCTGACCTCAAGTGATCCACCTGCCTCAGCCTCCCAAAGTGCTGGGATTACACGTGTGAGCCACCATGCCCGGCCTCCCAAGACTTTTTAATTTAATTTACAACTCTGAGGGACATTCTAGCTGTAGAACTTCACATGGAATTGCAGTACAACCTCTGCTGTGCCTGTTCTTTCTTCCTTCCTTCATTCCCTCCATCACAGGTCTTGGTACTGAGAGTACCATCCAATAAATTTCGGGCAAGTCAACCTTATTTCAGAGACAATTTATTGCAATTTTTGCAAAACCCCAAAAACTGCAGGAAATAGTGTCTGTATTATTATTTAGTTGGAATTTGTAAGTTGTTTTGATTTTTTTCTGTTTCAGATTCTTTCTAATTTGATGGTGAGGTCTGTCTTTTGACAGTGGCCATCGCCAAGATAGTCACTTTCTAGGAGAGCCCTTACAGGAGAAAGTTAGGTTTTAGTGGGTCAACCAGGTAAGACACAATAAGGAAGTAAAAACCAAAATGCACGAAACTGAAGAAATTTATTACCCTAGGTTCTCTAGAGGTTAGGGGTGTGGATAAGAAGTTTGGAGACAACAGGGAGCTCAAGCAGCAAATTGGGAGTGGGGACAGAACCTGTGGAACTATGCCTTTATTAAGTTCTGTGGGTATTAGCTCTTAGGCTTTCCCATGGGAGTTGCAGATTGGCTAACTTAAAGAAAACACACTCCATTCAGGACATAGGCATGGGCAAAGACTTCATGTCTAAAACACCAAAAGCAATGGCAACAAAAGCCAAAATTGACAAATGGGATCTAATTAAACTAAAGAGCTTCTGCATAGCAAAAGAAACTATCATCAGAGTGAACAGGCAACCTACAGAATGGGAGAAAATTTTTGCAATCTACTCATCTGACAAAGGGCTAATATCCAGAATCTACAATGAACTCAAACAAATTTACAAGAAAAAAACAAACAACCCCATCAAAAAGTGGGTGAAGGATATGAACAGACACTTCTCAAAAGAAGACATTTATGCAGCCAACAGACACATGAAAAAAATGCTCATCATCACTGGCTGTCAGAGAAATGCAAATCAAAATTACAGTGAGATACCATCTCACACCAGTTAGAATGGCAATCATTAAAAAGTCAGGAAACAACAGGTGCTGGAGAGGATGTGGAGAAATAGCAACACTTTTACACTGTTGGTGTGACTGTAAACTAGTTCAACCATTGTGGAAGACAGTGTGGGAACTCCTCATGGATCTAGAACTAGAAATACCATTTGACCCAGCCATCCCATTACTGGGTATATACCCAAAGGATTATAAATCATGCTGCTATAAAGACACATGCACACATATGTTTATTGCGACACTATTCACAGTAGCAAAGACTTGGAACCAACCCAAACGTCCAACAATGATAGACTGGATTAGGAAAATATGGCACATATACACCATGGAATACTATGCAGTCATAAAAAAGGATGAGTTCATGTCCTTTGTAGGGACATGGATGAAGCTGGAAACCATCATTCTCAGCAAACTATCGCAAGGACAAAAAACCAAACAGCACATGTTCTCACTCATAGGTTGGAACTGAACAATGAGAACACTTGGACATCAGAAGGGGAACATCACACACTGGGGCCTGTTGTCGGGTAGGCAGAGCGGAGAGGGATAGCATTAGGAGATATATCTAATGTAAATGACGAGTTAATGGGTGCAGTACACCAACATGGCACATGTATACATATGTAACAAACCTGCAGGTTGTGCACATGTACCCTAGAACTTAAACTATAATTAAAAAATTTAAAAAAAAATGGAAAAAAAAGAAAAAAAGAAAAAGAAAACACACATAAAGGAGGGAACTTATTTACATGGCTCTAGTGTTGACCACCGGGTTTTATCCTGTTTAACACCTGTGGAGTCTGTTGTGTTTTGAGCCAGTGTGATTAGGATCATTCAGGGCTATATCACAAAAAAAACACTCAGGAAAGAGAACATTTAACTAGGCCCAAAGTGACAGGGTACAACTGGGTTTCAAACAACTTAGGCTTAAAAATGAATGCCAAGGCAGCAATTATATTAAACAAATATATAAAATAAATAATTTATTAATTTATGACCTGTGATTCAACTAGTGATTGTCTATTGCATATCCAAAATTCATTGGAAAAACTATGAATTTCTTAGTTTGTGACATTGTAAATAAAGAAAATATACAGTCTATTCATGACTTTGCATCATATGAATTTTTGTGTTTACCTATTTAATATTCTTTGCCTTTTGACAATAATACAATCATTAGTGTTTCCTGTACATGTTATACAGCTGATTCATAATCACGGTAAAAAGCATCATACATTTCAGTTTTTTATAGCTGTATGTTCAATTATGTTTAAAGTATTTAAAAGTGGAAAAAGACAAATCCTACTTTTAAAAAATGTTAAGAAAAAAATGTTGAATTCTTTGAAGACGCTGAGATGCAGATCTATTTTTCTGTATGAAGGAGTGTGTCTAAAGAAATTAGCAGAATAAGCAGGATGCATATAGCAATTTCATTAACCTAATCACACAATAATCAAAACCTGATATGAGTCAAGGATGACAATGCAAATAAAGTATCACGTATCTTCTTAATAATTTTGACATGAGATGGAATGAAAGGATGAATTAAAAGAAACCCAGTTATCTAAGAAATGTCATTTTTGTTCTAAATGTGAAAGAAATATAATCCACTCAGGAAATTTGTTTTGAATTAACATAATTACTAAGTGAAATCTGATGCATTATCGCACTAGAACAAAAGTTTGGAAAATGTTCACTAGAAAAGCTTTTATTTTATTTATTTTTGTTTAAACAATAGAAATGTATTTTCTCGCCACTCAGGATGCTAGAAAATCCAGATCAAGGTCTTGCAGGATCAGGTTCTGAAGAAGGCTCTCTTCCTGGCTTCATACAGCCACCTTCTCACTGTGTCCTCACATGCCAGAAATCTCTATCTCTCCCTTTCCCCTTTTTTGCTTTTATAATTTCAACTTTTATTTTAGATTCAGGGGGTGCATGTACAGATTTGCTACATGGCAATACTGAGTGATGCTGAGGTTGAGGATATGAAGGATCCCATCACCCAATTAGTAAGCATAGTACCCAACAGTTAGTTTTTCAACCCTTCCTCCCTCTCATCCCTCCCCCTCTAGCAGCCCACTCTTAGAACTGCTATTTAAGACAGTACTGGCAGTCCTAGCCAGAACATTTAGTCAAGATAAAGCAATAAAAGGTGTCCAAATAGGAAAAAAAGAAGTCAAACTATTTCTCTTCACTGATGACATGATTCTACACCTAGAAAGCCCCAAAGACTCTGTCAAAAGCTCCTGGAACTGATAAGCAACTTCAGTAATACCAAAGTCAGTGTACAAAATTCAGTAGCATTTCTATTTACCAATAATGTTCAAGCTGAGACCCAAATCAATAATGCAATCTCCATTAAAATAGCCACAAAAAATAAAATTCCTAGAAATACACCAATCCAAGGAGGTAAAAGATCTTCATAAGAAGAACTACAAAATACTGCTGAAAGAAATCAAAGATGACATAAGCAAATGGAAAAGCATTCTGTGCTCATGGATTGGAAGAATATATGTTGTTAAAATGACCATACTGCCCAAAGTTATCTACAGATTCGATTCTTATTAAACTACCAATTGCATTTTTCGCAGAATTAGAAAGAAAATTATAAAAATCATATGGAACCAAAAAAGAGTCCGAATAACCAAGGCAATCCTAAGCAAAAAGAACAAAGCCAGAGGCATCACATTACCTGACTTCACACTACACTATAAGGCTACAGAACCAAAACCGCATGGTATTGGCACAAAAAGAGAAACATAGACCAGTGGAACAGAATAAAGAACCCAGAAATAAAGCCACACACAAAGCCATCCGATCTATGACAAACTCAATACAAAGAAGAAGTGGCAAAAGTACTCCCTGTTAAATTGATTGTGCTAGTACAGCTGACTAGCCATATGTAGAAGAATGAAACTAGACTCCTACCTTTCACCATAAACAAAAATTAACTCAAGATGGATTAAAGATTTAAATGTATGACCTCAAACTATGAAAATCCTAGAAGAACACCTAGGAAACACCATTCTGGACACTGACCTTGGAAAAGAATTTATGCCTAAGTCCTCAAAAGGAATTGCAACAAAAACAAAAATTGATAAGTGGGACCTAATAAAACTGAAGAATTTCTTCACAGCAAAAGAAACTATCAATAGAGCAAACAGACAACCTACAGAATGGGAGAAAATATTCACAAACTATGCATCCAACAAACTAATTTTATTTTGTTTGGGTATTTACCTAGTAGTGGGATTCCTGGATCATATGATAGTTCTATTTTTAAATTCTTGAGGAACTTTCAAACTGTTTACCATTATGACTGTACTAATTTACATTAACAGTAACAGTGCACAAGAATTCCCTTTCCTCCTTATTCTCACCAACACCTGTTATCTATTTAATAATACTCTAATAGGTGTGAGGTGATATCTCACTGTGATTTTAATTCCCATTATCTTGATGATTAATAATGTTGAGCACCCTTTCATATACCTGTTGGCCACTTGTCTATCTTCTTTTGAGAAATGTCTACTCAGATACTTTGCCTATTTTTTTTTCTTTTTTGAGATGGAGTTTCACTCTCGTTGCCCAGGCTGGAGTGCAATGGCATGATCTTGGCTCACTGCAACCTCCTCCTCCCAGGTTCAAGCGATTCTCGGGCCTCAGCCTCTCGAGTAGCTGGGATTACAGGCATGCACCACCATGCCCAGCTAATTTTGTATTTTTAGTGGAGACAAGCTTTCTCCATGTTAGTCAGGCTGGTCTCGAACTCCCAACTTCAGGTGATCCACCCGCCTTGGCCTCCCAAAGTGCTGGGATTACAGGCGTGAGCCACCACACCTTGCCCCATTTTTATTTATTAATAATTTCAACTTTTATTTTAGATTCAGTGGGTACATGTGCAGATCTGTTACACAGGTATATTTTGTGATGCTGTGGTTTGGAATATGGGTGATCCCATCACCCAGGTAGTGAGCAGAATATCCCATCGATAGTTTTTCAGCCTACACCCTCCCTTCCCTCTCCCTTCTGCTAGTCCCCAGTGTCTATTGTTGTCCTCTTTCTGTCCATGTGTACTTGGTGTTTAGCTCCCACTTATAAATGAGAATGTGTGGTATTTGGTTTTCTGTTCCTGTGTTAATTTGCTTAGAATAATGATCTCTAAGGGCTGCATCCATGTTGCTGCAGGGGACATAACTTTGTTCTTTTTGTGGCTGCATAGTTTTCCATGGGGTGTATGCACCAAATTTTCTTTATTCAGTTCACTGTTGACAGGAACCTAGATTTATTCCATGTCTTTGCTATTGTGAATAGTGCTGCAATGAACATACAAGTGCATGTGTCCTTTTGGTAGAATGATTTATTTTCCTTTGGGTATATATCCAGTAATAGGAGTGCTGGGTCAAATAGTAGCTCTGCTTTAAGTTCTTTTAGAAATTTCCAAACTGCTTTCCACAATGGCTGAACTAATTTACATTCCCACAAACAGTATATAAGTGTTCCCTTTTCTCCATGGCCTTGACAGCATCTGTTGTTTGACTTTTTAATAATCGCCATTCTGACTGGTGTGAGATGTTATCTCATTGTGGTCTTGAAGTGCATTTCTCTGATAATTAGTAATGATGAGCTTTTTTTATGTTTATTGGTTGCTTGTATGTCTTCTTTTCAGATGTGTGTCCATGTCATTTACCCATTTTTAATGGGGTTGCTTTTTTTCTTGTTGATTTGTTTAGGCTTCTTATAGATTCTGGATATTAGACCTTTGTCAGATGCATAGTTTGATGTTTTCTCACATTCTATAGGTTGTCTGTTTACTCTGTTGATTGTTTCTTTTGCTGTGCAGAAGCTCTTAAGTTTAATTAGGTCTCACTTGTTTTTGTGATGTTTCTCAGATGGATAGTTTGAAAATATTGTCTCCCATTTTGTAGGTTTTCTCGTCACTTTGTTGTTTTCTTTGCTGTGAAGAAGATTTTTAATTTCTCTTAATCCCATTTGTCTAATTTTGCTCCTGTTGCGTGTGCTTTTGGGTTCATATTCAAGAAAATCATTGCCCAGATAAATATCATGGAGGTTTTTTCCTATGTTTTCTAGTAAGTTTCACTGTTATGGGTCTTACATTTAAGACATTAAGCCATTTTGAATTTTTTTGTAGATTATGTAAGCGATGCGTATCATTTCATTATTTTACATGTGAATAACTAGTTTTCACAGCATCTTTTATTGAAGAAAATGTCATTTCCCTGTTGCATGTTATTGGCACCTTTGTCAAAAAAAAAATCAGTTGGCTGTATTTATTTTTGAGGTCTCTACTCTGTACCATTGGTCTATGTTCTGTTTTTATACCAGTAACATGCTGTTTTGAGTACTGTAGTTTTGTAATATGTTTTGAAGTCAGGTAATGATGTTTTAGTTTTTTGCTCAATATTACTTTGACTATTCAGGGTATTTTATGGTTCTATACAAATTATAGGACTTTTTATTTCTGTGAAAAAATCAATGGAATTTTGATAGGGATTGCATTGACTCTGTGTATCACTTTGGTTAGCATACACGTTTTAACAATATTAATCCTTCAAATCCATGGATGTACAATTTCTCAATTTTTGTGTGTTTCTTCTTTGATTTTTCATCATTTCAGTGTACAGATCCTTTACCTCTTGGTTTAATTTATTTCCAAGTATTTTATTCTTTCTGGTGCTATTGGAAATGAGGTTATCTTTATTTCTTTATTCTTTTTCAGATAGTTCATTGTTAGTGTATAAAAATGCTACAAATTTCATACGTTGATTTTGTATCCTATAACTTCACTGACCGTTTATTAATTGTAATAGGTTTTGGTGGAGTCTTTAGACTTTCCCACATATAAGACCATGTCTGGTAACGGAGACAATTTAATTTCTTTCTTATCAATTTGAATGCTTTTTATTTATTTCCTTTCTGGCCAAGACTTCCAGTGCTATGTTTAATAAAACTGGTGAGAGTGGACCTCTTTGTCTTGTGCTTGCTTTCAGAGGAGAAGCTTTGAGTATAATGTTACCTTTGTAACAGGTATAATGTGACCTTTATTGTGTTGGGGTATATTCTTTCTATACTTACATTGTTGCAAGTTTTTATCATTAAAGGATGTTGAATTTTGTCAAGTGATTTTTCTGCAACTATTGAGATGATCATACAGTTTTTGTCTTTCATTCTGTTCAGTGGTATACCACATTTATTGATTTACATATGTTGAACCATCCTTGGATGCCAGGGATAAATCTTTCTTTATCATGGTGAATGATTCTCTTAATATGCTATTAAATTCAGTTTGCTAGTCTTTTGATTGAGAATTTCTATAGCTATATTCATAAGGATATTGCCCCTAAATTTTCTTTTCTTTGAGGTTCCTTGTCTGGCTTTGGTATCAGGATAATGCTGGCCTCATAAGATGAGTTTGGAATTATTGCCTCTTTTTTAACTTTTTAAGAGAGTTTGAGAAAGACTGATATGAATTATTTAAATGTTTGATAGAATTCAGCAGTGAAGCCACCAGGTCTTGGGCTTTTCATTGAAGGAAGACATTTTCTTATTCTGATAATTTCATAGATTATGCAAATTGCTTTTCTATCAGATAAGACAACAAAAAATGGTTTGCTTAATTGTTTTGTTTTTGGTTTGTTTGGTTTATATATTTAATATATTACATTATATCATTTAGGAAAACACTTCTTGCTTATTGAAAAACAGGATAGCTTTAGAGATATGGATGTAAGATAGTCCTGCTTTCAATCTTATTTTGACCTATTGCTGACATTGAAAAACTGGAAAAGCATTTACTCCTTACTGAGTAACTGTAAAATATTTTGAGTTTCACTAGAAATAATAATGGGAAATAAATACAGGAACATATGCAAAGTAATGAAATATGTTTTCGTTTTTCAGGGAAAATAGTAGTTTTGTTCTAAGGAAAAAGTATCAGGTTGCTTAAGAATATAAAAGATCACTATGAAAATGAAACTTGAGTTCATATAGGTAGTTGTAGAATGTTTGAGGAAAGAGAATTTTATATGCCTTGGTTTCTTAGTCAGTTTTAGCTGCTGTAACAGAATACCATAGGCTAGGGTGGGGGCTTAAGCAACAAACATTTATTTTCATAGTCTGGAGCCTGGTAAGTCCAAGATCAAGGTGCCTGCAGATTTGTTGTCTGGTGGGGACACTCTTACTGCCTTCTTGCTACATCCTCACATACAGAAGAAAGAGATCGTCTTCCTTTTGTTGCTTCTTGTAAGCATTCAACCCACCATTTCCTCTGGTATTTGTCTGAAGGTGCTGTTCTAAACTTGAGGCCAGAAACTGAATTTTCAATTAAGGATATTCTCAGAGCCATGTATAAAGGATACAACAACAGAGCGTTGACATTTTAAGTAACAGACTCATGAGTACAAGTTTCAGAGCTTAAACCTATAATTGCTTAGACAACTGTCAGGCAATATCACAGGATTCTGAAATTAAACTATCACAAGATCTAGAAGATGAATAATTTCCTCAAGTTCTAATTAATTATAAAAGACTGACTAGGTGGACCAGGTGCTGCGGCTCCCAGCACTTTGGGAGGCCAAGACAAGCATATCACTTGAGGCCAGGACTTCGAGACCAACCTGGCTAACATGGCAAAACCCTGTCTCTATTGAAAATACAAAAATTAGCCAGACATGTTGCTACGCACCTATAACCTCAGCTACTTGTGGGGGTGGGAGGACAGTGGGGACTGAGGCATGAAAATTGCTTGAACCCAGGAGGCGGAGGTTGCAGTGAGCCAAGATTGTGCCACTGCACTCCAGCCTAGGCAACAGAATGAGACTCTGTTTCAAATAAAATAAAAAAGAAATAAATAAAGATTGACTATGTGGATGAAGGAAATTATTTGTAGTTATTTGTTTGTGATAGTGTTGAGGTTGTCCTAATATTCTATTTTTTATTAACATATGTGGAATCATTTTTAATCTGACTCTAATACTCAAGTTGGTAGAATACATTTTCATGAATTAAATGGATCATTTTTAAAATTAGTGTAACTTTCACTGACTCCATTAAACTTGGTAACAATTACTTTATTAATTCTCCTTATTTTTCATGATAATATTATTATTCACATAAGTACAATAAAGATTAATCCTCCTCTGTAGTATGATATAATTTTAAAAAGTGATTATGCAATAATCAAGGCCAACCCTGGAGTGTCATATTTGGTAATACATTAATCTAATAATAATAAGCTCATCATCAATGAAAAAGAATTGCACTTTATACTTGGAGTCAATGCCCATAAATATTTTCAAGACGGTGTGGAACAAAGTTTACAGGTTTCAGTCTCTCAGGTGGTGAGGAAGGTGACTTCCTGACAGGCCAGGAACTTTAGAAAATCTAGTGTAACCTGAGGAGAGAGAAAGCAGCTCAGATCTGGAAAGTGTGGTGGAGAGAATTTCTTTCACTTGACTTTCCAGTCTTGGGGCAGAAAAATATACTGTAGAACTTTTTAAAGTTCATAGTGTGATTTTTAAATGAAATGTCTTGAAATAAGTTAATTATTCTAGCCTCAAAGCTGCTTGACACTTTGTGCTGAAGGAAACATATATAGTCAATTTACACCTCTTGCTATATCTACGTTAATAAACAGACCTAGGCATGAAAAGAATGGCCTTTTTGGCCTCAAGAGTACTCCTTAGAAATTATATATTATCAAAATGAATGTACTGTATAAAAAGTTATTTTAATATGATTTAATTATCAGGGAGATACGAACCTTTTTTTTTAACGATATAAATTAGGCTTTGCAAGCCATACAATCTCACAACTACTCAGTTCTGCTATTGCGACTCTAGATCCACCATCAACAATGTTTAAACTAATGGGTATGGCTGTGTTTAAAAAAAAAAACAAACTTTATTTATGAAAGTAGGCAATTGGCCAGCAGGCATAGTTTGTTGCCCTCTGATATAGGAAAATATGCTTATGTTTATTTCTGATATTTCCTGTTAAGTAACGCCATAAATTCTGTCAATTTACATTTTAACATATATTTTTGTTCAGTATAAAAGTTATAGTTGCCCTGCCTGATAAGACATTAACCATATGTGTATCTGACCTAGCAATCTTATTTTATTGGTTTTTTAATGCATTTTTTGAAAGATGATATAATCCCTGTTCCTCTTATTCACATTTAGACTGCATTTACTGTTTTTTGGTCCTTTCAATAATAAATTGAGTATTTTTGACACAAATTCATTCTAAATCTGTAAAAGAATCATGTTTTTACTTTTGAAAGTTATATCTCAATAATAAAAATTTTATGTGTATATCTTTTGAATCCTAATTCTATTAGATATTTTAGATTCTAAAATTTCAACTTTTCTGTTAGATTTTGGTCATCTTTAATGGCAAAATTTGAGGATTTCTAAACTAGGGCAGCCTCTCACCTCTGAAGAAGACAAAAATTAGAATATTTAAATTATTGAGACCAAAATTTTTCAATACATCAATAGTCAGAGAGCAGTTAAATTGTTTCACAATTCCTTCATCCCTTGTAAAACATACTACTAAATATGTATATTTTATCTGCATTTAAGCTTTTGATTTAAGATGTGATTTTTTTTTCAACTATGAGTAATTCCAAGTCCTAAATTGCTGCGGGCAGCGGAGCGGGGGTTAGCACATCGAGTATAGTAGACAGAGTTTATGCTTAGAGAAGAATCTTTGCAGGCATGGAGGACCACAATTACAAAGAGAGGGATGCTCTAACTTCTTTAATGACTTTTTCTTGTGACAGAGCATTTGAGCCTTTGGCATATCCAGTCAAAACTCTCAAGTCATTCATGACACTGAGAGGCAAAGTTCACTCAGAGTTAAACTTGCGTTTAACTCTGTACAGAATTTCTAAGTGACAAGCATGTCTCTGTCTTTGCCAGATGTGCGGTATTCTTTATGGTCTAGAAACCTATACTTGGATGAAATTTAACCACTCCAACACATGCAATATGTATTAGTGAACTAAAACTTTATGGACTAGTAAGAAAAATCAGAGATTTAGTGAAGTCAAAATCCTGAATCTAATTCATTGATTGGGAATGTAATTCATTGATTGGGAATGTCTTCCTTTTTACAACAGGCTTTTTGTTCTGCCATCTTCCCAGCACTCAGTATAATGGCTTCTATCTTGGTAATTCTTCTGCAACAGTAGAAATTATAGAGACCTTGCTCTATAGTTGTATCCCAGTGGATTGTACTTCACAGTCAAATAATTTTTATATTTGTCAGTCAGAAATTTTAAAAATTAGGTTCATAGGGGAGAAAAGTGGCCTTTCTCAGGTCTTATAGTATCATCTCTATTTTCTTTCTTACCTCCTTCACTGCTTTTTCTACTATAAACTTTATTTAGGGCAGCATATTAAGATTTATGGTGCTGTCAAATGAGGATTTTAAAATTCTCAGCCACACTGTGGCACTAGCTGAAGGCACAAAGAGTTTATCTTCATTAGGTTGTATTTATTCCTTCTCTGCTTGCGGATAGGCTACTTAGAAGAAGCTGGTCTCTTTCTTAGAAGAACTTTTTGAAAGCCACACAAAAAAACAGTCAACACATTTCAAAGTACTGAAATTTCTCTACAGAATTTTCTAAAGCTCTAGCTACAGAGAACTAAAAGTCTGAATACCAAGTGAATTTGCATGAATATGGCAGTATAAATATTTTTCCACTGTATAATACCTATCAGTATCTTCTCAACCAGGGTAATGGAGAATCTTCATACTGTATTTTTTGGCAAATCAACTTAATCCACGGTTTAAGTGTTCACACTTCCAGAAACCAGTTTCAGAATTAGAACTCTTTTTGGCTTCCAGGAAACAAAGTGACATTAGCAAAATGCTATATGGTAGCTTATTTATCTGAAAACTCCAAATAATCAAATCATTTTGCTGTATTTCCCTGTCTTCATTTCTCAGCTCAGAAGTTCTGTTTTGTTGGCTGTACTCTCAGTTAATTTCCCACTCAACAGAAAATGACCACTGAAAATCACAAACTCACATCCCTCTAACAGTGCCAGAGGACAGACTTCTCTTCTTTCCAAATGTTTCCGGGAAGTCCCAGATTTCTGCTTATGATCTGATCCAATCAGCTGGATTTGACATTAAATTCTCTGATTGGCAAATCTTGTACCATGCTCTATCAAAGTAAAAAACCAAGAGTGGAGTAGGGATGATTCCACCAAAGAAAAATCAAGGTTGTTTTACAAGGTGCAAAGAAAAAAAAAGAGAAAAGTGAAGGAGGCGGAGAGAGAGAGAGAAGGAAGGGAGGGAGGGAGGGAGGGAGGCAAGGAAGGAAGGAAGGAGAGAAAGAGAAAGAAAGAAAGAGAATGAAAGAGAACAAAAGAAGAGAAAAGAGGAAGGAAGGAAGGAAGGAAGGAAGGAAGGAAGGAAGGAAGGAAATGTACAAAGAAAAGATGTCAAAGACGTCTATAACTTGTTAAAGCATGTTGAAAAATAGAATAAATTTGACTTGTAGGGAACTTTTGTTGGTAGGCCATGGTGATTTAAGTATGCATAATTTCATTTTTAATATTTGTAACCCATCTATTTAAGAAACCTGTCAGAGTACTGTTAGGCTTATTATTTATATCTTATAGAATATTATTTTTTGTTTCTGAAATAAAGTAAAATTATTTTTGTAATTGTCTTCCTTCATAGATTTTGATAATGAAAACTGTTGTACAAATACCTCCTAAAGTTATTTTAATAATTGAATAAATGACTGAACTCAATTCAAACAGCTGTGTTGTCTCTTCCTATACCCTAGATGCCATTCCTTCTTAAACATATTCTTCCTGAGCACTTTGAGATTGGAGATTAAGCTTCTGTTTAATGTTGTTATTTTATTTATTGTTTTGTTAATATTAGATCTTCAAGAGATAAGTCTCCTTTGTCTTTGTCTTATTGCTTATAATATGATCAAACACACATCATTCTTTTAAAAAATCATCTTATCAAGATTTTAACATAATTTGTTATTTTGTATTCCTGACACTATAAATGTAACTTTTACATGTATATTCTACCTAAGCCATTTTTTCCAGCATTCATGCAAACCTTTTCAAACCTGTGCTCATGTAATATCCCCACATACTTGATTTCTGTTGATCTTCTATATTTTCCTTCTCTTAATTTATCATAAACATTTTTATTTCAATTTTTCAAATCCTTGTTCTCTAAAAGAATTATTTTCAGCTATCTAAAACCATGCTATATTAAATATTTTGCCTTTGTACTAAATTGTGGCACTTATGTCTACCTATGCCTAACAGTCCTTCCTCCAGCTATTGCAAACTCACATAATTTCATGATGTTTGTTGGCTCTCAGCAGTATTCTAGGGAGGCATGATAATGCAATATAAAGTATACTAGTTTAAGACCTTTCTGTCCTTCTTACAGGAATTATTAATAACCTGCATGTTAACTTATTTCAGCCTTAAAGTTTTTATCTATAAAATGGTTATATTGTATCCCCAATAGGGATGTCATGAAGATTAAATGTAATAACCTTCATAGTACTTAGTACAGTACCTGACATTTGGTGGTGCTTAATAGGTGATTGTCTTTTATTACTATTGTTATAATTTATTAGATTTTACTCTTTAATGCCTCCAAAATGGATGGTTTTGGACATTCAGGACCATTTTTCTGATATTAAGCCATTCCTGAGTTTATAAACCATAGATACCATCTCATGCACAGAGAAATGATGCTTATTATGTCTTTCTTCCAGGTTCCTTGAATCTGTTCATGCCTGCAAGTGCTTTCCTTGTTCTATATGACAAAATGTGCCATTTTATAAAATAAATAGAATTTTCTTCTATCTCTCCCTTATTTAAAAAATATAGCTGATATAAAATCTTATAATTACACTTTTATTCTTTTTTCTTATTTTTCTACTCACCAATTTCTGGATTCTAGTTTACCTCTTTCTCTGTTTCCTCATTTCTGTTCTTGTTTTTCATTCCTTTTGGATCATTTATCCCCACAATAAGAAAATATTCCATTCTTGACAAAATTTAAAAAATGGAAAGACATTCTGTGAACACTTTGAATTTATCATCAATGTCAGGAATTGTCACCTCCTATTTTGAGTTTAGTTACTCCTCATTTCTTACCTGGATTACCACAAATGTCCCCTTTTCATTTCCCTGTGTCTTGACCTTTTTCCCTTCTTATTTATTCATCACATGTTCGAGTGTTATTTCTAAAGAACTGGCATGATTATGATACTCTGAAGCTTTAAAATACAACAGTCTCCCAATTGCTATAGATCAAAAATCTATGTCAGTTAATTACATGGGAGGCCCTCTATCATCCTGCTTTATCAACTGCCAAGTAGCAAATATATACCTCCCACAATGAGCCAATCACTATCTCTTATTATCCAGGAGACATTAGTTTATGAATGTTTGTTTATAGAGCTCAAGAATAGAATGACAATGCCTAATTCTCCTGATTGTAGCTGAATGGACCATTGATAACTTGTGATCTCTGGCATACAAAAGATAAATGAGGCCAATGAGATTTCCCCACTGAGAACATAAAATTTGTACATTGAGGAATACATACAGTATATATAGATATAGTAATCCACGGATAATTCAGCCAGGAAGTCGTGTAGGTTCTGCGGCTGGAAAGCCATCAGCTCAGTGTTTACAGATAAAATAAGAGAGGAGGAAGTTAAACAAAAGAGAGAAACAGAAAGATACACAGGCTTGGAAGAAGAAATTTAGCCATCATCGAGGACACTGAGAAAGACAGAAACAGAATGAGACAGAGACCGAGAGAGACAGAGATTAAATGCCTTGATTCCTGACAACTTCTGGATTCCATCTTCATTGAGATTTATGTGCATTTTAAAAATAAGCCTGCGCTTTTTTTTTTTTAAGTTAACTTTAGTTGGTTTTTGCTCTTTTCCATGGTAAAAGCCTTGACATGAACAGATAAGCTATTTTTGGTCATCTGGCAACTTTTTCTCCGCTTAAAAAATTCCTACTTTAATGTAAAAGCCTAACTCAACATTGCCAACTCTATGAATTCATTTTCTACCTTCTTAGGTCAAATTGATTTCTATCCCCAGTATTATCAAAGAGTAGTATTTATTTACCTATCCTATAGGTAATACACAATATCACATTTTACTTATTTATCTTTCAACTCTCCTGGCTTCAGCTTCAGCTTCAGCTTCTACATTTGTAAAAAGTGAATACTAATGGCGTTTCCTCATAGAACTGTGGCTGGGATTAAATAATTTGACATGTCAACCATGATTTAAATAACAAGCACTATAAACTTAAGAGAATTTTAAAGTTGATTTTACTCTGAGCCATGTTTGTAGACAATAGCTCAGGCACACAAGTTCAGAGCAAACCAAGAATGTGCCCCAGAGTGGGCTACATGAAGTATAGTACTTACAGATTTTCACAAAGAAAATGGGGGAAGGAGACAATGAAGCAAAGGTGACATTTCTTACAATTCTGAGTGGAGCTTAGTGACATCACACATAAGATAAAGCAAATAGAGTAAAATCTTAGCAAGTATATAGACATCTTAGTGTATGGAGAGGGATGATTGATTCTATCCTGCTTTTGTGTTTCATCTGATGCGCAAGGTTACAATTGTGTGTCAGTCAAATGTTTAACAGACCACAGCCTTCCACACAAGAGTTCAGATTAGTATAGGCCTAGTTTCTATTATCTTTGTGTTCAACCCACAGTCATCTTGGGCCACTTTTAAAAATGTTTCTTTCAGATTTTCCTTTTCTGATAGACTTACGTAAAACACTTAGAGAGTAGCTTTTGTTATGATTGTGACTCTCCCATCTAGACAATATTAATTCTGGTAGAATTCAGTCACCAGTATATGTTTTCTTGATAAGTAAAGGATAATAAATAAATAATAAATTAACTTTTTGAAACAAGAGTTATTTAAATAGTTCATAATTAAGAAACCCATTTCTATACTAATGGGCTGATAAACAGACATGTAGAAAATAAGCAATATGTACGGTAAAATAAAAAGTTGTAACTAAAATTGATTCGGTTGGAAAAGAATGGCTTCCATAAGTTTTGTCATCAGTAAATTTTTATCCTAAAATGACTAGAAAGAACTCCTTGGTTAAAGCCTTGTTTTACAAATCACATAGCTTATTTTTCATATAGCAAACCCAAGGACAAAATGGGATAGGAAATCTATTTTGAGATGTAAATGTAGAAGCACTTTGAGATATTTAACATGGAACAGTGCTTCAGACATTTATTCAAAAATTCAGCTGTTATTAAATGCCAAGCCAGTTTGTCATAAACCCAAGTGTGACAACCCAAGTGTATGATAAATAAGAAAAAAACAAAGAATGCTATTAGTTGACAAGTGAGTGTATTCTTACTGTGCCTTAAACTTTTGTTTGTATTATTAATGAACTCTGCTATTTCTTCTGTTGCAAATTTGAAAATAAATATGTTGCATTTCAATAGAAAGGAAGTTTAAAGGAAATAAAGCAAACTGATTAACCTGCTACTTTGACTTTAATCAGTTGGGCTAGTCTCATTCAAATCAGAAATTTCCTGGAATAGCAAAATAAACTGAGCTCCTCAAATGTTCTGTAGCTTGCAGAAACTAGATAGAAACTACTTTATTTAAGGTTTAAACTGCATTAATGTCAAAAAATTGTAGATATCAAAGTCAGAGAAGTTCTTTTCCACATCTTATATGCCACAAGCCAGTAGCTATGCTATGTGTTAATTGCCATGTTCGTTAGGAATAGTTTGACTCTTGAGTAGATAAGGCTACAATCTAATTAAAAGAAATACATCTCATTGCAAGTGGCTTTCTAAAGGACTTTTACATAAATATACCTCAGAAAATAAACAGAAATCAGCCAGTATGCATCACGAGATTAAGAAAATGGCCCAGAAAAAAATAGTGCTGTGTTAAGAATGAGAGTAAAAAGAGAATGCTAGATAAAATATTTATCCTTCAGTGAAAACTCATATTTATTTATAACTTAAAATACCAATTTTGTTGTTTAAATTAAAAGATTGTAACAAAATATTACAGAGTGGCTTAAACACCAAAATTGTATTTATTGTCTTATGGTTTTGGAGGTTAGAAGTCCAAAATCAAATGTCTGCCAAGTTTGCTTCCTCTGAAGACTGTGAGAGAAAAATAAGCCTTTCTCCTTGGCTTGTTAGTTGACCATATTTCCCCTGTGTCTCTTTACATCATCTTTCTTCCTTGCATATCTATCTCTGGCTCCAAATTTCCCCTTTTCATAGAGACAACAGTCATATTAGATGAAGGGTTGAATCTATTCCATTATATTCTTATCTTAACTAATTACATCTGCTAATGACCCCAATTTCCAAATAAGGTTATGTTCTGAGGTGTTGAGTGTTAAGACTTCCAACATAGGAATTCTGGGGGAGACACATTTTTGAAAATGGAAATCTAAAAAATATATTTGAATCTCTTATATGTGAAGAGCACACATAACCAAATAAAGAATGGCAGTTGCCAAAGAGATGACAGTTAGAGGCAAAATTAAGAATTTGATTTTGCAATTGCTTAAAGGTGAAGAAACTTGACACATAGTTGGCTACCCACCAGTGACATTTCTAAAATGGAAAAAAGTCTGCTTTTACTTTCTTGGCACCATCTTACTTCAGTGCTTTTCTATTGTGGATTGCAAAAAGAAACGCCATTAACTGGCATTAACCCCATAGCATTACCTGGCCCCCTAACAAATATTTTCTTAGGTCCTGATCTTACCAATAAGGATCAAGGATCATGCAAATCCAGATTTTACTTCCTACCCACATGAAACCCAACCTTTAGATTTTTTAGCTTTATTTTCAATCCCTTATCCATACTTTTTTCTAGCTTCCTTTTTTCCAAATTCTTTAAAATACTGTTTTTTTTTTTTTTTTAAGGAACACAAATTGCTAACTTCTAACTTATACTTTTAAGGGCTTATGATTATACCTCTATTCTCTTTTAAAACTTTTCAAGAAGTCAGATTTTTTCTTTTATTTATTAGTCCCTAAAGTACCCTTAAAGTGTCATAGGTTTTACAACCAAAATAAGGTTATATTGCAAAGGAAGAGCCACTGAAGGGAAATTAATGCCTTTAAATGGCTGCCATAAGTAATTCAAGTAGCTCCTCTCTAGACAGCACAGGAAAACATGTTGCAGTTATAAATTTCAGAAATCAGCCCTTGATTATCTTTCAAAGAAAGAAAAATAAATCCTTTTTTCTTTCTGTGACACATGTGGTTCATCGTATGACACACTCTCATAGGTATATACAGAATATATGGTTACACATACACATACACATTTCCATTCTAACTACTTAGCTCCTAATCACTGCTCTTTAATAAGAAATCTTTCCTAGTTATTTTTCATCTGGAAGACCCCAAAATAAAAGACTATTACAAAAGAACTTCACTGGCCTTCCAACTTTAATCCAATCTCTATGCCATTAATTGTGTTACTCTTTTAAAGTTCTGATCTAGAAAACATATATTCATTCATTCATGTATTCATTCAACAAATAATCTTAGAAATTTATGCCAAGTACTATTCTAGATACAGAAGACAAAACAGTGGGGGAAAAAAATTTCTGTGCTCATGACATTTAGATCTAATTTAGAGGGAAAATGGAATAAATGTAATAATAAATTAACTGTATATTAGAACACAATATCCTCTCTGAAGATAAGTCAGAAATGAATCCTTTATAACTCTCAAGTAGTGGGAGATATTTTAAAAGATGATTGAATTATCAAAAGCCATTAAAAATTTGAGAAATTCAAGTTAAAAAAAAAAAAAGGAAAACTTCCAAATAAGGAAAAAACATTATATAAGATCAAAATACAAATAACTGTGGGTAAAATGTTTACAGTATATATGACTATATGACCTCCCTTTACAAAGTGAAATTGGAACAAAAGCTACAAAACAGAGTATATTAGTCTGTTTTAACACTGCTATTAAAGACATACCTGAGACTGGGCAATTTACAAAACGAAGAGGTTTATTGGACTTACAGTTCCACATGGCTGGGGAGACCTCACAATCATGGCAGAAGGCAAGGGGGAGCACGTCACATCTTACTACATAGATAGCAGCAGGCAAAAGGAGGGCTTGTGTAGGGAAAGTCCCATTTTTAAAGCCATTGGATCTTGTGAGACCCATTCACTCTCAGGAGGACATGGGAAAGATCTGCCCCATGATTCAATCATCTTCCACCAGCTACCTCCCACAACACGTGGGAATTATGAGAGCTACAAAATGAGATTTGGGTGGGGACACAGAGCCAAATGATATCATTCTGCCCCTGGCCACTCCCAAATCTCATATCTTCACATTTCAAAACCAATCATGCCTTCCCAACAGTCTCCCAAAGGCTCAGTTCATTTCAGCATTAACTCAAATCCACAGTCCAGCAGCTCATCTGAGACAAGTCAAGTCACTTGCGTCTATGAGCCTGTAAAATCAAAAGCAAGTTAGTAGCCTCCTAGATACAATGGGGGTACAGGCATTGGGTAAATATAACCATTCCAAATGGGAGAAATTGGCCAAAACAAAGGGGCTACAGGCTCCATGAAAGTCCAAAATCCAGCAGGGCAGTCAAATCTTAAAGCTCGAAATGATCTCCTTTGACTGCATGTTTCACATCCAGGTCATGCTGATGCAAGAGGTGGGTTCCCAAGGTCTTGGATAGCACTGCCCCTATGGCTTTGCAGGGTACAGCCTCCCTCCTAGCTGTTTTCACATGCTGGTGATGAGTGTCTGCAGCTTTTTCAGGCACATGGTGGAAGCTGTCAGTGGATCTGCCATTCTGGGGTCTGGAGTATGGTGGCCCTTTTCTCACGGCTCCACTAGGTGATACCCTAGTAGGGACTTTGTTTGGGGGCTCCAACACCACACTTCCCTTTTGCATTGCCCTAGCAGAGGTTCTCCATGAGTGCCTCGCCCCTGGAGCAAGCTTCTGCCTGGACATCCAGGCGTTTGCATACAGCTTCTGTTTCTAAAAGTGTTAGAAAAACTTCATAGTATTCTAAGATGTTCTAAGGATGAAAATTTGAAAAGAATAAAAGCAAATATATGGGTAATAAAGTTTTCTTCTCCTTTCAAGTTTGTAATACTTAGGGTCTAACATTGATGTGGAGTTCCATATAAATATCTACATAAAGAAAATGTATGCATGTGTGTAGAGAATATGTTTAAGACAACTATATTACAAACAAGAGAAGATAAGGAAACTTAAAAGATGTGAGGTTTCTTGGACTATAAAAAGTTGACACCAGTTGATTTTTGTGTTGATGGAAGTTTTTTATCTTGATGTTGGTGATGGTTATAGAAATTTATATATGTGATTAAATGGCATAAAATTATACACACACAGTACCAATGCCTATTTCCTGCTTTTGATATTGTACTTTTTATACAAGATAAAACCACTGGGGGAAACTAGGTGAAGAACACCTGACACATTCCAACAGGGCAATTTCCTGTAAATCAATAATATTTGAAAATTATTTTTTAAATTAATTAAAATACAAATGTAAAAATTTGCTTAAGAAGATGACTGTGTTTTCACTATGCTAATGCACATAAAAACTTGGCTGTGTTTGAGATAATAGTGCCATTTAGATTTTATGTTTTAATGTATTATGTACAAATGGACATCTGCCTCCTATAAAATATATTAAGCAATAATGAAGTATGTGGTTTCAGACTACCATAAGTAATCAATGGGGAAACTGGGCAAAAGGTAGATGAGCCTGCTCTGTGCTATCTTTACAATTTTCTGTAAGTCAAAATTATATCCAAATAAATTTTATAAATTATGATGCAAATATAAAAATTTGTTTAAAAAGGTGACAGGGTTTTCATTCCCTAAGGCATACATAATTTGTTCCATATTGGAGATAATATTCTTCAGGTTGTGTCATATTTTTTTACACTGTTAACAAGTGAAAAACTGCTTCCTGATTTTTACATTATGCAGAATTGAAGTAGGTGTTTTTAGATTGCAATGGGCAATTCAATATGTGCTTAGTGTTAAAAATTCTGCTTTTGATCCTTATCAATATTGAGTAATTTTGAAAATTTAAAATATTAACAGAGTATATTATTCTTATTAACATTATTCAAAAGAATATTATATTATACCTGATTTATTCTTAACTATTTTCAAATAAACTATGGAATAGTGACATCAACAAGATAGCCAACCTAGAGCCCCCTGGCACTTGTCCCACTGACAAAGACAAAGCAGCAAATACACAACTACATTTTGAAGAAAATAACTAAAAGCAAGTGCTGGAATATATCAATAGAGTGCAGAAACCGCAAATAACACAGAAAGTTAGAATGATCACATAGAGAATAAGAGGAAACACCTTGCCTTTGCCACCTCATCTCCCAGCGGGGATCAGCTTGGAACCAGGAGAGACTTCTCCCTACAGGAATAAAGTAACAAGGGGACCTCAGCAGCCCCCATCTCCACCTTGGACACCTACAGTCCTCACCACTGAAAGTAACTCCTACTGTACTCAGTTACTAAGCTCAGGTGAGGGAGCTACTTGGACTCCACACAGCTGTGATCGCCACAGAGAAGGAGCCAATGCTGCTTGCCCTCCTATGGCCCACACTGCTACTGCACAGTGTCATCTTGGAATCACAATGATTGTTGTACTGTGCCCTGCTCTGGGGGCATGCAGCCAGAATACCCTTCCATTGGTGAGGCTTTGTCACTGTGGCTCTACCCACTCTTGGTGGACTACCCTCCTCTACCCAAGCTACTGCTACATCCTATCCAGAGGGACCCAGTTGCTGGGTAGCTGCTTCATTTGCTCCTTCCAATTGCTGCTGCACTCAGCACTTTGGGGTCTGAGCTGACTCAGCACGCTGCCTTCTGAGAAAATGTTTTCTTGGCCACCCAAGGCAGTCATATGTTCACCCACAGTGCTTAAGCTGAAGTGGTGTTCTGTCTCCCAGGGAATCAATGTTTCGGCCTAGCCAAGCAGAAGCACCTCCCAAGGCTGAGCTAATGGGGCATTCCACATAGCAAGGAAACAGAGAATCAGCTAAGCTTGGATACCTGACCCTCCAGACCAAACTACTGTAGCATCCTGCTTCCCTATAACTGAACTAATTTTTCAGAGTCTGAACTGCTGAAGTGTACTGTCTTCCCAGGTAGTGAAATCATCCCTTCACTGCCCCTGCCCCACAGGGCCATTCTGCCACTCCTGGGTCGTCCATGATTGCATTCTGCTATTCCTGGGTCCATGCTACCACTGTACCCATCTCAGAGAGCTTAGGATACTGCCATGTCATACCATCCTAGGGTCCAGAATCACCACTATGTAGTGTCTTACCCTTTGAAGCATAAGGGGACATTATGCCTTATTGGCTGTGGTACAAAGCGAGGGTGCCCACTAACACCACTTCTATTCAACGTAGTATTAGAAGTACTAGCAAAGTAATCAGACAAGAAAAAGAAAGAAAAGATATGCAAATTGTAAAGGAAGAAGCAAAATTATCTTTATTTGCTAATGACATGATCTTATATGTAGAAAACCCCAAATACTTCACCAAAAACTATTAGAATAAATGAATTCAGTAACACTGCAGAATACAAAATTAACATGCCATAATATGTGCCATTACTATACAAAATAATGACCTAGCAAAAGCATCAATAAGACAATCCCATTTATGATAGAATCGCAAAATAAAATAAAATATTTGAAAATAAATGTAACCAAGGACTTGAAAGACCTGTACACTGAAAACTATAAAATATTGATAAAAGATATTGAAGAAGACACAAATAACTGAAAAGATATTCCATGCTCATAGGTTTGAAGAATTAATACTGTTTAAATGTCCATGCCACTCCAACCAATATTCAGATTCAGGGCAATCCCTATAAAATCTCAATGACATAATTCACAGAAATAAAAAAGTCTTTGTGTGTAAAACCACAAAGAATTTTAAATAGCCAAAGAAATTCTGAGAATTGAAAAAAATTGTTGGAGGTATCACACTTCCTGATTTAAACTTAAATATTACAAAACTACAGTAATCAAAACAGTATGGTATTGGCATAAAAGCAAACACATAGATAAATGTAACACAATAGAGGTCCCAGAAATAAATCTAAACATACGTGGTCAACTAATTTTCAACAAGGGCCCAGAGAGCTTTCAACCAATAAGACACAATGGAGATAGTCTCTTTAATAGCTGGTACTGGGGAAACAATTTCCACATGCAAAAGAATGAAAGTGAACCCTTATCACACACCATTTTGCTTTTATGGTTTCAGCTATTATGTTTAGAATTAAGTGTAATAATTTGGGTCTAAAAGACTTAAATGTAATACCTAAAACCATAAAACTCCTAGGAGAAAACATAGGGAAAAAATTCTTGAAATTGGTTTTGGTGATGATTTTTTATATAACACACCAAAAACTGAGACTACAAAAGCACAGATAAGTAACTGGTACTACATCAAATTAAAAAGCTTCAGCATAGCAAAGGAAAAAAAAAGGCAACCTATGAGTTAGAAAAAAAATTACAAATCACAAATTTGGTAAAGGATTAATCCTCAAAATTTATAAAGAATGCATACAGTGAAACAAAAAGAAAACATATAACCTAATTTAAAAATGGGCAAATAACTTCAATAGATAAATATATTTATCCAAAGGAATAAGAATAGCCAAAAGCTATATCAAAAGGTGCTCAGCATCATCAATCATTAAGGAAATACAAATAAAAGGTATTAGGAAATATTACTTTATACCCATTAGGTTAACTATTATGAAAAAGACAACAGATAGCAAGTGTTGGTGAAGGTGTGGACAAAAGGGAACCTTTGTACGTTGTTGGCAGGAGCATGGATTGGTGCAGTCATTATGGAAAACAGTATGGAGGCTCTCAGATAAACTAAAAAGAGAATTACCATATAACTCAGCAATCCCTCTTCTGGGTATATATTCAAAGGAAATAAAATTACCACCTACTAAAAATATCTGTACTCTAATGTTTATTCACAACATCCAAGATATGGAACAACCTAGGTGTCTGTCAACAGATGACTGGATATTAAAAAAAAAACAACAACTGTGGTACAGTAGGCCCCCTTAGTAATGGGGGATACATTCCAAGACCCTCAGTAGATGCCAAACCAGAACCAGATTGTTTTTAACCAGAAAATGTTTCTTTTCATGTCTTATATGCACAAATTCAATGCCTTTCCCATCTTAACAAAGCCCTGAGGCTATAACCTTTTTGGTTTAAGGTGTGACAATAAAACTAGCACCTTTTTTTCCTTCTTCCCAATTTTATGCATAGACATTTTCTTCTTAAAATACATCTTATAACCTCAGCATATAATTTTTTCTTTCTTATTGATAACTTTTACCTTTTCCCTTAAAGAAAGGACTTTATGGCTTCTCTTTGGCATATTCAAATTGCCAGTATTAGTATTCTTGCACTTTGGGGCTATTACTAAGTAAAATAAAGATTACTTGAACACAAGCACTATGATATAGCAACCTCTATCTGATAACAGAGGTGGCTGCTAAGTGACTAATGAGTGGTAGTGAATACAGTCTGGATACACTGGACAAAAGACTGATTCATGTCCCATGTGAAAAGAAGATAGGCAGTATGAAATTTCATCATGCTACCAAGAAAGGCATGCAATTTAAAATTAAGAATTTTTTATTTGGAGAAGTTTCTATTTATCATTTTCAGACCATGGTTGACCACACGTAACTGAAACTGTGGAAAAACTATTAATAAGTAAGGACTGCTGCAATGGAATATTATTGAACACAATGGAATATTATTCAGCCTTAAGAAAGGAGGAGATCCTGCCATTTGTCACATGTATGTAGTTGGAGGACATTATACTAAGTAAAACAAGCCAGATACAAAAAGTATCGCATGGCTTCACTCACATGTTGAATCAAAAAAAAGGGGGGAAGGGCATACAGAGAGAATAACACAGTATTTACCAGAGGCAGGTCATCAGGGAGAAAATGGGAGATGTAAGTCAAATTATGCAATGTAGCAGATATGTAGTATCAATATGTCTAAAGATCTAATATACAACATGAGGACTATAGTTAATAATAGTGTATTATATCCAGAATTGTCACTAAATGAGTAGATTATATCTGCTTTTGTCATGGGGTGGAAAAAAGAGTAACTATATGAGATGAAGGATGCAATAATTTATTTCACTGTAATAACTATTTTAACTATTTTGATATATAGATAGATAGATAGATATACATATAGATAGATAGACAGACAGACAGATAGATAGAGAAGTTTGGATATTTGTCCCCACTCAAATCTCATGTAGAATTGTAAGTCCTAATGCTGGATCTGAAGCCTGATGGGAGATGTTTAGGTCATGCGGCAGATCTCCCATGGCTTGGTCCTGACTTCATGAGAGTGAGTTGTGCAAGATCTGGTAATTTAAAAGTGGGTAGCATTTCCCCTCCCCATTTGTCTCTCTCTCTCTGTCACTCCTGTTTTTTGCCATGTGAAGTACCTGCTCCTCCTTAACCTTCTGTCATGACTTTAAGCTTCCTGAGGCCTCCCTAGAAACTGAGCAGACGCCAGCACTATGCTTCCTGCAAAGACTGCAGAACCATGAGTCAATTAAACCCTTTTTCTTTATAAATTACCTAGACTCAGGGACTTGTTTATAGCAATCCAAGAATGGCTTACTACCGAAAATTGGTACTGAGGAGTGGGGCATTGCTATAATGATACCTGAAAATATGGAAGCAAATTAGGAACTGTGTAATGGGGAGAGTTTGGAGGAGTTTAGAGGGCCCTAAAGAAGACACAAAGATGTGGGAAAGTTTGGAACTGATAGAAGCAGAAGACAACCACATGCCTAAGCAGATAGGGAAGAATCCCCAGAAAAACTCCAACCTGCCCAGGTCATTGTGCACAGCGGGCTTGCCTAAACATGCCCATGATGAAAAATCTCATCCTTTAACACATGTGCAGCAAGGGAAATACATCAGTGTGGAGTGACTCAGACTAAAGAATCAACTGTGCACTGGGAGAACTGGGTGGAGCCACCAGGAATTTGTGCCTTCTGCTGGCAATGAGTCTGGCCTCTTCAGCTCATGTGTGGGAACCCTGGTATACAATTGTGAGGTGGGAGCCTGTTTTCAGGACCCCTATCTTTTCTGAGAGCTTTCCTTTAGCTTAATAAATTCTACCCTCCTCACCTTCAATGTGTCCACATGCATAATTTTTTTCCTGGTCATGAGACAAGAACCCAGATTTAGCTGAACTAAGAAGCAAAAAATTCTGCATCAGAACTTCTTAAGAGACTGGTTAAATGGTTGTACCAAAATGCTGATAGTGATGCAGACAGTGAGGTCCAAGCTGATGAGGTATGAGATGGAATGAGGAACTCATTGGCAACTGGAACAAAGGTTATGCATGTTATGCCAACAGAGCTTGGCTTCATTCTGTTCATGCCCTAGGGATCTGTGTAGGTTTGAACTTGAGAGTAATACTTGAGGATATCTGGCAGAAGAAATTTCTAAGTGGCAAAACATTCAAGATGTGACCTGGCTGCTTCAAAAAGCCTACACTGAGATCAAAGAAGGATCAAAGAAATGACGTAAAGTTGGAAATTACATTTAAAGAGGAAGCAGAGCCTAAAAATTGGGAAATCTGCAGCCTGGCCATGTAGCAGAGAAAGAAAAAGCTTTTCTGAGAGAGGAATTTAAGCAGGCTGTGGAGCAACAACTTACTAGAGATATACACATAAGTAAAAGGGAGTCAAGTACTAATATCCAAGACAATTGAAGGCATTTCAGAGACCTTTGAGGAAGCCCCTCCCATCACAGGCCCTGAGGCCTAGGAGGACTGAATGGGTTCATTAGCCAGGCCAAAGTCCCTGCTGCCCTATACAGCCTAGGGACACTGCTCCTCACATCCAGGCTATTCCAGCTTCATCTAGGGCTCAAACACGCCCAGGTACAGTTTGGGCTGCCACTTTGGAGAATGCAAGCCATAAACCTTGGTGGCTTCCACATAGCCTTAAGCCTGTAGGTATGCAGAATGCAAGAATGAAGAACACTCGGCAGCCTGCACCTAGATTTCAGAGGATGTATGAGAAAGTCTGGGTGTCTAGTCAGAAGCCTGCTCCAGAGGCATAGCCCTCACAGAGAACCTCTACTTGGGCAGTGCCAAGGGACAATGTAGAATTGAGGCCCCCAGATAGTATCCCCAGTGGGGCACTGCCTAGTAGAGCTATGAGAAATGGGCCACTATCTTCCAGATCCCAGAAGGGTAGAAGCACCAGCAGTTTGCACCCTGTGCATGGAAAAGCCTCAGGCACTCAATAGCCTATGAGAGCTGCTATGGGGAATGAATCCACAAAGCCACAGGGGCAGAATTGCCCAAGGCCTTAGGAGCCCACCCCTGCACCAGTGTGCCCTGAATGTGGGATATAACATCAACGGAGCTTTAAGATTTAATGACTGCCCTGATCTGTTTCAAACTTGCATGAGACCTGTAGCCCCTTTCTTTTGACCACTTTCTCTTTTGGAATAGAAATGTTTACTTAATGCCGATATGCTTATACCTCCATTGTATTTTGGAAGTAACTAATTTGTTTTTAATTTTACAGGCTCATAAGTGGAAGGGACTTGTCTCAGATGACACTTTGGACTTTGGAATTTTGAGTTAATGAGAGAATGAGTTAAGACTTTGGGGGACTCTTGGTAGGGCACGATTGTATTTTGCAATGTGAGAAGCGCATGAGATTTGGGAGAGGCCAGGGGCAGAATGATATAATTTGGATATTTGTAACTGTGCAAATCTCATGTTGAATTGTAATCCCCAAGGCTGGAAGTGGGGCCTTGCTGGAGATGTTTGGGTCATGTGGGCATATCCCTTACAGCTTGGTGCTGACTTCATGACAGTCGGTGAGTTTGCACAAGATCTGGTTGTTAAAATTGTATAGCACCTTTCCACCAATTCTCTCTCTCTTTTTTTTTCTGTCTCACTTGCTCCTTCTTTTACCACATGAAGTGCCTCCTGCCACTTGCTTGCTCCTTTTACCACATCAAGTGCCTGCTGCCCCTTTGCCTTCTACCATGATTGGGACTTTGTAACTTGCTGAGGCCCCTCTAGAAGCTGAGCAGATGCCAGCACCATGCTTCCTGCAAAGCCTGTAAAACCTTGAGCCAATTAAACATCTTTTCTTTATAAATTACCCAGTCTCAGGTATTTCTTTAGTAAAGCAAAAATGGCCCTGACATTATACTGTATACCTTTAATACACACAATAAAAATGCATTTTTTAAAAAAAGAAAATGTTTGTTTGTGTTAGAAATGTAACAGTCTTTTATTGTCCCATGTCTGCTTATGTGTCACTTTCTTTTTTTTTTTTTTTGTGGTTTTCTTTTTTTGTTTTTTTTTTGTTTTTTTTCCCCCCCAACAAGGTCACCTAGGCTGGAGTGCATTGGACCAATCACGGCTCATTGCTACCTCTGCCTCCCAGACTCAAGTGATCCTTCCACCTTATCCTCTTGAGGAGCTGGTACTATAGGCGTGCACCACCATGCCTGGACAGTTTTTGTATTTTTTGTAGTGATGGGGTTTCGCCATGTTGCCCATATTGGTTTCAAACACTTGAGCTAACACGATATGCCACGTAGGCCTCCCAAGATGCTGAGATTACAGGCGTGAGCCACCATGCCCAGCCATCATTTTCTTTATGTGGAAGATTAAGTGATAAAGAGCACTGCAGTTAAAGTATCCTATGAAATCGTTGTCTTAACATCTATCTCATAATTAATTACACTTTGTTTTTTCCACATAGTCAAGGATAATGCCTTTGATCTAATTATCACACTTGTTTTAATAATAGATATAATGCAGTTCTTAATTTATTAAGTTTCTATACTTAATATAGAAAATAGATTGTTATTTTAAATTTTCTATACTTGAAACACACACAAACAGAATAGTGAAAAAAATCAGAAGGGACTTGTGAAATCCACCTCTCAGAGTATTTAGCTGTTATAGCAATTTTTAATCATGTAGCTACAATCTTGCTTCATCTTTTTGCAAACATTTGATAAAAAAAGTGAAGTAACATAAGAATTCCAATGATAATATACATATATTATGAAAATAAGTTTATGATTACTTTCATGATAAAAATTAATGGGTTGTTTGTTTAGTTTCAGATCTTAATGCCAGATATAGTTTAAAGAAAATCTTTCTGGGATATATCCACATGTAGAAGGGGCAAGCCTCTATCGGAAGAAAATTGCCTATAAAATTAAAGAATTCCTCATTCAATCTTGCTCCTCTATGCATCCTGGCATGCTTATTAATATTTCAGCCAAACTCAGAATCCAGGACAGAAAGGAAATAAAATCTGTTGATTAGATATTAGATATCTATTTTAAGGTGATGCTAAAGATTACTTTATCAACTGTCATTTAACTATCTTTAGTTCATCTTATAAAATAATTTAATCAGAGTAATCCTTCACCAAATAAGTTTACATCCAAGATTATATATTTACAGGGAGAAGGATTTTTTATGGTGCTAGAATTCAGACTTCCTGAGATAATATGTTATTGTATTAGAGATACTATAAAAATGAGAAAGACTACTGACTAGACATCTGACAAATGTGCATATGTCTTAACAAAAGGAATGTAAGTGCTAAAATATAATTTTTCTGTTATTGTGGACCCACAAAGAGGTGATGTCTAATTTGCCAGGCATGCCATAATATACCTGCTCACATAATAATAATTAGCAAGTTTAGTAAATCCCTATTTCTAGCAGAAAGTTGTATGTCTCAACAACAAGGATAGCACACATTGTTTTTAATGTTACTTTCAGGAAAAATAAGATTTAGGAGAACCAGAAGGTCAGGATCTTTGCATTTAGATCCACTTCACAACATGCTTCATCGGGAGAGGATCATCTATCTTGAAAGACACATCCCATAAAGGCCATGGTGTGAGGGAAAATGAAGCCATTAGATTTTTGGAATTTAAGTTTTATAGCTGCAGTTTCAATAACACTACCAGAGTTGAATAGGACCCAAGTGTCATATTGAAGAGTCAGCATGAATGACTAATTCCATGTGGTGAGAAAGCTGATGGGCTTCTTACACTGAGCTATCTGAGGAGAGAGGAACCAGTCAACTATGGAGGATTGCTTCATTGTACAACTAGGGAAGTTGAGCTTCTAAAGGACTAAGCACACAGCAACATTTTAAAAGAAATAATACTGTGTGTGAAATTCAGCAGTATTAACTATTGATATTAGTGTCAACTGGAATGAGTCCATGAATGAGACAAGATTTGCAATTAGAAAGGTCCTAAGGATACAGTTGGGTAATGCAAATAATGTCAGATTGGGTAAGTTAAACTTGAAATCATTGCCATGCCCATCTGAGTCACTGCAATGACTCTGTTCATCACAGTCTCCAACCATCTCCTCAGAAGTATACAACAGTCATAGGGAAATCTAGTGATAGGCTAAGCAAGAGAAATACAAATTTAACTTTTTATCACTGTAGGGTACTAGATAATTTCTGATGACTCATGCTGTTTCTATTTTTCTAGATAATCATGGTCAAACAGAGATATAACCACCTCTGTATTTGGAAATGAAAAACAACCACCAACACAAAGAACAAAAATCTCTTTTGAGGGAAATCCCTTTTTCTATAGCTTTCATTAAGGGAAGGATGTTGAGAAGACCTAGTACACTTAAGAGAATAAATCTCAACTTGTAGCTTGACAAAGACAAATGTTCCCTACTTGTTCTGGAACAGGTAAAAGAAATTCCAATGTTATGTTTACTGATTCTTCGCTTTGCTTCCTTTAGAAAAAAAAGAAAAGAAAACCTTAGTGGGAAGTTAAGAGCTGTTTGATTAACTGCTGAGCTAAACCGGAGCGAGCATACTCAGGAGTCTCTCTCTGGGAGGCTCCTCTAACTTGCTGTTCTCCTACTATGCTTGCGCATATTGGCTAATGTCAATTAATCACATAAAGTAGAGACCATGGATTTTGTATAATTTCCCCCCTTTCTCATAAAGGGAACGAATTGTTCCAGACAGAAGGAGACAACATTGCACAGGCAATTCAGCTGAATTGTAACCTGGGGTGGACTTAGTGCTGTCAAGGGGGAAGTTTGGGTTGATGGTTCTTCTGAGCTGCACAGCTCAGTGGTTTTTCTGTTTATAATGTCAGCCTTTTCTTACGCACTGCATTGTGTTAGGGACTTCAGTACAGAAGGAATATGGGGATCTATTTAATAGAAACTCTGTTGGGAAACAGAAAAATGTTCAACCTCCCTAACTTTCTGCATTAACTTTTTGCATAATTCTCCTCTTTTAGTTTGCCATTTGTAAGACTGAAATTAAAAGAGGAAGTATAATATTAGCAAAACAGTCAGTTAAAACATACAAAGACAGTTCTACTAACCTGGTTTTAAAAACCCACTAGCTACTTTTAAAAGCATAAATTCTAATGATCAACTATCACAGAGTAGCAGTCAGGGTTTTAGAGTTCAGCAGTTGCAAATGAACATGAGACAATATTTGTGGTCAAATAAACATGATATAAAGCCAAGGACATACAACTCTAGGCTTTCAGAAAAGACAATTCTCAAGTAACTTAATAGCAATATAAGAACATATTCTAAATAGAGTTCTTTTTAACAGTGTCAAGCGTACGTGCTGAAAGCCGCAGCAACCAGCCTCAATATGATACTCTTTCTCACTACCCACTGGTGTTTTGGAAACTGCTTGAAAATCAAATCTTTAAATATGTAAACCAAACCACATCTAAAATTATTGCCAGACACATGTTTAAAATAAGCTGAACATTTTCCCCCCAAAAGCAAGTTAATTGTATTTTTCTATGTCGGATAGATATTTTGGATCAAATAAGAAATAAAAGCAATACTTCGACAAAATGTTATAAGTGCTATTTTACGTAATTAAACCCAGAATCAAAGTGCAAAATCTATCATGACTGAAATTAAAGTCTTAATGTTCTAAATGATAGCAATGACTGCTATCCCTAGCAGACAATACAGAAATGTCATACAAAAGGAGAAAGAACAGGTCCCAGCATCAGAATCCAAATTGAAAGCAATTTTCTTGCTATAAAATTGAATGGTTTATATTTACATTATTAATGACAAGAAAAAGTAAATCAAAATATAGAAAATATGCTTGCCTCAATATTGCTGCCAATGCTAGTGACTTATATTGTATTTATTTATGTAAATGGTTAAAATATATTTGAAAATTTGTTTTTATAAATTGGCAATTTATGATTACGTTTATTTATGGAGTACAATGTCATGTTACGTTTTATGAATATTATATAGAATAATTAAATGAAGTTAGTTAACATATTTATCACTTCAAATATTAACTTTTTTGTGGTGAGAACATGTGAAATTTACTCAGCATTATTAGAATGTACAATACTCTGTTCTTAACTATATTCACCATACTATGCAATAGAAAATCTGAAAAAAATTTTTCACTTATCTAATTGAGATTTTGTACCCATTGATCATCATCTTTTCATTCCCCTCATACTCACAATCTCTCTAATAACCACTCTACTCCATGCTTCTGTGAGTTTGATGTTTTCATGTTTCATAAATAAATGAGAAAATGTGGTACTGTATTTGTCTTCCTTTGCCTGGTTTATTTTACTTACAATAATATTCTACAGTTATTTTCATATTGTAGCAAATGACAAAATGTCTTTCTTCTTTAAGGCTGAAGAGTATTCCATTGTGGAAATATACTATATTTTCTTTTTTTAATATAATTTTGTGTTTATTTTTAATTTTTTTTAATTTCAGATTCAGGGGGTAGATGTGCAGGTTTGTTACATAGATATATAGCAAAATGGTGAGATTTGGGCTTTTAGTACACAAATCATCCAAATAGTAAATATTGTACCTAATATGTATTTCTTTAACCCTCTCTTGCTTCCCAACCAACGCCTACTGGAGTCTCCATTGTCTATTATTTTCATCTTTGTGTCCATGTGTACATATTGTTTAGCTCTCACTTATAAGAAAGAACACGCAGTATTTGATTTTCCATTTTTCAGTTATTTCACATGGAATAATAGCCTCCAGCTTCATCCATGTTGCTGCAAAGGACATGATTTCCTGTTTTCTTTTATGGCTGGATAGTATTCCATCGTGTATATATACCACATTTTCTTTATCCAGTCATCCAAAGATGAACACTTGGGATAATTTCATGACTTTGCTATCGTTAATAGTGCTGTGATAAACATACAAATGCAGGTGTCTTTTTAAATTATTTCTTTTCCTTTGGGTAGATGCCCAGTAGTGGGATTGCTGGATCAAATGGTGATTCTATTTTTAGTTCTTTGAGAAATCTCCAGGCTGTTTTCTATAGGGGTTGTACTAATTTACATTCCCATCAACAGTGAATAAGCATACCCTTTTCTCTGCACCCTTGTCAACATCTGTGGCTTTTGACTATTTCATAATAGCTGTTCTGACTGGTATAAGGTACTTCGTTGTAGTTTTGATTTGCATTTCTCTAATGATTAGTGATGTTGTATATTTTTTCATGTTTTTTGGCCATTTGCATATCTTCTTTTGAGAAACGTCCGTTCACGTTCTTTGCTCACTTTTGAATGGAATTATTTGGTTTTGTCTTGTTGAATCATTTGAGTTCACTGTAGATTCTGGAGATTAGTGCTCTGCCAAAGGCACAATTTACAAATATTTTCTCCCATTCTGTAGGCTGCCTGTTTACTCTGTTGATTACTTCCTTTACTCTGCAGAAATTTTTGGTTTAATTAAAACCCATTTGTCTATTTTTGCTTTTGTTGCATTTGCTTTAGGGGTCTTAGTCACAAACTCCTTCCCTAGGCCAATGTCCAGAAGAGTTTTCCCCAAGTTTTCTTCTGGGCTTTATATCAGGGCTTACACTGAAGTCTTTAATTCATCTTGAGTTAACTTTTATATATGGCAAGGGATAGGGCTCTAGTCTCATTCAGAGGTGTATGGCTAGCCAATTTTCCTTGCACCATTTATTGAGTAATGCGTTCTTTATCCATTGTTTATTTTTGTCAACTTTGTCAAAGATCAGTTGGTTGTAGGTATGTGACTTTATTTCTGGGTTCTCTATTCTATTTCATTGACCTATATGTCTAGTTTTCTACCAGTGCCACACTTTTTGAGTTGCTATAGTCTTGGGAGTACAGTCTAAAGCTAGGTAATGTGATACCTCTGGCTTTCTTCTTTTGGCTTATGATTGCTTTGTGTTTTGAGTATCTTTTGTGGTTCCATATGAACTTTAACATTTTTTTAATTCTGTGAAGAATTACCTTGGTAACTTGATAGGGATTGTGTTGAGTCTGTAGATTGCTTTGGGCAGTATGTTCATTTTAATAATATTGATTCTTCCAATCCATGAGCATAGGATGCTTTTCCATTTGTTTATGTCATCTGTGATTTTTTTCATCAGTCTTCTGTAGTTCTAGTTAGTTGGCTCACAATTCTGCCAGCTGTTACAGAAAGCATAGCACCAGCATCTGATTGCCTTCGGGTGAGGTCTCAGGGAGCTTTTACTCATGGTGGAAGGCAAAGAAGGAGCAGGCATGTTACATGATGAGAGAGGTAACAAGAGAGTGAAAGAGAAAGAGACAGAAGGGGAAGTGCCACACTCTTTTAAACAATCAGATTTCACATGAACTACAGAGAAAGAACTCATTCATTACCAGGAGGATGGTGCTAAGCCATCCATGAGGAATCCATCCCCATTATCCAAATACTTCCCACCAGGACCCACCACCAGCATTGCAAATCAGATTTCAACATGATATTTGGAGTAGAAAACATCCAAACCATATCAATTGTCTTCCTGATATGCTTTTGGATACACGTTGCAAGTATTGCGTTGAAGTTTTTTTGTCTATGCTAATCAGGGATATTGGCCTATAGTTTTGCTTTTTGGTTGTATGTTTTCCTGATTCTGGATCATGATGATACTAGTTTCATAAACTGAGTTAGGGAGGAATCCCTCCTCATCTTTATTTTTTGGAACAGTATCAGTAAGATTGTGATATTGTTTGGCTGTGTGTCCCCAACCAAATCTCATGTTAAATTTTAATTCCCAGTGTTGGGGGAGGGACCTAATGGGAGGTGACTGCATCATGGGGTAGATTTTCCTTTGCTGTTTTCATGATAATGAGTGAGTTTTCATGAGATCTGAGTTTAAAAGTGTGTGGCACTTCCCCCCCACCTGCTCTCTCATCAAAATGTGAAGATGTTCTTGCTTCCCCTTTGTCCCATTTCTGATTGTGCTTATTTGAATCATTTATCCTTTTTCCTTAATCTCACTACCAACCTATAGATTTTGTTTATCCTTTCAGAGAACCAACTTTTCATTTTGTTGCTCTTTGTATCATTTTTGTGTTTTCAATCTCATTTAGTTCTGTTCTTATCTTTGTTATTTCTTCTGCCACCCTTGGGGTTTTTTTTTCTTGTTTTTCTAGTTCTTTGATTTAAAATGTTAGAATGTTAGTATGAGATAAATTTGTCTCCTTAATGTAGGCACTTATTGTTATACACTTTCCTCTTAGAACTGCTAAAGGTTTTAATATATTGTGTCTATTTTCACTAATTTCAAATTTTTTGTTATTTTTGTCTTAATTTTGTTGTTTACACAAAAATCATCCAGGAGCAAGGTATTTTGTTTCATGCATTTGTGTTTTGACAGTTACTTTTCTAATTTTATTCTACTGTGGTCTAAGAAGATACCTGATACAATTTTTATTTTTTTGAATTTAATAAGACTCAATTTATGGCCAACAATGTGGTCTATTTTGGAGAATGTTCTATGTACAGATAAGAACATTGTATATTATGTGTTTGTTGGGTAGAATGTTCTGTAAATGTCTATTAGGTGCCTGTGGCCTAGAATCCAGTTTAAAGTTTTCTTTGCTGATTTTCGGCCTCAATATTCTGTCTAGTGCTGTAAGTGGTATATTGAAGTTCTCAACCATTACTCTATTGCTATCTCTTTCCTTAGGACCAGTAGTATTTGTTTTATGAATCTGGGTGCTACAATGTTGGGTTCATATATATTTGAAACAGTTATATCTTCTTGTTAAATTGAAACATCATTATTTTATGACCTTGTCTTTTTTTTAGGTTTGTTGGTTTAAAGTACATTTTATCTGATATACACATAGCTACTCCTGTTCATTTTTGCTTTCCATTTGTGTTAAATATCTTTTCTCGCTTTTTTTTTTTTTTTTTTTTTTTGAGTCTGTGGGCATCTTTCCCCATTACGTGGGTCTTTTGTAGGGAGCTAATTGTTGGAACTTGCTTTGTTATCCAATTTGCCAGTTCTTATCTTTTCCATGGAGCATTTAGGCCTTTTACATTCAAGGTGAGTATTGACATGTGAGGTTCCATTCCTGTCATAATGGTGTTAACTTGTTGCTTTGCAGTCTCAATTGCGGAATTGCTTTATAGATTTGTGAGCATTGTGAGCATGCTTTTATGATGGCAAGTATCATTCTTTATTTCCATGTTTAGAAATCCTTTGAGCATTTCTTTTTTTTTTTTTATGGGAAACTGCTCTTTATTTAGACCTTTGGGACAAAATTAACTTTGGTCACATATTAGTTAAAAAAAAAATCCAGTTTTACATATTTCTAAATAGATACAACTAAATGATCAGAGAAATAATTTCTTCTGTAAAAATTGGCCAAATTTTATCAAAAATCTAACATACGATATAATCCAAATTATAAAAAGACTACTTGGGATCATAATATTCCAAATGTATGACAGTTATAACTCCATCTTAACAAGTGTGAAAAGTACTTGCTCTCATGTTGCTTTGGTCCAAAAGAATAGAGCTAACTCAGTAACAGGAAACTAAGTACCCAATCTTTTGCCAAAATTAATTTAGATTGTGACTGGCAGCAGAAATATCCATGATGAACAGCTCTATTATAACAAAGAATAATTAAAGAATACTTTTCATGAACATATCACAGTATCGAATACATTTTTATAAGAGAAAAATATGAAGGAAATGATAAAATAGCTATCACAAACAAAAAGAAGCATTTCCCCCATAAGGTGAATTAGAGGGTTGATGATGCTAATATGAAAGGAAGTGGAGTACTGTATTTATTTTTATCTTATACAACTCTTACTCTTTACAAAAATGGTTATAGTCATGCCCATAAAAGTGTAACCCATGGCATTTGAAAGCAAACACTCTTTGTAATTATTTAAAAGGGCCTTTTTAAAAATTATAATACAAAGGTCTGTGCTCTATAGGCAGTCCTCCACTGTGCATTATAACAATAAGGCTTACTTTTAATACAAAGACTAAGCGTTTGGGAGTTATGAACCACTGGATTTAACAAACAACATTTTATAATTGTTTTTTGCATCTTTTTTGTTTTTGGGATCCTCCACTTCATCAGGGTGCTCAGCAGCTTGGAGTTCTTCAGCAGATTCTTCTTTCTATGGCTCTGAATCACTTTCAGAATCATCTAGACTTTCAGGATCAGGTGAATCATCATCGTCATCATCATCATCTCCAGCCACATCACCTTCTCCATCATAATCTTCTACCTCACTGAAGCCAAGTCCACAATGTCGCCGATATCTTCCTGATAATTTACTGTCCATACTTTGCTGATATTGGGTCTCCAGTTCTACATTAATTTTCTTGTCTTCTTCCCCTGTTTGGAAGTGAGACGTTGATTTGCAATCTCCTATAACAAGATGACCAGTATGTTCTTTCTTTCCTGCACCCATAAGTCTCAAGAACTTTTGTTTTTTCTCTTCATTACCCAAGTCTGCTGCCTCCCAATTGCTAGATCCCAGATCATCATCTGGGGAGGCTGAACACTTCACCCCATGCAGGTGAGACTCTCTGGCAGCACTCATCCTTGTGGGGATCCCGACAAAAAATGCCAAACCCTCTCGCCGCTCTCCCCAGCCACAACACCAGCAGCTTGCAATCCTCCACCGGCCCAAGCAGCACCACTCCAGAACACCTGAGCATTTCTTGTAAGACCAGTCTAGTGTTGATGAATTTCCTTAGAGTTTGTTTATCTGAGAAAGGCTTTATGTCTCCATTTATGATGCTTAGTTTGCTCACTTTTGCTTACCAAGCTTAATTTGGTCATTTTACAAAATCCTATGTTTCTTGAAGGCTTTGTTCATTTTTTGAAATTCTTCTTTATTTTTCTGTAACTGGATAAATTAAAAAACCAATCTTCAAGCTCTGAAATTTTTTCTTCTCCTTGATGGGCTATATTATTAAAACTTTCAACTATATTTTGAACTTCCTTCAGTAAATTTTTCAGTTCCAGAATCCATTTATATATATATTCTTTTTTATATCCTGGATTTTCTAATTTCTTTGTGTTGGTTTTCAATTTTTCTTGGTTCTCACTGAGTTTTTTTACAATCCATATTTTGAATCTTTCTTACAATCCATATATTGAATCTTTGTCATGTTATAATTTTCATGTTGGTTAGGAATAATTGCTAAAAAGCTAGTGTTATCCTTTGAGGGTGTTGGAACACCTGCTTCTTTGCACAGCCAGAGTTTTCATGCTGATTTTTTTTATGTAAAACACCCATCTTATGGCTGCTGCTCAAACGATTGCAAAGCAGAATCTCTTTCCCCAACCCAAAATAGACAACTCTGTGGCTGGTTTGAGCTCCCCTGCAGGAATGTTGCCACTCTGCCCAGAGGGGAGAAAATGAGCTCCACCCTTCATGCAAGCCCAGGCCAGTCGACACACTTTCAGTGGGGAAACAGCTGCTCCAATAGTGCTGAAAAGGCTGTCTCCAAGTACACTTGCACCAACTTTCAGGGGGAGAAGCCGTGGCTGCATCTCCAGTAGTGAATTGGGGGTAGCAGAAGCTCCACATCCATTCCCAGCCACTGTTTCCTCCTGTCTGTTGAGGTGGAACAGCACTTCCCCTCTTCACAGACGAGCACCATGCCCACCTCTCCACTGGAAGGTACACAGCCACTTTCTGGTCACAAGCAAGAGGCTGCCGAGCAGTAGAGAGTGTGTGATCTGGTTTCCTTTGCTTGCAGAGGCTCTTTGGTGGACTTCAATTATCCTTCCCCTAGAGGCAATCTGTGCTGAGGGCTAGAACTCTGAGGATCCCACAGTTCCACAGAGTCCCACTGGTCCCTGTGGTTGCCACATTTCAGAGCAGATTCTATGGAATGTTTGCAGGGGATCTAGTGATGTGGAGAAACAGTGATAAGGTTCTCTGGGCAGGATAGTGGCTCACAATGGGTGCACAACCAGTATGGTGCTCATTGCTTCAGCTTGGGTTTGAGTGGAAAGCCAGCAAACCCACATGAGCTGGTTTCCAGGCGCTCTGCTCTCCAGAAGGTCCCAAATATCTGCCAACAGCAGTGCCTGGGCTTGCAAAGGTAGAGTAGTGCTCCAAAAATTCATTAGTTAACAGCCTGACACAGGGATGAGGGAGAAAATAATCACTCTTGCCTACCTTTTCCATGGAGTTCCAAAGTTCCTTGGGGGTCAGTCTCTAACAAGCTCTTTGCTGCCTTCTTTTTCTGTACCCCCAGCTTCTTCCCATGACTTTTTCAGTAGGTTTTGGCACCCTTCCCTCAGTATTCCACTCAGGCCATGATCATTCACCTGTAAAGTTAGATCTTTTTTTCTGAGTACTCATATCTGACATCTCTAGTTAGCCATCTTGCTTCTGTATTTAAACAGTTTCTGACAATAAGAAAAAGTCCAAGGAATAATAATGTATTTACTTACACATGTTCCTTTTTATTAAGAATTAAATAAGCAGGTTCTTTATTTGACTATAATTTCAGTGGTTGTGTCAATTTATACTTTAATACTTTTTTTACTAATACTTCCAAAAAGTGAATACTCAAAAAACTTAAATGTGGTATAGATGATGGTTGTGATGATGATAATAATATCTTGGATTTTTTAGATAATACTGATAATATTTTCCAGGTTGTAGTCTGATCCAGATATTTCCCCCAAATATCCCAACGTTGGTATTAAGAAATCAATATTTCAAGGAGTTAAATCAATAGTTAAAACTACTGTGAAAATACCACATAATAAAAGGGAGAGATAACGTTTTCTTTTAAATTATCTTGAATTTGTTTATGACAATGTATATTAAAAACCTCAAATTAGTTGGACTTATTTGACCAACCTAACTTCAAAAACACAAAAAGTGTATGTATTGATAATTCCCTAAATTTCAAGGATTTCCAAATATTATTTTTCTTTCTCATTCAGATTTATAACTTTTTAAATGCCATTTTTAAGGCACTGGGTGTTGAAAGCAAAAACCAATTCTAGAATATTTCATTTCAGAAAGCTTTGAAATAAACAGAAAATGTTTTGACTGGCATGGCACAAAGGATGAAATAGAAATTAAACACCTTTATTTGTTCTGCATGCTTCTTTCTCAAAAATCAGCAAGTACCACTGAATAACTCATATGATACCTTATGCTTTATATTTGCTGAATTTTTTGTGCTTCAAATTCACACAAAAACTATAGAAGCTTCAAAATGAGAAGATTCACCACTGTCACCTCTGTCTTCACTGTCTTATTAGGCTGAAAATTATTATTTTAACATAATTTAAAATATTGCATGTTTTACTAATTTAATTGATCTAAAGAAAATAAAATGAATCCACTCTCAAATTCAAATGGCTACTTTGTGTCTCAGGATGTCATTAACATCACAAGAGTGGATCAACATGCGATTATCTTCTAATTTTCAACATTTCACCCTTATAAATAGGAGTACTTACTTACTTTATAGAATTATTTTTAGTTCCAAATTAATATACTATATGTTAGATATACCAGTCTAAGACATTAGAACATTAATATTGGGAGTTCAGGGTAGAGTTTGTGACCTATTGTACTTTCATTTGTTAGAGAAGGTGGCTTATTCTGGAATAAGTATATAATTCCTGTAACTGTGAGAGCTACTTTGAATTCCAGCAATGCCCCTTATTACTACTATGAGTTCAGGTAAATTGATATCACTGAATCCTAGATTCTCCTTTGTATATAGTAATATTAAGAAATAGTTCATGTTTGATGTAAAGATTAAATGCTATACAAACATTTTATCAAAGTTAAGATGCTTTACATTGTAAAAGGCTCTCATGTCACCATTATCACTATAAATGCTGCCAATTAAGTTAGAACAATGTTTTCTAATTGTTTTATTTTATACTTATAAAAATAGTTCTTTTTAAAAATCTTTCTGCCATGGATTTATATTGTATATATTATTATGTTGTATATAAAAGTAATAAAAACAAAACAAATTGGTCCCATTATTCTTAAATCTCCCTAGTGTACCACTCTTCTGAATCATTTTTTACTTGAAAGTGCATTTTCCCCACACTTTCTCTGTGTCATTAAGCAAATCAGAAAAGCAGCATTTCTTATACTGCTCAGGATTTTTTCCCACAAAATCCTGACTCCTATTCCATATTGTTTTCTTTTTATTTTAAAATAAATTCAGACTTAAAATAGAGTTGCAAAAGCAATAAAGAGCATTTCCGTGTAACTTCAACCAGCTTCTCCCAATGCTATTATCTTACATAACCACATATAATTCTCAAAACTGATAAATTAGCAATGGTTCATATTATCAAACTGCAGACTTTATGGAATTATACCAGCTTGCCCATACTCCTCTCTCTCCTGTCTTAGAATCCAATCCAGGAACTCATAATGCATTTACTTACCCTTGTCACTTTAGTGCCCGTCATTTTGTTACAGTCCCTCAGTCTTTCCTTGTCTTTTATGCCCTTGACTCTTTTGAAGAGCAGAGGTAAGGTATTTCACATATTATCTTTTCTCATAGTAGACTGAGGTTATGAGTTATTAGGAAGGATGTGGCATTCATTTTCTATTGCTCCTATGACAAATTACTATGAACTTAATGGTCTAAAACAACAAAAATGTATTAACTCACTGCCCTGTAAGTTAGAAATTTGAATAGACTCAGCTGGTTTCTCTGCCCTGGGTATAACAGACTGAAATTAATGTATTGGCAAGGCTGCCTTCCTTACGTGAAGTTCTGAGAGTCTACTTTCAACTTCATTCAGGTTACTGTCTGAATTCATATCCGGTTTCCTTGCTGACTGTCAGCCATGGTCAATTTCCACTTTTAAGGCAGACTACATTCCTTGGCTGGTACCCTCCTTCCTCCATTTTCAAAGCCACCAAATTGGGAGATCGAGTGCTTTCCATACTTCAAATATCTCTGAAGAGACAGTTAGAAGCTAGCTTTAAAAAATAACATTTTATCTGCAAGGCAAGAGACAAAATGTACTGTATACCAACACTGTACTCTAGCTGGTAAATTGCTTCTCACAGGAGTATGTGTTAGCAATTCTGAAACCATTTTATGTTAACTTAGGACTGAACAGATAAATATATTATAGATAATGGGAGTCAGGTTTTTCCACTGCTGGATAAAGAAAATAGAAATAACCAAGGGGGTAGGGGCTCAAACAAATCCTATGATGCTGGTTTAGAGTCACAGGTATTCTTATGAACTCATATTTATATTAATGCCTATATAGAGATAGATTGGTATAGAAATACATATTAATATGTACGTATATACATGGTAATTATACATATTTTTCAGGTCTGTCTACTAAAAGGACCTAGAAGCAGTGACACACCCATAGCAATAGGTAACACTTAGCACCAGATCTCAGTTTCTAAATACTATTTTTAAGTCTCCACATTTAACAATTTTTTGATCTTGCTATAAATTATCAGTGGAAGGCTTCAAGGTAACAACTGTGACTCATTTCTTTCTCAAATGATCATTGAATGATCTGACACTAAAATGTCAATTGAATTCAACTTTTGTAGCAGTTCAGGGTATATACACTATTGGTGTGGGGACAAAATATCTAAGACTCACTCCATATATATGCAATAATAAAAACTATATCACAATTTCTTCCTGGTCAATTATTGTAAAACACCATCAATTGTATGGTGCACCTATTTTTCAGAGGAGAAAAATGTAAATTAAAAATGTGTAACTTAGAATGGATAAAATATTATGAATACAAAATGCCTGAGATCAATTAGTTAAGTCTGCGTGGATCACAACTTTATCCTTAGTTTCCTCCACTTCCTCAAAGACTGAAAAATCTGACTTCACTGCATATTTAAATGACGCTCCTACTGCAACTTCTTTACCTCACTTCAAATCACTGACAGAAAACCATTATTATAAACAAATTGACACCTGCATAAGTGTGTATGGAAATAAATTCTCCTTTTCCCATCATTTAAAACATTGAAAATGAACATAGAAATGAAGACATATAAATAAACATAAAGAGATAAATTTCAAGATAGAAAAAGTATAATTTTATGAATTGGTAATTCACTATGCTGATATTTTACACACACACACACACACGCAATGCACATACATGACAGTTAAATGAGTGGCTAGATAGATAATGAGAAGTGGGGAGAGAGAGAGAGAGATGTCATTAGAACATACACCACAAATGCATTTAAGCCTTAAATCTATTTTAAACCAAATTATAATTGTTCCCATTCACTTAAGATATCTTTGCTTAAAATCACTATCATTAAATTTCATCTCCATAAAATGGTTTTATTAAAATCTAAATGTTTTTATTTTTATTAGTGAATTTTGAATTTTAACATGTTTTCAGCTTTCAAAACAATGTTGACTTTAGTCCATAATGTTCTCACATTGGATGAAGAGTTAATAGCAGTTTGTGCCACATTTCCTCCACAAATAAATCAAAAGAATGGTTCAGAATGGTAAATCATAACCTAATACAAAAGCACACAGTAATGTCAACTAGAATTAAATGTCACCATGTATGGTTCCTTTCCATTATCAACAAGTGACTACTGAATGAACAAATAATTATGTGGCAATAATTCAGATTCTAGGTAAAAGGACTTTTTGAAAACATTTTTTTAAATTATACTTTTAAGTTTTAGGGTACATGTGCACATTGTGCAGGTTAGTTACATATGTATACATGTGCCATGCTGGTGCGCTGCACCCACTAACTCGTCATCTAGCATTAGGTATATCTCCCAATGCTATCCCTCCCCCCTCCCCCCACCCCACAACAGTCCCCAGAGAGTGATATTCCCCTTCCTGTGTCCATGTGATCTCATTGTTCAGTTCCCACCTATGAGTGAGAATATGCGGTGTTTGGTTTTTTGTTCTTGTGATAGTTTACTGAGAATGATGGTTTCCAATTTCATCCATGTCCCTACAAAGGACATGAACTCATCATTTTTTATGGCTGCATAGTATTCCATGGTGTATATGTGCCACATTTTCTTAATCCAGTCTATCACTGTTGGACATTTGGGTTGGTTCCAAGTCTTTGCTATTGTGAATAATGCCGCAATAAACATATGGGTGCATGTGTCTTTATAGCAGCATGATTTATAGTCCTTTGGGTATATACCCAGTAATGGGATGGCTGGGTCAAATGGTATTTCCAGTTCTAGATCCCTGAGGAATCGCCACACTGACTTCCACAATGGTTGAACTAGTTTACAGTCCCACCAACAGTGTAAAAGTGTTCCTATTTCTCCACATCCTCTCCAGCACCTGTTGTTTCCTGACTTTTTAATGATCGTCATTCTAACTGGTGTGAGATGGTATCTCATTGTGGTTTTGATTTGCATTTCTCTGATGGCCAGTGATGATGAGCATTTTTTCATGTGTTTTCTGGCTACATAAATGTCTTCTTTTGAGAAGTGTCTGTTCATATCCTTTGCCCACTTTTTTATGGGGTTGTTTGTTTTTTTCTTGTAAATTTGTTTGAGTTCATTGTAGATTCTGGATATTAGCCCTTTGTCAGATGAGTAGGTTGCGAAAATGTTCTCCCATTTTGTAGGTTGCCTGTTCACTCTGATGGTAGTTTCTTTTGCTGTGCAGAAGCTCTTTAGTTTAATTAGATCCCATTTGTCAATTTTGGCTTTTGTTGCCATTGCTTTTGGTGTTTTAGACATGAAGTCCTTGCCCATGCCTATGTCCTGAATGGTAATGCCTAGGTTTTCTTCTAGGGTTTTTATGGTTTTAGGTCTAACGTTTAAGTCTTTAATCCATCTTGAATTGATTTTTGTATAAGGTGTAAGGAAGGGATCCACTTTCAGCTTTCTACATATGGCTAGCCAGTTTTCCCAGCACCATTTATTAAATAGGGAATCCTTTCCCCATTGCTTGTTTTTCTCAGGTTTCTCAAAGATCAGATAGTTGTAGATATGCAGCGTTATTTCTGAGGGCTCTGTTCTGTTCCATTGATCTGTATCTCTGTTTTGGTACCAGTACCATGTTGTTTTGGTTACTGTGTAGCCTTGTAGTATAGTTTGAAGTCAGGTAGTGTGATGCCTCCAGCTTTGTTCTTTTGGCTTAGGATTGACTTGGCGATGCGGGCTCTTTTTTGGTTCCATATGAACTTTAAAGTAGTTTTTTCCAATTCTGTGAAGAAAGTCATTGGTAGCTTGATGGGGATGAATAACTATAGAATGAATGTAAAAAGTGATGGCTTATGCTTATATACATACTTTTGAAATTTCATAACTCAACTATTGATCTGCTTATACCACTGTTCCTCTTTCATGTCTACATTACTTGCTTAAAGTCATCTGGAATGCCCATATTGTGGTCCTAGGTATTTTCACTAGAAGAAGTTACTTCTAAATCAAGTAATTTGTCTCTGAGTAGCAAATACCCTTCAGAGTGTTCATAACTGGTAACACATTGGTGGCATATTTATAAGTGTATAAAATATAAGACAAATATTAACAAAAATTATACAATTCTTATCCATACAGAAGCAGTAGAGCACAGAGGAAAGATCATGTATTTTGGCACTAAAAAGCCCCTAGTTATATTTTCACTTTTCACTTTCTAGTCATATGACCTTCATTATGTTATTTAACTTCTCTCTTTCTTAGTTTCCTGATCTATAAAATAAGAAAAATAGTGATATATCATACCATTGTTATGATCATTTATTAAGTTCAGGTATAAAGTTTCTGATACAATAGGTGTCAAGCGGTTGGCACTTTTTTCATTCAAATGATTCAAAATCCATAAAGGAAGAAAGGTTTGTTTACACATTTATATATAATGCATTATAATAAAAGATTAAAATAGTATTAACTTATTCATAGATTACATATATATGTACGTTTTTCATCAAATTCTATGTTATTCTAGTATTTAACTTCTTATGAACTTCTTATGAATAATGCATATTCTAAGTGAATGTTAAAGCTCCCAAAAGACAATTCTTCTACCCCTCTTAACATACTTTCCCTCCGTGGCACCACAGTTTTTCTTATAAAAGTCTTAGAGTCTGGACATACACAGGCAAAAAAAAAAAAAAAAAGAATCTAGAAACAGACTTCATACTCTTTACAAAACTTAATTCAAAATGGATCACAGATCTAAATGTAAAAAAATATATACATAAAAGTCCTAGAAGATAACACAGTTCAAAATTAGATGACCTTGGTTTTGACATTGATTTTTTAAAATATATAACACAATAAGCATAATTCATAAAATAAAGACTATGTATGCTGGACCTCCCTAAAATTAAAAATGTCTTCTACATAAAACACTAACAAGGGAATAAAAAGACAAGTCACAGATTCTAAGAAAATATTTGCAAGAAGATTTATCTAATAAAGGACTATTATCCTAAATATACAAAACTCTCAAACTCAACAATAAGAAAATAAACAACCTGATTTTTAAAATAAGCCAAAGAGTTTAGCAGACACCTCACTGGAAAAGATATATAGAGGCCAAATAAGCATGTAAGAAAGTGCTCCACATCATCTTCTTGATATGTCATCAAAAACTGCAGATTAAAGAACTGAGCTACCACTAGATACCTATTAGAATGATCAAAATCTAGGACACTGAGAACATCAAATGCTGGCAAGGACATAGAGCAACAGAAATTTTCATTCATTGCTGGTGGGAATGCAAGATGACACCACAACTTTAGAAGAAAGTTGGTAGTTTGTTACAAAATTAAACATACTCTTACCATATGAGCCAGAAATTGTGCTCCTTAACATTGACCCAAAGCAATTCAAAATATACGTCCATAAAAAAACCCTACACATAAGTGTTTATAGCAGATTTATTCATAACACCCCAAACTTGGAAGCAACCAAGACGTCCTTCAGTAGGTGCATGGATAAAATACTGTGGCACATTTATACAATGAAATATTATTCAGAGCTAAAAAGAAATGAGCTATCAGGCAATGAAGAGACATGGAGAAACCTGAAATTCATACTGCTATGTGATTGCTATGTGATGGAAGCCAATCTAAAAATGTTACCTATTGTATGATTACAACTATATGACATTCTGGAAAAGCCAAAACTATGTCAAGAATGAAAGGATTATTGGTTACAGGGTTGAGGAGAAGGAGAGGAATCAGTGAAGAACAGATGACTTTCAGGGCAGTGAAACTACTCTGTATGATATCATAATCATGCATATATGTCATCATAAATATGTTAAAACCTACAGACTGTACAACATCAAGAGTGAACCCTTATGTAAATTATGTATGTTAGTTGATAATGATGAGTAAATGGACGTTCATCAATTGTAACTAATGTACAATTCCGGTGGGTGGTGTTGATAATGCAGTAGGCTGTGCATGTCTAGAGGAGGGAGGGATATGGGAAATCTCTGTATTTTCTTCTTAATTGTGTGGCAAATGTAAAAATTCTCTAAGAAGTAGTCTTCATAAACAGTCCTAAAGAGTTTTAAAATTAGAACAAAAACAAAATAACAACAAAAATACTCAATATGTTGCAATTGAAAGAAATGTCTAAGATTAAAATATAAAGATTGTGTAACACCATTTTTCTTTTCTTTTTCTTTTTTTTTTTTTTTTTGCAATCAGGTGACTGATTTTGGCTTAGACAATGTGAAAAATATCCCTTCCTGCCAAACCAGATTGTAATGGCTTTGCTCCACTGCCAATATCATTATATTTCAGGAGAAGCATAACAGGTACAGTTATAATAGATACATAAATGTAGAGAGCCCTCAGATCTCAGACACAGTCATCTTGAACTCAGAAGAACCAACTGGTGAACAACCAAGTGTGGGGTATATTTGAAGTAGATTTTTTTGTCAAGTCTAAACTATGGACAATTTCCTACTAAGAAGCCAATATTTATTTGCAATTTGAAATAAGTCATGGCATGTGGAAGCAACTATTTTAGTGCCAAATTCAGAAGACAGAAGAGATCAGTGAACATAGCAAAACTTTGGCAAGGGATGAAAAAGAAAAAAAAATAAAATAAGTCCTTTAACTATAACTGTCAAATAATTTCACCCATATATACTAAGTCTGAAAAATAAAATAACATTTGCATTTACTCTTATCTATACATACTAAATTGTGTATTGTTTTCATTTTTTCTAAGTTCAGTCATTCTCAAGTTTATTTGTTGCTTTACTTATAAAGTTTGAGATTAAAGTTTACTTAATGCAATTTTTAAATCTACTCTCTGTATGCTAAGCAAAGTGAATCCCAAATGATGTTTAGAGCCAGGATATAAGTTTTTTGGAATGGACAGATCACATAAGTGATAGCTATACACATAAACTCAACTGGTCACATAAAAATCATTTCCATTTTCTTTCATTTTACACCATTCTATTCCATTTACATTTTCTAACCATGTGCATATATTATTTCTATTCTTTTTCTTCAAGTTCGACAGAGGTGCAATCATGGATCATTTTTGTACACACATCTGTAAATCTTATTAAATACTTTGAAAATAGAACACTGTCTCTTACGAGTAATATTTAGAAATAAAAAATTTTAATGTATTTTAATAGTGTATATATTTTCATCATTATATAAATACATATATTAGTTAATATGTCAAAGAAATTGTAATTTATTTCAAAACAGATGCCAAATTTAACCCTATTTATTTAAAATGTTTTGAACTGTTGAAAAGACAAGTTTTATTCAAGAAACAGGTCAGGTAAAAAATCAGTTGCTGTCAGCTGAAAGCCAGTTGAGTGAACTGTTAGTAAACCCTTAAAAGGCACATGAGAAAACTACTTTAGTTATGTATGTGAAAGAGTCCAAGAAGCTAAACTTCAGAGCTAGGAGCAAAGGCCACAAGGCTTACACTAGGAGAAAAACATCTATTTTGCAATGCAGCAGAAAGATACCAAAACCTTTTTGCTTTAGAAATGCTCCTGAGAACCGAGAGGTACACAGCCAACAAATTCTCACATTTTAGTCTGTGATTTCATTTGACACTTTAAATCATTGAGTGTTAGAACTGGAAAGACCTTAGAAAGTATGTCATTCAACCCTCTCATTTTATGTAAAAAGTGCCATGGGGTTTGTAACCAAAACACCTGAGCTAATTTTTCAATCAGTATTTAATGGCGGACTTTCTTTAAGCATGTCATTTTTTACTCTGGACCTCATTTGCACATCTACAATACCGTGATAATTGTATCTACCATGCAGATTTGTAATGATACTTGTATTAGCTCCCCAGTCCCATTACAACAAATTACTGCAAACTTGGTGAATTAAAACAATAAAAATTCATTTTCTTACAATTGTGGAGGTAGAGTTTCAGAAGTCTAAAACGGGTCACACTGGAGGAAAATCAAGGCGCTGGCAGGCCTAAATTCCTTCTGAAGACACGAGGGAGAAATGTGTTTCCTGGCCATCGTCAGCTTCCAGAGACTGCTTGCATTTCTCGGCTTCTAGCACTCTCCTTTCCACTTTCACATTGACTCTCCTACCTCCTCTCCCTTATAGAAATCCCTGTGATTACATTAGTCTCACCTGGATAAACCAGAGTATTCTTATTATCCCAAGATCCCCATCTCAACTAATTAGCAACCTTAATACCACCAGCAGCCTTAATTTCCCCTTTCCACTTAACACAACATATTCACCATTTCTGGGGACTAGTAGGTTGCCATCCTTGGTGATGCGCGGAAGGAGGACAGAGGGGATAATTTTTCTGCCTACCATAACAATTACCCAAGTAATATACGCAAATGCACCCTGTAGATCACAAAGTATTATACGTATGTAAATAATTTCTATTAGAAAGAACAAGAAAATAATGGTTATGGTTTCACGGTTAATTAGCAGCAGAGCTCATCTCAGCCTCAGTTCTCATAATTACCTGACCAGAACCTTATACACCTCAACATGGAGGATCTGATCAGAAGCACATATAAGGAAAACCATAAACTTGGCTTGAATTCACTAACAAGCATCTTGAAGACCTAACTGTTCATTTCAAAATGAACTTTTGACATCTGCCTAGATTTGATGCATAGTTCCACAATTCTTTAATTCTGAGAATTTTAGCAACTTTCATAATTTCTCTGAGTCTCATTTTCCACATATGTAAAATAGCAATAATAGCATAACTTCAGTGGTTTGTTGAAAAAGTAAAATGAGAAAATTCATATGAAGTACTTAGCAAACTGACACACAGCAAATGTGCAAGAGGTGTTAATTGTCTTTTATTTCCTAGATAAATACAACCACCTGCCAGTCACAAAATACCTATGCTAGACACCATGGCACTCTGGGAAATTTGAATTAGACTCATTTTATGGCCTTAAGAAGTTTATAATTCAAGAATAAAATAAGTTAAATGTATTTGTTCAGCTAATTGAAGTATCTTTATATGTAAAGTAGCCTTCTTTGCACTGTCTTCTAACCATTCAAAATCTACAAAGGAGTAAAAGCTGCCAGGACACAGGGAAAGTCTATTAAAGGAAACTCATTGCTGAGCATGACAAATTCCAAAATATTCTCAGGGACATAGAGTGACAATTACATTACCAAATCAAAGGAAACTTCAACTGCTAAAAATTCAATCTTTGTGAATTATATAAGATCACATTTCAAAATATAAAATATATATACATATCCAGAATATAAACTGGATTATGAGTTTATGTTGAAACCCTTCAGGAAAAATCTTGTAGAAGATTCTGAAGGACAAGGGCACAGCAGGATCCTAGAGTGAGTCAGTGACCTACTGGGCAGGCTAAAAATATGACATTTTATGCAGTTATAGGAACTTGATTCTTGAAAGTAAAATCAAGATACTTTGGACTGTAATGTCAGACATCTATTCATTAAGTGAGTTATGCTACTCTGTAACTAACAAAAGTGATTATTAAGTTTTCACCATGGTGTATGAACAAGTGAAGATACATACACTTTTTCATGCAAAAACTTGTATTTTAGTTGTTATCTTTTCTCAAATTCAATACAATTACAAACAAATTCAGAATAAGGAGTTTTAAGAATTTTAACAAGTTGATTCTCAAATTAAACTAGAAAAAAACCTGCTTAAAAATACAAAATAATTTTCTAAATAAAATAAAATTAGGAGTCTTGACTGACAAAATTTGCTATAAAATACAGTAACTAATACATTGTGGCATTGGTACAGGGTTAATATAGAAATTAATCACTAAAATAAAATTCATAAATAGTATTATAATATGCAGTTGATATCCATTGGTATGTTTCTACAGTTTGTAAAATATCTGTATAATTTGGTAAATACCTGTTTCTCAGGTTACCCAAGTGTCTCCTCCAATCCCAGCTCTTCCCAGGGATCCCAAAATAATTCTCCACAATCTTGGATCTAGTAGCCTGTCAAAGAAGAGGCTTATGGAACTTCTTCAGTCCCAAAGTCAGTATCAATTCGGATTGGTCAGTGCATCTACCAATCTGATTGTTAAATATACTGAATATTATATTAATATGTTTATATGCATATATACCTGTACTTGTATGTTTTTAAGTGTCTGTCCATGTAGGCCATTCAAGAATATTACTGAAATAGCTGGATGTGGTGGCTCGTTCCTGTAATCCCAGCTACTCAAAAGGCTGAGGCAGGAGGATAGCTTTACGCCAGGAGTTTGAGACCAGCCTGAGCAACATAGTAAGACCCCCGTCTCTAAAAAAATCTGACAAGTTTTTATAGAAAGAATACTATTAAAGTATAAGAACTCTTTATATATTCTGCTTCAACATTCTTTGTGAGATGTATGCATCGCAAAAACTTCTCCCACTATGTTGCTTGTCTTTTTATTTTTTATGATGTCTTTTGAAGAGCAAAGTTTCCCATTTTGATAAAGTTTAATTTACCATTTTCTATTTTCTAATTCATGCTTTTTCTGATTCAGTTAATCTTTGCATACTCTAATGTCTCAATAATTTTCTCCTCTTTTTGTACTTAAAAATGTTATAGATATAGCTATGACACTTAAGTCTATGGCTATTTTATATCAATTTTTATGTATATTGCTTGCAGTTCTTTTTTTATTTCTTTTGGTTTTTCCAGAAACATAATATGTCATCTACATATAGAGAAAGTAATATCACTTTCTTTACAATTCTGAGTGGTTCTAGTAGTCAAACATTTTAATTATTGCAGCTAATATAAGTTGTCTTATTCCATACACATTCCAATCCCTTCCTCTTTTTCTTACCTACTGTCCAATGGCTAGAAAATGAAAATACTAGATACCTGTGCTGCTAGGTGGGGCAGTGTGAGAGCATTTTCCAGTAAGCCATAAGTAGATGTACATGAGTGTCATGTCTTCTTTTTCCTTCCTTCTTACTGCATGAAATATGTTGTACCTGCAGCAGAGCATTTGTCACTAAGAACAGTGGAACATAAAGACAGAAAGCACTTGGTTCCTTCAGGGAAGTATTAGGTTGTGAGATGGTTTGGCTCTGTCTCCCTATCCAAATCTCATCTTGAATTGTAATCCCCATGTGTCCAGGGAGGGACCTGTAATCCCCACATGTTCTAGGAAGGAAGTGATTGGATTATGTGGGCAGTTTACCCCATGATGTTCTTGTGATAGTGAGTGAATCAAATGAGATATGATGGTTGTAAACATGGCAATTTTTCTGGTGCTCGCACCTCACTTCTCTCACCTGCCACTGTGTAAGACATGCCTGCTTCCCCTTCTGCCATTATTGTAAGTTTCCCGAGGCCTTTCCAGTCATGCAAAACTATGAGTTAATTAAATATCTTTCCTTCAAAATTACCCAGTCTCGAGGGGTATCCTTTGTAGCAGTGTGAGAATGGACTAATACAGGTTGTTATATTGGCCCTGGAATACTCACTTGCAGACTACTGTCATGTAAAACGAAAATGAAACCTCCTATTTGTTTAAGTCCCTATTTAGAGGTTTCTGCAACCCACAGAAGTCTACCCTAATTGATGTGTAGAGGTAGAGAAAAGTATACTTCTACTCCATCCCTTTCTCCACGTGCATTTATGGATTCCTCTATGTGATTACAGTATGGCTACCTTTCTTCGTTTGTATTTTGTAACTCTAGAATAAAAATAATTTCGTTTGGCTTTGTGCTTCACTTACCTGCATAGTCTCTCACAAAACTGTGTGCCTATGGAGGACAAAAATAGAGTGTCTTCACAAAATTTACATTCCCCATGGCCTTTGGGTGAATACTTTTATTTTAGTAGATGCACAAACGTATTTTAATTGAATTAAAGAATAAAGGAAGAAAACATAGTGAAGGAAAAGAGCAGATATGAAAAAGAACGCTTTAGAAAAAGTTTATTTTTGCTCATAATTACAAAAAATCTACTTTTTCTAGGCAACTAAAATAAGAAATAAAAATATCTGGACTATAGCATTTGCTTTTCATCTTATATCAGGAATGTAATAGCTATTTAAAATTCTGTGTATTACTAAGGGATTAGTAACGTTTGCCTCAGCCTAAGGCATCAGCATATTCTAGCATAATATTATTTCTTAGGTAATGTCTTATGTCACAATCACCATTGCCTAATTCAAATAGAATGGTAGTTTAACTTTGTTTTCAGAACAAACGTGATGGAAATACCAAGATTCTTTTCAGCTTGGAATATTTTCTTTTTTTTAGTAGGAAAAATACTGAATTGGGATAAAAAGAGGGACTAGGTAAATCTAACTTTGTAATTTACCGCTTTAGTGCAGGAGATACTAAGGAGGTATCATACTGAACGTAACTTTTTAAATGAACCTCCCTTCTTTCATTTAGTTTTCTGTATAAAATGTAGGTCATGGAGAATTTTGCATGAATCAAGCAACTCTCTCAATAATTCATTAACTTTTTATAACATCCCCATCATTTATTTAAAAACTGTTGCCAAAATTCATTGGGAAAGTTAATTGGATTCATGTCTCCAATTTCTACCTATTTTCAGTTGGTTATCAGTGCTAGAAAGGAAAATTGAGAGGTGACTCCTAAGAGTCTATAAATGACATGAATATTTACGGTTACCTTCCTGTAACTCACCAAAGTATAGACTGACACAGTTACATTTGTCTCCGGAGTAAAAAGGACCCAACATTTAAAGCTCCATCTCCTACAAATTCTCCTTCAAAGATGCATGGCTCATGTGATTATGATGGCTAAAGAGTCCCAAGATCTGCAGTTGGTAAAATGGAGACCTTACAGAGCTGCTAATATAGCTTCAGTAAGAGTCTGAAGGCCTGAGAACTAGGAGAGTTGATGGTATAAGTTTCGGTTGGAGCAAACAGGCTCAAGATCCAAAAAAAGACAGTGTTACAGTTAAAGTCTGAAGGCTGGAGAAGACTAATGCAAGTTGAAGTACTTAGGCAGAAAGAGTTCCCTCTTACTCAGCCCTCTGCTCTCCTCAGATCTTCAATGGATTGCACAAGGCCCACCCACATTAGGGATAGCAATCTGCTTTACTTAGTCTATCCATTCAAATGTTAATCTCATCAAGAAGCACCCTCACATACACACCCAGAATAATGTTTGATGAAATGTCTGGGCAACTTAAGTTAACACATAAATTAACCAGCACAGGGGCCCACTGCCCAACCCCTAAAAAAGAAAAGAAAATCTGAAGACTAGGCTAAATAACTATAGCAACCAAAATTGTATCAACTCTATTAAATAAAAAGTCATCAGTTGTGAGGACGATTAATATAAATAAACCTGTTATTAGTTGTGAGGATGATTAATACAAATAAACTTGTTATTTATAACATTTATGTAAATTCTATACTGTCAAAGAGAAATCTGACCAGATATTTTTGTTAAAAATTCTAGAAAGACTCAACCAATATCAGGGTAGACACTATAATGTGCTTTGACTATACATGAGATATTACTAATTAGCTGAAGCAAGTGATACCAGATTACTAGGTAATAAGAGACAGCTTACTAGCATCCAGGGGACTTTTACAGCCATAAGCAGATGGAGGTGTTTTTAATGTACATTGAATGAAATTGACAGATAAAATGTTTACCTATTCCCTCTTGTTCTTGTTTCTTCTTTACTACTGCACTTGCTTTCCTAAATATTTTCTCCAGTAAACCCTACATACTCTTTGTTAATGTTTCCCTTTATATTTTTAAAATTAAAAACAGCAACTAAATTAAATGAAATTTACTTTAAGCAGAAGACAATATAATGTATGCTGTAGTTTTTTTCAAACTCTAATATAGGCAATATTTCTGAGAAGCAAATCTAGAAACTAAATATTTTATAATTATATAACACTAAAATTATTTATAACAATATATTGTATTTGTTTCTTAAAACGTTAAATATATATGTGAAATATGTGGTATCACTCATCTCCTTTGCATTAAGTCCAGAAATGTCCTAGTTGATGTCTCCAGTTAGTAATACTTTAGTCCATATCCATTGATCAACTTTCATCATATTTCTATTCCCATTCATTCACTAAATAATTCATCCATTTATTCAACAAACATTTACTGAACACCAAGTACAATTTATTAGGCAAAGTGATAATTCCTGAAAATAAACACAGAAATTGAAGACTGTCTATACTCAATGAGTACTCACTACAGTTTTCAAGTAATTGTAACACAGTATATCAATCACTCTGTTATATTCTAATTAATTGAATTATTTGTATAAATTTAAGGGGTACAAGTGTAATTTGTTAAATAGATATATTGTATGGTGGTGAAGTCTGGGCTTTTAGTATAACCATCTGAGAGATATTTTTTAAATTCAATGTAATCACAGATAGGAGATTACATTGAATTTTTCAATGTAATCTTCTTCAAGAGCCTGGAGAAGATTATACAGTTTTCACAGAGATAGTGATAATTGATTTAACTATTTAAGGAGTTCGGAGCATCCCTGTTGTCTTCTAGCATCTATTGAAAAAGAAAAAAATACATCATACATGCATAGTGGTGAAGAGTAAGGCTTGTTCAGACTATAAGAGATATTTATCCAGGAGGATACATAACTGAGGGACTGTGGAAGTTAAACTGCACTAATTAGATTGGTTATTGCAGTGAGTGTTCAGCCGATAGCATATGTAAAAAACAGTTGTGGTGGTGGTAAATATGTATTATACCATTATTATTAGTATTACCATTACTGCTGGATAATAATTATAGCAATGGTAATAGCTATAAATATCACTTTAATAGACACCTCCTTGTTATATACTGTACTACTTTATATTATTATTGATAGCAATAAAATTGTTAGTTTTATATATTAATAAAATACAGCTACTTCTAGATTTATAATGGGATTATATCCCAATAAACCCACAGTTAATTGAAAATATCACTAATTCAAACCATGGTCAGCTGAGACTCTCAAGAATGCCCTAGAGCAGCTAATAAGTAACCCCAAATAGAAGCCTTAAATCCATCAAGTTATGACCACCACATCCTACCACATCCTTCCTGAGAAAGACATCCAATGGTAAGAAATACTTTCCTAGGACTGAGGGCAGAAGAAAAGAAGAATTAAATTGGTACAATTTTTCTCTTTTCTCTTTTGATCCATAATGTCTAAATTAATAGGTCTATTTTCCTTTTTAGATTTTGATATATAAAGAATGGACAATTTTGTCAAGACATCTAAATAGGTTGGGGAAATGCATAGTTGTCTTAAAATAATTAAAATGGTCTTGAATCTATTCTGCAATAGCATTTATAAGCGAACTAATATTTCTAAGTCTCAGTTTCCTCATGTGAGAAATGGGAATGAAACTGTATATACTTCATGGAGTCATTGTGAAGATTAAATGCTATAAACAATTTTTTTTTTGGAAAAAGGTCAACTAGTTAATATTTTCTACTATGTGAGCTGTATAGCCTCAGCCACAGTGACTCAATGCTGCTGTTGTAGCATGAAAGCAGCTACAGACAACATGCAAAGAAATGGAGGTGGCCATGTTTTACTTACAGAAACAAATGACAGAGCAGATGTACACTGCAAGCCATAGTTTGCCGATCCCTGCTAACATGCATGAAAGATGATTACTATAGGGCTTCAAACATGGTACAACACCATGTTGTATTCATGTTATTACTATTGTTGGATCTTAACTTTATAAATTTCTTTAGTTTCAATAATAATAATTAGGAATAATTTAAAGTTCATTCTTTCTTCAACAAATATTTAAAGAGCACCTCTCCTATTTCAGTCACTATGCTAGGCTATTTACATAATACTGTATGTCCTCTGGAGTGGTATATTGAGTGTAGTCCACAAAAGTGGGACTCCCAGATGAGAGAGGAGAGTGGAGAAGGATAGGAAATAAATTTGAAGGGACAGAAGGATGACAATGGCAGACATACATTATTAATTAAAATTAAGATTAATATTTAACATTTTATTTGAATAATAGGATGCTCATTTTCTAAAGCAGAAACTGAGGCCAAAAGAAGTTAAGTGCTGTACAGAAAGTCACACAACTAGCAAGTACAAAAACTATTATTTAAACCAAGGGCTATCAGAAAATAGAGTGCATATCCTTTTTCTTCCGCCATTAGGCCAAGATCTCAGAAATGAACTCAAGAATCTCGGTACTGCATATAATTCTGACTAAGAGGATTAAACTAGAGAAATCACTAGAATTATCTGAGAACCATTGAGGAGGCAGAAAAAGATAGAACCAGTTAACTAAACGTCTCAGAAAGTCTGAGTCTGTACGTCCACTTCCTAAAATGATCCCAAATTACTTGAACTGCCAGAAATTTTATTTTTTTAATTAATTGTTAAAAATTTTCAACAACCTGGGAAACTAAGTATAAAAATAGTTTTAAAATGTACAAATAGTATGATAAATTTTAAAATACTTTTTCAAAACATGGATGAGAGAAACAATTGAAAGAGAGAGGGAATGAAGCAGCAAGATTACAAAACAAGTAGAGAACATCCAAGCAGACAGTTTCACTGAGGGGAATCTTCCCAATCTGGCTTAGCACCTGAGACTCAATTGGCCCCAAGAGCATCAAAACCAGGAGATAAAGCTTGGAGCTACTGTAACTACAAAAAGCATATAAATAAAGTCTATAACTTCAAAATTAGTAAAGGTAAAAAACGTATTAAGGTAAATAAAATCAAAACACCATTAAAATAGAAGAAATTAAGAAAGTAACAAAAAAGAAAAAAATGTATTGTAGACCACACAGAACAAATAAACACAAATTAAGACAATGGTACCTATTCTTTTCATGTACTCATGGAACATTTATTAAATTGGCCACAATCAGGACACTGACGTGCAATGAAATACTTTAAAAGTTAATAATAACAATATGACTAAAAATACTCAATGCATTTATAAATACATATTTTTTAAAACTCACAATTCTAAGTAATCTATAGGTTAAATAAGAAATTATAATTTAAATTAGAAAATACAGAGAATAAAATCTAATGAAATTATACCTAATAAAACCTGAGATACAACAGTAGTGGAGCTTAGAAGTAAAAGTATATAAATTGTAATTGGAATTATAAACACATATATTCAAACTATCAATACATCTGGGTCTCTTTTTTCCCCAAAAAAAGAATGTTCTAAACTTATATTAGGGAAGTATAAGGCTGACTGCCCAATTACCAGTGTTTTGGGGACAAAAGGGAAAAGGCAGGTAGAAATTTGTTCACTCTATTTGACTTCCACTTAACTCCGTGTTTTGAGTTGGGTATCCCCACCCCTACCCCCCAGCCAGCCAATCACATACACACATGCATCTGTTTTTACTGTCCACATTCTGGTCTGTTATCTAGGTTCATTTATAATACACACATAAATAAATTCATCCATATATATCTCCTCATGTATATGTCTATGTGTATTGCTAGGCCTATGAGAAGAATTTCTGGATCGTAGAACATTGTCATATTCACACTTTAGTAGGTAATGCCAACTTATTTTCCCAAGTGGTTAGACAAATTTATACTTCAACTGGCACTATGTGAATGTTACTAGCAATTTGCATCTTCACCAATACTTAGTAGCAACAGAAGACACATGCATATACACACACATTTAATTTTTGCCAATTGGAAGGATATGAGATTGAATTTCATTGTAGTTTCAATTTGCATTTCTCTAAATTCTAATAGCATTATGAATATTTTCATATGTTTACTGACCTTTTGTTTTTCCTCTTCTATTAAATATTTATTGCAGTCTTCTTTTTGGTTTATTATTTATTGGTTCATAGGAGTTCTTTATACATTTGAGATGCTAGTCTTTTATCTGCTACATGTGTTGCAACAGTTTTTCCTAGCTGTGGCTTATCTTTCTTCTTATGAAATGTGTATCTTTTGATAAACAGATGTTCATAAATTTAATTTCATTGATTTTGCCAATTTATCTCCCTTAATGATTTATGACTTTTAATCATACTTTAAAAATCACGCTGTGCCTTAAGATCATTGAAGCCAGTCTATATTTTATTTAAAGGTTTTATAATTTTACGGTGTTAATGTCTAGATGTAAGACCGTAATCTATCCAGAATTTATGATTTTGTACAAGTCAACCATATCATATTTCAGGTTTCTATTTGTATGAAACTGAGTTCTCTATTCTTTTCCTTCTATGTATTTGTTTCTCTCTGTGCCATATCACACTATTATTGGTATATTTATATTGTCTCAATATCTTATAAAGCAAATCCTCTGCTGGATTTTTCTTCAGTGCTGATTTGGGGATTCTTAAGTTGTCCTTTTGAAAAAAAAAAAGGTTCTGCTTGTTCACATAAAGAAATGTGCAGAAATCCTAAGTGTAGAACTGTATGCAAAATAAATATGCTAGTATAACTGGCACCCAAATCAAGAAATAGAACACTCCTAGCATCCCAGAATTCCCAGTCATCATGCCAATATGCAGCTGCTTTCCTGGCTTTTTTTGCTTCAGTTTACTCTTGCCTGTTTTTAAACTTTACATACTTTTACTTCTAAGCTCTACTATTGCTGTATCTCAGGTTTTATGAGGTAGAATTTCATTACTTATGTTGTTCGCCGTGTTTTCAGAGTTCTCCTTTAAAATAGAAATTTAACCAAGCCACTGCTCTTTCAAACTCCCTTGATGGGCTCTTGCTTTACCTACAGTAAAACCCAAAGGGTTTTACAGAAGTCTACATGGGCCCCTAATATGCCTGGGCCCTGTCAGCCTCTCCTATGTCACCTTCTGCCATCATTGCCTTTGCTCTCTTTGCTTTCTTGGTGTTTCTCAAACACACCATTCAGACTTCACTCTGGAGATGAGGATCTTGCTATTCCTGCTGCCTAAGAACGTTCTTCCACCGGGTACCCACACAGCTTGTGGCTTCGTTTTATTGTGCTCTCTGCTCTCACTTTATCTCTTCTGGGAAGTCTTCCCTACCTGTATGTAGTTCATAGTTAGCATCCATTTTCACCTGCTGTCTCTCTCATTCATTCTTCATTATTTAAAAAATTAAAACAAAAGTTAAATAGCCATGGTGAGACAAACTTTGTTTAGGCATTGAGAATATAACATATACAATCAGACCTAAAGGTGAAGGACATGTCAGATGTCAGTTCTGGGATTCAATAGTGACAACAGGAAAACTCCTCCTATAGGTTTATATCTAATGGAAAAGCAACATAAAAGAGATACATACAAGAGGAAAAAGGGCATGAGAATATGTAAAAAGCAAAGTCACCAGAATGTCTCTGCCGTGGCTTGAATCACACTATGCCTGTAATACTTGACCAGTGAGTGATTTAAGGAAGTTCATGCTTACTCCCACAACCCATAAAATGTGTTTGATTAGGTGGCTATCATTGTTGTTTTAATTCTAAACCTGACAAGTAAGATCCCATTTCACTTTTCACAATTGCCAAATTGCTCTCCTAAGATATCTTTTGCAACTATTAAATTAAGCAGTCTTCCATTAGTAAAACTGATTCTCAAGCATAGTTACTCAACAGGGAAGAGGACAGGAAACAGGAAGAAACTTAGCATCATTTTCATTTCCAAGGACAGGTGATCAAAAGTCAATACAACTGAGCTTTTTTTCCCTGCAAACCCTTAAGAAAAAATTAAAAAAGCAAAACAACCTAAGGTTAAATTAAATGCTTCTCTTTTTTGTCTTTTAGAAGTGTATCTTGCATCTACCAGAAAAAAATACCTCAGAACTAAATAATATAATTTAACTAATATGTTTATTTATTTTGTAGAGCAAAAACATATATGAACTATCTAAAAATAAATTCCAAAATAAAGCAAAAGGTAAAAATTGAAAAATCAAAGAAATGTTATATACACACAGTAAAATCAACACAAATTTCATCTGTTATTGCACAGAAATATAAAAGGATTCATGATTTTTCTCATAATCTGTCTTTTAAAAATATTTATGTATTTGTCTAATCTTTGTTAAGCATGTACAATGCAATTACTCCATCACATGTAGATATAATTATTAAGCAGCTTTAAATTAATGCTTATATTTCAAGGTTTCTATTTTCCTCAAAATATGTGTTCATTTTTGGTATTTCTTAACAAATGAATTTGAGGGTGGGTAAGTCTAACAAGACTGGGAGTGGTGTGATATGGTTTGGATTTGTGTCCCTATGCAAATCTCATGTGAAATTGGAGGAGGGGCCTGGTGGGAGGTGATTAGATCATGGGGGCAGATTTCCTCTTTCCTGTTCTCGTGATAGTGAGTGAGTTCTCATGAGATTTGATGGTTTAAAAGTGTGTGGCACGTGCTCCTTCGCGCTCTGTCTCCTGCTGCCATGTAAACAAGGTGACTACTTCCCTTTCGCCTTCCACCAAGATTATAAGTTTCCTGAGGCCTTCCAGTCATGTTTGCTGTTAAGCCTGAAGAACAGTGAGTCATCAATTAAATCTCTTTTCTTCATAAATTACCCAATCTCAGATAGTTCTTTATAGCAGTGTGAAAATGGTCTAATACAAGATGGTTCTCTTACAATGCACAGAAACCAACAGAGAGTCAAGGAAAATGAAGAAACAAGGGGATATGTTCCAAATAAAAGAACAAAATAAATATCCACAAGCCAGCTGTAATGAAATCTAGATAACAAGCAAAAGTGTGCTTTTTTGGTTTTGTTTGTTTGAGTTTTACATAACTTATTTAAATTTGGTTAATCAGGTTAGCTCTTGCTTTTTTTAGTAAAATATTTTATCATATACGAAAATTGTGACTTACACAATTATTTATTTGACAGAGATAAATTTAGCCTAAGAAGTATATATACACATCTCCAAAGCAGTCTTCCACATTAACATGCAAACCAGACAATGCCACATTTCTACTCACTATTCCTCCTTCTAGATTTGTGCAAAGAGCTTGTTCTCGTAAGAACCATGTTATATGGAGATGTTATTAGGAACTAAAGCCACTTAGCATTTCTACGTGAATGATACACCAAACCCTCCAAGGTGTTATTCTCAGTCTTCTAAGGAAGGGTGAATGTTAAAGAAGATAAATGATGGTATATAGACAATAAAATCGTGTCCATTGTCTTCTACCTTTATGATATGTGAAAAAGTTCCAGCAGTTTTTCAGCTTCCTAGACTCAACTTCTCATATGCGTCCATTCAGAGATAAATATATGGGTGTCATGATGATGAAGTATGGAGTGGAACAAAAACCAAAGATGTTAATTGCCTAACTAGATTTTGATTATCCTTTCTGTTCAAGAGAGAGCACTTCATTTCATTATACTTCAGGCAAAGTGCAATGATTTAAAAGCTTTTGCTTTTCATTAATTGACAGATATTAGAAAAGAGAGTGTGCATTTAATAGTATCATTATATTCTCTCTGTTGTATATCTAAGATGTAATCATGGAAAATTTGAAACTAATAACACACTCAAAGTCTTAAAATAACTTGTAATGACAGACAATACTTTCCATTCCTGAATGAGTATAAATGAGGAATACATGCATACACGATGTGCTTTATAATCTCATGCTGTTTCCCTAATCTATCATTAACTCCAATAGCCTTAAGTAAAAGTAAGTCATGATGCTTTTTATGTTGGCATAAAAAGCTTCTCATCCAAATGAAGCATCCCTCCCTCAGATTTAACTATCAGACGAGGGTGCGGTAACTTCTAAATGATGAAAACTGTTAGTGTTTACAACAGTTAAGAACCAAAATCAATAGACACATATTAAGTTGCAACAAATGACTAAGGTAAATTACAATTGTTGCCATATGCTGTGGACTTGGCTTATGCTTAGAGTAAGTACTTAATTGGATCAATAAGAAAAGCTAAAGAATTACAGGTAAATTTGATACATAATTAGTTTTTATCTCGCTTTAATACTCTATAGTAAAAAAAGCAAACTAATTATTTAAAATAGTAAGCAAACCAAAAGTTGGGAGGAAATATCTCTTGTATAGATGTTTGATAAATGTTTTTAAATTTCCATGCCAGAATAAGTTATTAGCATGCTCTACTCATGACCAAGTGATTGAGTTCTGATCTATACATAAAAGCTTAATTGAAAGGTAGGGAGAAAGGCATTGGTGTACAATTCTAGAATCTCCTAGCAAGGCAATTTACATACAAATCATTTGCAGTAAAAGAGATAGTGTTTTGTAGTAAATGAATTCATTTCTTCAACAAAATTAGATCTTAGACTGCACAAAGCCATTTTAACATAATAATATTTAACTTTTCAGTCTTCTATACCGATTAACATTACTCTTTTGATACTTCATGGTTATATAAATCAAAGAATTAAAGAGAAAGGAGAAAAAAAAATCTCCAGTATTTTACCTGCTTTCCTAGAGCCAGGAGTATTCTCTGGCATTCATCATTCCCTACAGTGAGATTCATTAACATAGAAACATGTAATTACTCACAAATGATTGTTAACATATTTTAACCACATATGTGCTGGCATGATGCTAAACGCTACAAAAATATCTCATTTATCACATTAGTCTTTTGAGACAAATAAAATTATCATTCCCACTTTCTAAGTGAGAAAAGTGAGGATTACAGCAATAAAGTAACTTGCCTAAGGTAAAACAGTGTATCAATTGTACTGCAACACTCAAGCTCATCTGATTCAAAAGCATGCCCTTAACTGCTAAGCAAGGGTGATCATATCACATTGGATTTCTGGTGTTCCACTTTGGAAACTAGAAATCAGGTATTTTCAAAATTTGTTTTAATCAATGCATATCACATAGTTCTCATAGTCATTGACATGTATTTTTGGCTTATATTTGTCTCATATATTAGAATAAAAACTGCTTCTGCTCAGGAAGCATATTACTTGTATTTTTACTGACCTCCTTCTTCTACTACCCCTTGTGTTTAGTACATGAAACATAAACTATGTCCAGTGGAAGTTTGCATATAAATTTCCAAACTTTTCAATGATGTATTGATAAGCAATAGTATCAGATGCAGCAATGATTAATGTTAGCCTAAATTAATAACAATATCTCATTTTCCAGAACAGACCATGTACACATGTTTTAATTCTGGACTTCTCAATAGTCTTAAAAACATTCCCTACTTTGGGATGAACATTAATTAATTAATTTTTCTTCCCTGATAATGTGACACTCAAACAAGAAAGCAGTAAGTAGTTATATTATAGTAAATAATGAATTGATCTTCTAAAGTTAAAAACAAAGTGTTCTCAAAATTGGGGATTGCTCATTATATACACAGGATTGAACCTTTTCTCTCCCTTTACAGTCAGAGAATTTAAGAATGAAAACATATTGAAATCTTTGAAATTGTCTAGTCAACTCTAGCTTATAAATGTGAAGAAATTATGACACAGAGAGGTGAATAGCTTTCACAATGCCATATGTTATTAAATTAAGACAGTACTACATATTGTTAAATTAGGTTAAAATTGGATCCAGGACTTCAAACTAGGGTCAACTTTTCAAAGAAATCATACCTTCTACTTGAGAAGAAATATTATAGCAGAAAATGAACAATTACTTCACAAATGCTCATTTGGATGCTTAACCTGCAAAAAATCTTAGCATTTTTTTACTATTCTAGGAGTAGAAATGTTTCCTTTTTGGCCTTAATTAATAGCAAAGGGCTCTGGAATGAGGATATTTGGTATACAATTCCACATTCTTAGGTACACACTTGTAGATGGATCGATAGAAGAATGAGGACGTGGAGCAATAGGAAATCTCATTCATTGCTGTTAAGCATTAAAAAAGGTATAGCAAACTTGGATGATAATTTGGCAATTTCTTCCAAAACTGATCCAGCAGTTGCACTCTTTGGTATTTACCCAAAGAACTTGAAATTTTATGTCCTTATAAAAACCTGCACATAAATATCAGCTTTATTTATAATTGCCAAAACATGGAAGCACCAAGATATCCTTCAGTAGCTGAATGGATAAATAAACTGTGGCACATCCAGACAATGGGGTATTATTCAGTGCTAAAAAGAAATAAGCTAAAAAATCATGGAAAGTCATGGAAGAAACTTAAATGTATATTACTAAACGATAGATGATAGAAGTCAATTTAAAAAGGCTACATACTATATGATTCCAACTATATGACAGTCTAGAAAAGGTAAAACTATGGAGATAGTAAAAGGATTCATGATTTCCAGAGGATAAGTGGAGAGAAGGAAAAATTAGCAGAGCACAGAGGATTTTTAAGGTGATGAATCTATTTTGTGTGACTTTAACAGTAAATACATGTCACTATGCAGTTGCTAAAACTTATAGAATATACAACCCCAAAAATGAACCCTAAGTAAACTGCAGACTTTGGATAATAATGATGTCTCAATGTAGGTTTGTTGATTCTAACAAACGTTCCACTCTGAAGTGGGATGTTGATAGCGGAAATCCAAGCACGTGCAGAAACATGGGATTAATTGGAAATCTCTAACTTCCTCTCAATGTGGCTGTAAACATAAAACTACTCTAAAAATAGTCTATTTTTTTTTAAATTATACTTTTTGGTCTTTTTTCTTGCTTTTTCTTTTTTCTTAGGGTAGTAATTTCTTTTGTTTCCTAACTTTTATTTTTCTTTCCTATTCATGCTTCTTGCCCAAAACTCCTCATGCTAATCTTATCACTTCCCTGCTCTGGCTCCAAGACAGATGACTACTTTTCTGTTAAACACTTTCTCCTAAAGAACTTACTTTAAAATATATGGTTACTTGGCAAACTAGCAAAAGTTATAGGTTCACAACATTTCAAAATATAACAGTATCTCAGTCATAAAATTGCATTTCAAGCTTAAAAACTTAGCTTGTATACAAAATAGTAAAGATGAAAGCACTTTTGTTTTCTTCTTAACAGAGATGTCTTCAGCAAGGATAACCATGCACGTTCTCCCCCTATTTTGTTATCAACTCATTTTAGAGCCATTAACCTTCCCTAAAATACTGAAGAGGCTCCTGCCTGTTTCTCCAGGGCCTCCTGCATGAGGGGACAGGTGGGTTTTTCTGGCTGGTGGGAAGGGGAAAGGCTGCCATCTATTGGTCAGTGTTTTCGGACTGAACAAGACCTAAGGTACTGAGTTAGTTTACACATGTTCTTCCCTGTGCTCTCTGCTCCTTCCCAGTGGCTGGTAAGGGAGGTCCTAGTCCTTCATACCTCTCCTCAAGCTCTCGCCAAGTGTGGATCCCAAAGTTCATGAGGAAAAAAAGTAAGGAGCTCTGTTCCAAGTTGTGTTCTAGAAATTAGGGTTAGTAGTTGTGAAGCCTATATATATAATAATATAGAGAGAGAGATAGTATTATATATATATAAATATATGTTTATATATATTACATATATTTATATTTATATAATGTTTTTTCTTTTTTTTTTTTTTTGTTTTTGTTTTTGAGATAGAGTTTCACTCTTGTTGCCCAGGCTGGAGTGCAATGGCACGATCTCGGCTCACCGCAATCTCTGCCTCCCGGGTTCAAGTGATTCTCCTGCCCCAGCTTCCTGAGTAGCTGGGATTACAGGCATGCGCCACCATGCCCAGCTAATTTTGTATTTTTAGTAGAGACGGGGTTTCTCCATGTTGGTCAGGCTGGAATCGGACTCCCGACCTCAGGTGATCCGCCTGCCTCAGCCTCCCAAAGTGTTGGGATTACAAGTGAGAGCCACCGCACCCAGCCGTGAAGCCTATATTTTTACTCCTGTTCCCTATGTCTAGTTCTCAGTTGGTTCACAGCACAGAAAAAAGAATATGCATCATTAGCATGCACTCAAGCCCCAAAAACATCAAGGGCATTTTCTATTGCTTTTTAAAAGTCAATACAAAATTTTACAGGGTATCTACATGTGCCACCCATACCAAATTTTACACATCTTACCTAAGTGGAAAGAGCAAGGAAAAGTCTGATTTTCAAATTTATAAAACTCTCATTGCTTTCAACATTCCTACACTGTTGCTAGGACTGGCTTCATCTCCAAAGCCATTATTGCATTCCAAAATGTTAACATCGCATATTTAATTGGAAGGAAGAGCAAGCTGACTTAATGCAAGCTTGGCTGGAAGTGACAATCTTAGGTGAGGAGGATCTAGAGAAGAAGCACAGAATAAAAAGGGGACCCTAGAGGAGCTGCTTACTGCATATGCAGTAACTTTTTCCCTGAACTGCTTACTAAAACTAAGTAATATAAAAGTATAAAAATGTCATAGAGGTAACTTATCCCTTCTGTCATCTTCAAATACATGACAAAAAAAAAGCTCAATGTCAAGAGTACAACAGTTGAATCTGTATAAAATTAGAAAGTAAAATAATATATATATTTTGACACAATTGTTCATAGTCCCTTATGTAAGCATGAGGCTTATGAATGAAAATATCACAAGCGCTCTTTAGAACAAGGTGTGATCACAACAAGTGGTCATCTAACTTGAGGGATAAAGTGTTGTTAATGTCTGGCCTTCCTGGATACTTAATTGAACCAAAATAATTTGTGGAGGGAGGCTTATCATTATAGTAAATGAGATGGAGGGGAGCAAGTGAAGCAGAGTTCAAGACAGCAGGAAATAAAAGACATAGAGAACTATCGGACCAGAAAGGGGAATTGAAACAGACCTGATGTAGCACTAATCATTAGTGAGTGAAGTAATGAACTAGGAAGAGATGGGTTTTAGTTATGGCCCACCAAATGGAAATGAGAAATTTCCAGATGTTCCATATGGTCTGTAATTTAAATGCTTTGTGCCTTCAGGTCAGAATTTTCAAGCAGATAACAGATGTAGAAAAGACTCAGGATTTCATGCACACACCATGATGGTTAGCTTTCAAAAATCTCAGGGCTTGCATGTAAACTCCTCAAGTAAGAAGTTGGGGCTTAAAATAAAGCCTGTCAGACCCTAGGCAGAATTCCATCTGAGAAAAAGAGTTGCAGGTTAATAATAGCTTTCTTTTTACATCCCAATTCAAATGGTACAAAACAGTGTTAGGGATTTTAACACGATGGCACCAATTCAAGAGCTATAGGGTTCAAAAGAACATTTCTTGCCAAATGGCCTTTTTGCTAAAGAAAATAATTTGAATGAAAGACCTTGATATTGGGAGATTAATTCTGCATACAACTGAACACAATGCCCAAAACATCAAAATGTCAATTTTATCTTAAAGGAAACAGAAATTTTCCCTATAGTTACAAGTAAATTTTCATCATTTTTTAAAACTCAAAACTAGTGGAATTATTACATTTTTAGAAGCAAAATTTAAGTCACTGAATAAATCTTTGTTAGGTCCTATGTTGTATACCAACAGGATTTAGAAATAAGCCTCTCTCCCACCTAGCATAAAATCAAGTAAAGGAGATAACAAATACACCTAAATAAATAATCAAAAATTCTAGAGTGGCTTGAAATCTACATACTACTAAGTAAATATGGAGATGCTGAGAGTAGAACAATATTTATATATGATCAGAGGAATAAAGGAAGTGTCACAGAAAAAATAATATTCCAACTGAGCCATATGAGTGTATGTGATAAAAGGCCATGTAGTATTTCAAAGCACACGTTTGAGTCCAAGCTCTGCTCTACACTTACCTTGTGACATGAACCAAGTTACTATATCTCTCTAAGCCTCAAGTTCTGAATCTGTACAATGGGAATATAGATTTCCTGAATTGTAGGGTTCTTGCTAGGATAAAAAGAGATAATACATTTAAAAATGCTTCCCTAGTATGTAGGACTCAGCATAAAGGAAACTCTACTTTCCCTCTCCACATGTTACTGCTTTGAACAACATATAGAAACATTTAGTGCTACTACTCTCTTCTCAGAGGAGGATTAGAAGAAAGGCTTTTCCTCTGTTCTTCACTTCTCAATTACTGTTCCCTATAGATTAGGATTTATAGGTAAACATAACATGAAGATAGCTGGTCCAGTGTGCCCCAGGTTTCTCACTTTCTCTCTCTTTCCCTGCTTGCTTTCAATTAATGGCCAGCAGATGAAGCATGTTCTCTTTTTCACCTCTGTTTTTGGGAATCCAGACCCATTACTCACCCTACTACTTCAAGGTGTTTGAGGCAAGGGTGAGGTCCTTCACATTTGCCTTCTGACTCTTAGCTATACGGTTCTGGACTTCTTAGATTTGGGATGGGGAAAGTATTATGAAAGCTCCCTTTAGTTTGGAGCTGGAATGTTAGTCTTCAAACCATTTTGCTGTGTATTTTTCCATAAGGCTCTTTTTTAGTTTTTTTTTTTTTTAATTGGTCTAGAAGCAAATGAAGAGGAAGGGTCATTAATTATTAACCTTCGATTATCTGAATTATCAGGTGATACCTTGGAGAAAGTATAAATAATTATATGGTCATGAGCTCACAAAATGTAGACTCTAAAGTGAAAAGAGCAAGCCATGTATGTTTATGTAATAGAATGGCTCTTCGTAGTGGAATATGGGGGAAATACTGGACTTAGGTGCCTGGCTCCTCTTTCTCTGGAAGGACGAAATACAATGACTTCCTTCTCGCTTTCAGTTTGTTTAAAATATATAATATTAAAATATCCAAATCGTCCTGTTGTAAAATTAAATTTTTGAGGTATCTATATACATGCATACTATGAAAATGCTTATATTTTGTATCAGCAGCTTTGAAGAATGTAAAATCACCAAAAAAACACACTTCAAAGTTGTGCAAGGAATGACTTTTCTATACATTCCTAGGTGCTCATGTCAGCTAACTGCGCCATTTAAAAAATCAGCATGGAAGCCACCTCCACCATCTGTGCAAATAGCACTAAAATACATCATTGTGCTGTGTCCTCTAAGCTCACCTGTGGAGTGTCCGGCTCCTTCACTGAAATACTGATTGCCTATACCTGAGGCAAAAACCCTGGATATCTACTGCATGAATACTCCTTGTCTTCTTGTTAGCAGCTGAGAATGAGTACTCCCTTAAATTTTGTGCCTCAAGCTCAAAGTTTTCCTCACCCTCATCCTGGCCCTGTTTAATCAACTTGTCAAAAAAAAAATGGTTATGAATAAAGTGAAACATTTGTTTTAGCTTTTACTGGTAGTTTTGTTTCCTTTGAGTTGAAACTTTTCTGGGTCAAACTTAATCTTCACCCCCAATTACTGATACTCAGATAGAACTTGCATATTCATACCTTATAGACATCAGGGTCAACAGAAATATTATAGACAGCTAGAACACTTTATTTAGAGTACTCTAAAACAGAAATGGGTCTGTCTTCCATTTATGAATTTTTTTTCACCTTAATGATTTGAAACTATAAACTGCATATATATTCAGAAATTGAGAATGGAAATCTAAATGTTTTTAAATTTACACATGATATGAGGTTTGAGACACTAGGATTGCCTTGACAATTAAATCTGGCTTAAGGTCAAATACTCTAAAATTTGATCATTATTTTTAATAAATTTTCATAAATTTATATATATGTTTCTGTGTGTGTTTATTCAGTAGAGTGGAGGAGAGTGGTATTAGAAAGATGGTGAAATAGGAGTTTCCACCACTCATTCACTCACAGAAGCAAATTTGAACAACTATCACGAGCAAAAATAACTTCACGAGAGCTAAAGAATACAAGTGAGATATTACAGCACCCAAGTGGAACACAGAAATAAGAAAAGATGCATTGAAGAAGGTAGGAAGGATAGTTTCACATTGTTGGCATCACCCCACCCCTAAGCCCGTGCCGCTTAGAGAGAAATGCCCTTTTTGTGGGGGAAAGACAGTAAAGTGAGTGCCTGACTTTGCCCAAGTACCAGGCCCATCCCAGTGAATTCTGGAGCCAGCTGATTCCCATGCTGCAGCCACCAGTTCAACCCCCACAGCTCTAGGCTTCAGTTCCAACTAAGTGCAAGTCTTGCTCCATGGCCCAAGGCTCCAGGTTGGCCCCTGTAGGACCAGGTTCCAACCTACCCCTGAGGACCCATGCCTCAGGCTGATGCCAATGCCAGGCCAGTTTTCGCAGTCCTAGGCTGTAAGCCTGACCCAGTGCCAGACCATCCTTAGGACATCAGACTTCAGCTTGCCCCTTCAGACCTAAGCTTTGGGCTCAACCCAGGCCAGATCAAGCTCCAGACCAGCCCTTGCAGCACCAGATACCAGGTTCATATTCATGGACCTAGTCTATAGGCTGGCTCCCAAGAACCCAGGATCCAGGCCCATACCCATGGACTGAAGCTTTAGGCTTGCTTCTGTGTAACCAGGTGCCAGGCCCACCAGCATAGACCCAAGCTCCAGTATCATTCCAATGGACTCAGGCACCAGGATCATCCTTTCAAATACAAGCACTAGGCATACCCACTCACTGACCCAGGCACTAGGCATCCTGCCCAAGTATTCTGTCAATAAGCCTGCCCTGGTTCTTCTAGAAGGGCTGACTAATGAGAGCTTTCTCTGCCAAGGCCATTCTGTAAATACTGGAAGACATGTCTACTTAGGCAAATGTACAACACAAGGCCACAAGGGACATGAACAATCATGGGAACATGACACCACTAAATAAATGAAATAAAGCACTAGTAACCAGCCCTACAAAAATGGAGATCTATGAACTGCCTGCCAAAAAAATTCAAATGATTATCTGAAAGAAGATAATGACCAATAAGGGAAGACAGACAATTAAAATAAAATCAAAATTTGTTTATGTTCACATAAACAAACTGTGAAGCTTAACAATGAGATAGATATCATAAGAAAGAATTAAATGAAAATTGCGGAGCTGAAGAATACAAAGACTCAACTAAAAAATTCAATAGAGTGATTCAACAGTAGACTTACTCAAGCAGAAAAAAAGACTCAGTGAGCTTGAACACAGGTTATTTAAAATTATGTAGTCAGAGGATCGAATAGAAAACATAAGGAAAAGAGTGAAGAAATCCTATAGGACTTAAGAAACACCATCCAGAGAAGCATTATATGCATTATGAAAGTTTAAGAAGGAGCAGAAAGAGACAAAAGCAGAAAGCTTATTTAAAGAAACAATGATAGAAAACTTTCCAAATCTGGAAAGGAAAATGAATACTCAGTTTGCCCAAATAGATTCAAATAGATCGAGTGCAAAGAGTTCTTCTCCAAAATACAATAATGAAATTCTCAAAAGAAAAAAATAAGGAATTTTGAAAGCAGCAAAAGAAAAGTGAATTATCACTTACAGGGGAACCCCTCGTAGGACTATAAATGGATTTATCAGTCAAAACTTGGTAGGCTAAGACATATTAGTATAATATAGCCAAAGTGCTGAAAGCAAAAAATGCTACCAAGAATAAAATACGTGCCAAAATTGTTTTTCAGAAATGAAGTAGAGATTCAGATATTCCCAAACAAAAGCTTAAGGAATTCATCACCACTAGACTTGTGCTACAGAAAATGCTAAAGGAAGTTACTCAAGTTGAAATGAAGGGATGCCAACTAAACGTAGGAAAACATATGAGAGCATAAAACTCACTGTAAAGAAATGAATATAGTCAAATTCAGAACACACTAACACTGTAATGGTGGTGCATAAGTCAATTTTAACTCTAGCATAAAAGTAAAAAGATCTGGCCGGGCGCGGTGGCTCACGCCTGTAATCCCAGCACTTCGGGAGGCCGAGGCGGGCGGATCCCGAGGTCAGGAGATCGAGACCATCCTGGCTAACACGGTGAAGCCCTGTCTCTACTGAAAATACAAAAAATTAGCCGGGCTCATGGCGGGCGCCTGTAGTCCCAGCTACTCGGGAGGATGAGGCAGGAGAATGGCGTGAACCCGGGAGGTGGAGCTTGCAGTAAGCCGAGATCGCGCCACTGCACTCCAGCCTGGGAGACAGCAAGACTCCGTCTCAAAAAAAGAAAAAAAAAGTAAAAAGACCAAACTATTAAAAACAACTATATCTACAATAATTTGTTAATAGATGCACAATGTAAAAAGATGTTGATTGTGACATCAATAACAAAATGTGTGTGGAATAAGTTAAACTGTAGTGTTTTGTACACAATCAACATTAAGTTATTATCAGCTTAAAATAAATGTTTTAACTAAAAGATACTTCATGTAAACTTCATGATAACCACAAAGAATAAAACCTGTAGTAGATACACAAAAGAGAAAAAGAATCAAAGCATACTTCTATTTAAAAAAATCATCAAATTACAAAGGAATACAGCAAGAGAGGAACAACAACAACAAGAAACTTCAAAACAGTAAGAAAACAATTAGCAAAATGGATGTAGTAAGTCTTTACATCTCAATAATTACTTTAAATACAAATGGATTAAATTCTCTAGTGGAAAGAAATAATAGCTGAATTGATACAAAATAAGACCCAGCATATGCTGCCCGTAAGAAACTCACATTAGTTTGAAGAACACACATGGACTGAAAGTGAAGAACTGAAAAAAAAGTATTCCATCTACATGGTAACCAAAAGAGATCAGGCGGGGTCTATGCTTATGTAGCCAAAGTAAACTTTAAGTCAAAAACTCTCATGAGACAAAGAAGGTCATTATGTAATCATAAGGGGGTCATTTCATCAAGAGGATGTAACTGTTGTAAAAAAAGTGTACTCCCACTGTTGGAGCACCTATATATGTAAGGCTAGTATTAACAGAACTGAAGGGAGAATTAGACAGTAATAAAATAATAGTATGGGACTTTCAGTACCCCATTCTTACAATAAAGAGATCATCCAGACAGAAATTCAGCAAGAAAACAGTGAACTCATGCAACGCTATGGACCGAATGGAGCTAACAGTCATATACAAAATGCTTCATACAAAAGCAATAAATACACATTCTCTTCAAGTACACATGGAATGTTCTCCAGAATAGATCATCAGACCACAAAATAAATGTAAGAAGATTAAAATCATATCAAGTATCTTTTCTAACCACAATTGTTGGAAATTAGAAATCAATGACAGGAGGAAAATTGCAAAGTTATAAATACATCAAAATTAAGCAACATACTTCTACTCAGAATAACTGATGGGTTAAACAAGAAATCAAAAGGGAAATTTAAAAAAAATCTTGAGACAAAAGAAAATAGAAACACGACATACCAAAGCTTATGAAATACAGAAAAAGCAGTTCTAAGAAGAAAGTTAAAGCAATAAACATCTATATCCGACATGTTCACTTATTCTAAGTGAAATACACCAGGCACAGAAAGACAAATACTCCATGATCTCACTTATAAGTGGAATCTTAAAAAAGTCAATCTCCTAGAAGCAGAGAGCAGAATGGTGGTTGCCAAGGTTTTGAAAGAAAGGAAACAGAGAGATGTTGGTCAAAGTGTATAAGGTTTCAGTTATGCAGAATCAGTATTTTCTACGTATCTAATGTACAGCATGGCAATTACGGTTAATAATACTGTATTATATACTTGAAATATGTTAAGTGAGTAGATCTTCAATGTTCTCACTACATAAAAGGTAACTATGTATCCTGAGACTTTGCTGAAGTTGCTTATCAGCTTAAGGAGATTTTGGGCTGAGACAATGGGGTTTTCTAGATATACAATCATGTCGTCTGCAAACAGGGACAATTTGACTTCCTCTTTTCCTAATTGAATACCCTTTATTTCCTTCTCCTGCCTAATTGCCCTGGCCAGAACTTCCAACACTATGTTGAATAGGAGTGGTGAGAGAGGGCATCCCTGTCTTGTGCCAGTTTTCAAAGGGAATGCTTCCAGTTTTTGCCCATTCAGTATGATATTGGCTGTGGGTTTGTCATAGATAGCTCTTATTACCAAAATCACAAGCATTCTTATACACCAACAACAGACAGAGAGCCAAATCATGAGTGAACTCCCATTCACAATTGCTTCAAAGAGAATAAAATACCTAGGAATCCAACTTACAAGGGATGTGAAGGACCTCTTCAAGGAGAACTACAAACCACTGCTCAATGAAATAAAACAGGATACAAACAAATGGAAGAACATTCCATGCTCATGGGTAGGAAGAATCAATATCGTGAAAATGGCCATACTGCCCAAGGTAATTTACAGATTCAATGCCATCCCCATCAAGCTACCAATGACTTTCTTCACAGAATTGGAAAAAACTACTTTAAAGTTCATATGGAACCAAAAAAGAGCCCGCATCGCCAAGTCAATCCTAAGCCAAAAGAACAAAGCTGGAGGCATCACACTACCTGACTTCAAACTATACTACAAGGCTACACAGTAACCAAAACAACATGGTACTGGTACCAAAACAGAGATATAGATCAATGGAACAGAACAGAGCCCTCAGAAATAACGCCGCATATCTACAACTATCTGATCTTTGAGAAACCTGAGAAAAACAAGCAATGGGGAAAGGATTCCCTATTTAATAAATGGTGCTGGGAAAACTGGCTAGCCATATGTAGAAAGCTGAAAGTGGATCCCTTCCTTACACCTTATACAAAAATCAATTCAAGATGGATTAAAGACTTAAACGTTAGACCTAAAACCATAAAAATCCTAGAAGAAAACCTAGGCATTACCATTCAGGACATAGGCATGGGCAAGGACTTCATGTCTAAAACACCAAAAGCAATGGCAACAAAAGCCAAAATTGACAAATGGGATCTAATTAAACTAAAGAGCTTCTGCACAGCAAAAGAAACTACCATCAGAGTGAACAGGCAACCTACAAAATGGGAGAACATTTTCGCAACCTACTCATCTGACAAAGGGCTAATATCCAGAATCTACAATGAACTCAAACAAATTTACAAGAAAAAAACAAACAACCCCATCACAAAGTGGGCGAAGGACATGAACAGACACTTCTCAAAAGAAGACATTTATGCAGCCAAAAAACACATGAATAAATGCTCATCATCACTGGCCATCAGAGAAATGCAAATCAAAACCACAATGAGATACCATCTCACACCAGGTAGAATGGCAATCATTAAAAAGTCAGGAAACAACAGGTGCTGGAGAGGATGTGGAGAAATAGGAACACTTTTACACTGTTGGTGGGACTGTAAACTAGTTCAACCATTGTGGAAGTCAGTGTGGCGATTCCTCATGGATCTAGAACTAGAAATATCATTTGACCCAGCCATCCCATTACTGGGTATATACCCAAAGGACTATAAATCATGCTGCTATAAAGACACATGCACACGTATGTTTATTGTGGCATTATTCATAATAGCAAAGACTTGGAACCAACCCAAATGTCCAACAATGATAGACTGGATCAAGAAAATGTGGCACATATACACCATGGAATACTATGCAGCCATAAAAAATGATGAGTTCATGTCCTTTGTAGGGACATGGATGAAATTGGAAATCATCATTCTCAGTAAACTATCGCAAGAACAAAAAACCAAACACCGCATATTCTCACTCATAGGTGGGAATTGAACAGTGAGATCACATGGACACCGGAAGGGGAATATCACACTCTGGGGACTGTTGTGGGGTGGGGGGAGGGGGGAGGGATAGCATCGGGAGATATACCTAATGCTAGATGACGAGTTAGTGGGTGCAGTGCACCAGCATGGCACATGTATACATATGTAACTAACCTGCACAATGTGCACATGTACCCTAAAACTTAAAGTATAATAAAAAAAAAAGGTAACTATGTGATAATGGATATGTTAATTAGCTTGATAGTGGAAATAATTCACAATGTATACATATGCTAAACATCACATTGTACTCCTTAAATACATACAATTTCTGTCAGTTATACCTCAATAAAGCTGAATAAGGTGTACATTAATCTAGAATAAGCATTTTGTTATGTGCTTTCATAAAGTCGCTCTGCATTTATTAAAAATAGAACCAAGAAAACATTTCTATAATCATGATGGGCAATTAGTGGAGCCAACTGGGATAAAATCATTTCCAGATATGAGTTATATCTGAAATCACTGGCAAAATATTCTGGAAGAGATTGTCCACTTTTTCATGTATTCAAATAGAACCAGACGAATTTTATGCAAAAGATTTTAGAGTTGCCCTAAAATCATTCCTTGTCCTTCTATTCAGATACATGTGCTGATTAAGTACCATAATTTTCCTAACGTGTCTATAACCTTTGTCAAGATTATTGTCAAAGCATGTGTAACTGTATTTAAGCAGCAACAAATAATACCAGTACTTTAAGATTATGCAGAATGAACCAACGTTTCCCCCAACCTTTATCAATATCTAACTATGAAAAAAATACTATTTATGAAGGATATCCTGCAGAAATAAATATAAATTTTCTTATCTGTTCTAAATTTTATTTTGTGTAAAGCCAAAACTATTTGCTTAGGAACCCAACGTATTATGTCTCCTTTAAAAAAATAAATTTTTGCTACCAATTGCTCTTTGGTATTATCCATGAGTTTAAAGCCTACCATGAAAGACCATGTTAAAAAAGTCCTTTTTGTTGTAGTTATTATAGGAATATTATTAAGGATATATTAACCATACTACTTGTTTTTCTGTGAGTAAGGACTGTGGAAAAATCCCTGACTTACACTGATCTAGAGATGTCCAAGAAGAAATCTCCCAGGGATACCGAGGAACAACTCTATATTTTGTTGTAAATCTTTTCATTTAATAAGTATTAATGAAAAGTGCACTTCATTTCATTTTACAATCTGATTTTCACTCCAGATAACTGCTGTGATTGTCTTCCGGGGCTGTTATCAGTGCTAGAGAGAAAAGCCCCTCCTCATTGTGTACAGCACTGCATGGCTGAGTTGAGCTTTTCTATGCACTGTCAACAGAAAGGATTAAAGCAAACTACAAGGAGAAGTAGCATCTCTATCATATGGGTCAGTTTAAATTTGTACTATCAGCTCTAATTATTATGTTGTTTCAGCAAATGTCATCTGCTTTCATTATAATAGTTATAATATATGAATATTGAGTCCTAAGAATTCAAATTCAAGTGAACACCTTTAATTTGATCAAGTGTCATTTCAGAAGCCTCCTTTTTCACTAGTAGGATGAAGGCTTAGGCATTATTGTCACATATTGATAACTGTAATTAAAGCATGATATTTTATTAAAGGTAACAAGACTACTTCATACAACAAAAAATAAATTACAAATAGAATTTGTGAGAAGACATTTAAATAAAATTTTAAAAGTGATAAATTTAGAAAATGTAGTTTAAGTTATAAATTGAATCTGCAAAGAAGCAGCTACAGGACTTCCAACACCCCTATATTCCCCTTTGAGGACCAACCTAGAGAGAGTTGTCCTAAATAAATAGGTAACTCTTTGAAGAGCTCCATGAAGTGGACTTTATTCCACTTTGCTTTTCACACAGACATCCCATATAGAGCCTATGATTAGCTAAAGATGCCTTCAGAGTGGTGTAGTGTTTCAAATCCAATCCCATTAAATTCCAACATATGATACAGATATTCAGCCATTTTAAATCACAACAGTCTTTTTATCTTTAATTTTAAAACTTATAGTTATTTCACACCCAGCATATCAATATGGTATCACAAGCTGGGATGAAAACTTACCTAGGATCTAGAGGGAAATAACCCATATAATTTTGAAAGTTACATTGATGTATTTACTGCTTCCCAATAGTACCCATAAAGTAATTGAACCCTAAACTCTACCAAGATATACTTTTCAGGCTGTCATAAATTCCATTCACACAGGATAGCCAACTCAAGGAGCAGTTCCCTAAACAAAATGATTGTAAAGAACATGGCTGTGCTGCAGCCAAGCAGGCACAGGGCAGCAGGCATAGGCCGAGGTAAACAGCCTGAATGACTCAGCGAGATTGTGGTGCATGCGCACAGTTCCGTTGTCTTATATAATCATAGCCAGGAAGACATAACATAGGGAAGCTTACCACGTGGCTCTCAGCCACTATTGTTTGTGTGATGTATAAATGTAACACTGACACTGTGAAGGAGTTGCTAACTAAGCCATGTTTCATTTACCTGCTCTCTCTCAAGTGTTCTTCCAGCTCCCTGCCCCACGTTTACCCACTCTCCTCGGCCCTCAGCTGGGGCTGGAACCTGACCCTGAGCAAGACAATGATGCACAAATTTGAATCAGTTCACTGTTAGTTTTAGTGTGTGTGTGTGTGTGTGTGTGTGTGTGTGTGTGTGTGTGTTGTGGGGAGGTTAGTTATCAAATATAACTGCTTTCCACTTTACCCTCTGTTCTAAGCTATTTTACTGCTTTTTAAAAAGCACTGGGGTTGGATTTTATATAAATTCAAACCAGCAAAAAACAAAAACGACAAAACAAAGCCGATGTAAGATCAACATGGGAGGATATCACATTCTTTTAAACAAAAAGCGAAGTAATAATTCCACTTCAATTCTATTGTCTTTGTGTTTCTGTTAAATTTTTACTGTGAAGGAGGATGACATTAAATTAGAAACTATACTTTCATACAAATACATTATTATCTGACTTTAATAAAAAATATAAATTTGTCAATTGTTGATATACTATTATACTTGATGTGACTATATATGTTCGATCCACATACTACATAATATATGAATATTAACATTATGGACCAGAAAGTAAAAATGCCTACATTTCCTAACAAGATACTATAGGCTTTGGGTATTTGAAATTTCTCAATGACAAAAACTAAAACATTGGAATGGTGGTTTCCAGAGACTTGGGGGAGAAAAAAACAAAGATATTTTAGTCAAGGGTACAAAATTTCAGATACACAAGATATATAAGTCCTAGAGGTCTACTGTACTATATAGATAAAGTGTGTGTGTGTGTGTGTGTATATATATATATATACACACACCCACATACACTGACTATAGTTAACAATATAATAGTGTATACTTAAAATTTTTCTAAGTTGGTAGATCTTATATTAAGTATTTTTATTGGAAAATGACAATAATAAGAGAATGGGAAGAAACTTTTGGAGGTGATGGGTAGTTTATGGCATAGATTGTGATGATGATGGTTTCGTGGTTGTATACTTATCTCTCAATCATCAAGTTGTATGCATGAATCATGTATAGCATTTTGTATGTCAAAAAAAGAGAAGAAAAAATTAAAAGATGAGGTGAAATCTGCAAAGCACCGTTGAGAAAGTACAAATCACTATGGAAATTCATTCAAGGAAATTATCATATTTGCTTGATGGATTAAGAACTCTTTCATGAAGCGTATATTAGAAATAGGTTCAAATGCTGACAGGCAGATTTGAGAAAGATTTTTTTAGATAAAGTTACTGGCATAAGTAAAAATTCATGTTGGAAAATTTGAAGATATATGGTGAAGAGTTCATATTAGATATACTGGAGTATGGGAAAATCTGGCATACGCTTTTAATTGTAGTTTAGGATAACTTTATCTTGAGTCTTAAACACCAGGGTAGGAAATTTGTACTATTTTCAGGCAGCATCAACAAGCAGTGAATGTTCACTGAAAGTATATTATGAACTAAGGGATGCCATTCTAGTGGCATTATAGAAAAGTGACTCAACAACTATTGAGCAAGACTGGAGGAAAGAAGAATTAATGAAAGACAGCTCAGTTAAGAGACTATTTCAAGTTCTTTAACCTCTCTGCAATTCACATGCCCTTTCTGCTAAAAATAATAGCCTTATAACGTTATGAGTTAAATAATATATGAAAACAAAAGTAAGCATGGAAGAAACAGTAGCTCTCTCTAGTATTATAAATTTTGTAGATTTAGGAAAGTTGTATAAAACTGGAAAACATAATTTCTTTAATAAATATGGAATCATAGTGTTACCTGAGGGTTTTTAAAGGGTAAAATAACATTTGTTAACAACCTTGTCAGCAATGAAGTTCTACACAATATAACATGATATAAAAGTGAATGGTATCAAAAAAAAGAAGAGAAAATAATAAATGAATATATTCATGACCCAACATATATAATTCACAGAGGGTAATCTTTCATCACCATAGTCTATAGTCCTTAAAAAACCATGAGAAGCTTTAGACCCATATTTATTAGTTGCTGCTCAACACTGTGATCGAGGTTTGAAAGAAAACATATCCAAGGAGAGTTATCATCATTTTTCTGAAAACACTGGTGTCCAGGGATACTGGTAAAAATTCCCTGGAAAATCATATTTGCATGGTTACTGTGATACCGTCAATAGGATGCCTCCTGCACTATGAAAGGTGTGTGGCTTCTTTTTGTTTTACATCATTAGTTATTGGTTCATTTAAATCCAAAACCAATGCCTTATTATTTCTACTACATATGCAATATCTAGATAAGCACTGTGATATAATTCACAACCCCATTCCCATTTTTTTTTACAGAAAACATCTTAAAAATTACTATCCCACAAAAACAGTCTTACAAATGTAAAGGTATAAGACATATTACATATGCCTTTTTTAAAAGAGCTAATTTTTTTATGTTCACAAATTTTCCCATCATTACAGGATAAGTAATGAAAAGCATGGTGACCACAAGTAAGTCACTTGCACTACTGATTTGTATAATTAAACAGATGCTGCCAACGCCACCACTAAATCTTTAAGGAATGTTTACAGAAGCCGACAAAAGCATGTCAATAGTGAGAACAACGGAATGTAAAGTATGAATTGCTTTGGGGTATGTGACTAGAAAATTTTTCCCCCAGCCAAAAACAAAAACAAAACAACAACAACAACAACAAAAACTGCAGAAATATTTTAGAGCTAGTAATTAACTTGCTGCTAAAGTTGGCATTGAATCTCCCAACATATCCCTTTCCCTCAGACCTCTAACAAAATCTGTGCATGAGGAATGCTCATTTCCAGCTGGGTAAGACACTGTGCAAATGTAGGATTTCACAGTTCACCAGAAGGATTATATCACTTTCCTTTTTGGAAGAAGTCCAGACTTCATTACGAAGGTGCATCACATTGTTATACTGCAGAAAGCAACATATGGCATTATATCTCTAAACAGCTAAAAATGGACTTTCAGCTAAAAAACTTAGTTGTGAAATAAACAGTACATGTTCAGTATGTGCAAAGTTAGGAGTATAATCTATGAATTATGAACAAATATAGCAATATATAAGTACATTTTTAAACATGCCATTGTAGAAATATAATGCACAATTTATAATTGCTGGATGCTATCATTTTCTTTAATTGGTAAAGGATATTAGAGTTAAAATGTTTTGTAAGTGATCAGTAATATTGCCAAAATTCAGAAGATAAGTAATCAGACACTGGTTTTTAAAAGGTTTGTTGCAACCATAAGCTGAGTTCCATTAAAGAAGATTAAATAAAATCAGACCATCCACACAAACTTGCACTAATGGGAAAAATGAATGGATCATTAGCTGAAACAGTTATTCATATAACATTGTTAACATAAACTGTATTAGCTTTTCATGACAGCTAAATATTATTAAAAGCTAGTCAGTTACACATAGCGACCTATACACTCACAGGATTGATGATTTCTATCTAAAGGGCATGGTTCTGTTTATGACTTTCTTTCAGGTCTCTGCTGCTGGAAATACTGTGTCTATTATTTCACAGTGTACCTAGAGCCACAGTGTGATGCGGCAGCCAAACAGCTGAAAATTTTGCTCTGTACTGGATGGAGATGAAATATGCACAGTAGGAGCATAAAATAGCAGTAGTTTACCGTGAAACTACCAAATTTCCACTTTTCTCTTTAAAGATATGTATAATTGTAAAGTTGGAATTGTGTAGCATTTCTAAATACTGAGAAAAGAAATGCATGCTTATGTCCCATGTTCTCATGCTGGAGAAAAATTTAGCAATATAGTTTCTAAAATCAGGTGTGATTTCCACTTAAAGGCTGTAGTGAATGGTACTAACTTCCCAAGGAATTTAAAAAGTTACTAATGTCATGTATTGGTACCTTCACTTCATTTCATGTGATTTCCTGTAGTATAGTATAATTAATGGCTTGGGTATGAAAGTTGACACTTCTTCACCTTTCTCCCTCATTTATTACACTGAAATATGTAAGCATTTGTTTCCCATAGATATATCTGATGGCATCATCTCTAAATGTGAATAGAAATATTTAGTAATCTGTATATAATTCGATTTCCTTGGACTTTGCATCTCATGACCTCTCACACCATGTATATTGCTAAACTTAACACTAAACAGATCTCTCAATAAATGATTGCAAATAAATGATGATGTCATTAAATATAGGTAGTACATTCTTTACTGTGTGGGGAATGCCTTAATAACTGAATTATTCACATCCAATAAGGTTAGTAGCATTTTGCTTTTACACCCCTTTGGTAAGTTCTTCACCTGCCATATACAGACACATCTGCTAAGCATTTCTTTCAAATCTGAGCGCTCTTCTCTCACACTCCTTTCTAAAAGTTCCATGTCACTGAAAAGAAAACAAATATACAGAAAAATTGGAATAGTATTCCATCATGTCCCCCACACTAGATGCACAATTACTCATAAATATACACAAGTACACACACACATAAATTCTATATGTATACCTTGAATACTTTCCCAAGTAGTCTATGCATCTAATACTGAGTTCCAATTGCTTTGTTCTTTCCTTCAGAATGTAAAAAAACTTGAGAAAACATAGCATAATAACATAGATGGTAAAACCTAGCTAGAAACCTACATTTCTTCACAATGACATTTTAATGAACCAGAAAAAAATTAAAGCAAAGAAAATTTGCTCTTACCCATAATCAGACTAATGACTTTTCCGTATATTGTTTTCAGATCATACAAGGAAGGGCTTGCTATCCTGTGATAATATTTCTTATGCAGGATAGCATAACACCACACAAGCACACAGACTTACACACACACACACACACACACACACACAAACACACAGAGTTTATTAGCTGAATAATGGACTTCAGTTTAATTTACAGTTATGCAATTGGCCAAAGATTTAGTACTCCTAGTGGCTTTTCTTCAACTTTTGTTATGGTGCCGTTTGATTGTATTTATGAATGTGACCTTATATCCTATACCAGCAGAAGAAAGTAAGATAAATTGGACTCTAAAACACACACACAATAGCAGACAGTACTGTTTAAAGATTAATAAGTGATCTCACTATAGCACTTCAACTGCCTATAGCCTAAAACTATCTTTCCTTTGGTACTTTCCAGCCAGTCCCTAAAGGACCAATAAACCAAGAGCACTAGACAGATCTGAACTCACCTATCACAGCTTTGATTATGCTCTTGTGCACTATGTGTTTCTTCTTAAAAGCATCTAATTCACTGCCTGTTCACAGCATCCATTATTTGAAGCAAAGGACACTAGGAGAAGTAAATAAAACTTTTAAAAGACATATTGTAAAGTGAATTCATTCAATTTTCCTTTCTTATGTATCAAAACCCAAAGCCTTGTATTGCTCTTAAGATGTGATTTTCACACCACTTAATTTTTTTTTTGCCAGATATAAAAACTGCACATTTCTAACTGCGTTTCACCTCCTAGCATCTGTGCATTGCACCAAGATGTTCAGACATCTCATCACAAGGCTTCCAAGACATCAGTACCTGGGGGACCCCACTTTGGGTCCTGAGGGCACATACTCTCTTCACAGTGGGAATCCCAGAAGGGAAGAAGCCAATGTAAAGAATTTAGAACTCTGCCCATAGCCTACCTGTTTACCCCTCCACGCTAGGGACTTCATAATCAGAAACACTCCCGCAATGTTTGACCCTCCTTTCCAACCTCTGATCTCCAGATTTCTTCTTGAACAGCATCTGCAAAGCTTCCTGTGACAGAAAATGGCTAAAGAATCTATCCTGTTATTACTTAACATTAGCGTGAGTAATTCATATTATGCAGTTGTAGTATTTTACAATTGTTTGACTAGCTAAAATTTATAAATGCACCCACATGAATATACTTCCATTTGCAAAACTAAATATCAGATACATAACACTAAACACTCCAAACATGAGAAAGTGTCTTTCAGCACTTGTTTCATTTTTTATGCAAAGATATTGAAAAACAGAGTCAGGGCTCATTATCTTTAGCCTGAAGAAAAGGATTGTGTAAAGACCAGATGAAAGCAGACAGCTAAAAATTAGAGTCAAACCAGATAATTCAAAGGAAACAATTTCCTGTGGTGGCTAAATGTCCTAATTTGTCTCTATTGAGGCATTAACCATGAAGTTTTCACATCATTCCTTTTGCATGAGTTTATGCCAGCTATATGAATACAGAAAGGAGAATGGCAATGTCTACTTGTAAGCCTCAAACTGAATTTCTAATTAGTATAGTTATTTCCAATTAATTATTTACATTTTCTTCAACAATAAAGGCAGTGAAGTAATTTGTTATTTAATATTCTTTATATAATTATATTTGGCTATTGAGAGTGTCTTATCTTTTTGTTCTATTTTATGCAATGCTATTTTGAGATCTCCAACACTCTTTAGACCAAACACGGTTTTCCACCAAATGATTTTCATTTTAGTATTTCTTTTCTTTTTTTTTTTTTTTTTTTTTTTGAGACAGTCTCACTCTGTCGCCCAGGATGGAGTGCAATGGCATGACCTCGGTTCACTGCAACTTCTGCCTCCTGAGTTCAAGTGATTCTCCTGCCTCAGCCTCCCGAGTGGTTGGGATTATAGGCATGCACCACCATGTCCGGCTAATTTTTGTATTTTTAGTTAGAGATGGGGTTTCACCATGTTGGCCAGGCTGGTCTTGAACTCCTGACCTTGCAATCCGCTCACAGCCTCCCAAAGTGCTGGGATTACAGGTGTGAGCAACCATGCCCAGCCTCATTTTAGTATTTCTATGACTAGAGAACACAACAGGCAGTATAGCTTAAATAGGTACCTAATAAACAGCTATTGTTACAGAGAATATAATTTACCTTTAGAAATGATGCCTATTAGTAGCAATTACTAGTGACACACAGTCAAGTTGTGTAAAATGATTGTATTGTCTATCAATCAAAACCAGCTATGTTATGACTAAAAATACTCTAATAAACATATTGATGCAGAAATGATGACTTTTGCCTTAACCAATATCTTTAAAGTTACTTTTGTCACTTTTGAACAATTTTTTTTTTTTTGAGATGGAGTCTCTCTATGTCACCTAGGCTGGAGTGTAGTGGCACAATCTCGGCTCACTGCAACCTCCGCCTCCCAGGTTCAAGCGATTCTCCTGCCTCAGCCTCCCGAGTAGCTGGGACTAGAGGTGCGCACTGCCAAGCCCATCTATTTTTGTATTTTTAGTTGAGACAGGGTTTCACCATGTTGGCCAGGATGGTCTTGATCTCCTGACCTCATGATCCGCCTGCCTTGGCCTCCCAAAGTGCTGGGATTACAGGCGTGAGCCACCGTTTATGTCATTCCATTTTATTTCATTTTTATGACCTTATAGTTGGAATAAAAATAAACTGAGAAAAAATAATTTATAATTTGATAGAACTGGAATGAAGCTTTGGAATTAGCACTTTAATCCTTACGAAAGCATTGAGGTGTCTGAAGTACAACACGTATTCAATGCTATCTAATGAAGATATATAACCTGTGGCAAGCAGCAGGAATTCTATTATTACCACTCGTATAAAAAGGAAAGACATTTCACTAGCTGATAACTCCCTAGCGAGTCTTTCAAAGATGACCAAGACCATTTCCTGACATGACTTATCCTGGGGAATTGCAACATCTTCGTAGCTTACATTGTGAGACATATCATGCTCGTTTTGGCAGCACATATATGAAAAAAAAAAAAAGTGAGACATATCAAACAGCCTGCCAAGATTCATTAAATGAGTGGTCCACTATCCATTTTTTCTAACATATATGGAAAGGAATGACATAGTCCAGTTTTTTCCCCTAAATATGTCAGAGGTTGAAAGTTCTACAAATACCACAGGAATAATGACAACAACTTCACCAAAGGCATATTTATTGAGGACACTGGTCATTAAGATACTCTGAGCTATATATGAATTACCATACAACATATTCTTCCCGAACTTATGTCAATGAAAAACTTTTGGTTACACTGAGAATCTTCTTGAGATGGAGTTTCGCTCTGTCACCCAGGCTGGAGTGCAGTGTCACAATCTCCGCTCACTGCAACCTCTGCCTCCCGGGCAGAGGAAACCATATCACTTTTTTTCACTTTGATTACTAGGAAGTACAGAGTCCAAATTAAAGATCAACCTTAAAAACCACCATGACTCTACATTTTCTGTTTATGGCCTTCCCTTTGTTGGACTGATTTTATAATAATTTTTCTTATGATTCTTTTCTATTTCATTATTATTTAATCATATACATTATTTTCACAAGCTGATTTTAATACTTAACTTGGAATATTAAATCGTCTCTACTTAATTTGGAGAACAGATTATTTAAAAATGCATAACAGCAGACTAAAATATCTGAAAGATTGTCAAGTAGAAGGAGAAGCTAATGTATACTGTGCTGTGTAACAGGGGCAAATAGAATTTTAAAGGAGTATGTGCTAGATAGATGTGAGCAAGAATTTTCTAATAATTCTTCAGGTCCCAAATGTAATGGGTTTCCCTGATAAGCTGTGGAATCTTTAACACTGCACAGATTTAATCAGAGGCTAAATAACTATCCATCTGGCATGTTGACAAAAGTTTCTGGATTGGAAAAAAGGTTAAACTAGAAGCCCTCAAAAATCTCTTCCATTCTGCGATTCTATAATTAAATATGCTATACTTAATATGCTATACTTAATGAGCCATTTGTTATCTTCATAGGGTAACTCGTGGCACAAGTTTCCCTGCTGTCTTTCTGCCAGGTCTAGAAATCAAATTAAATTAAATCTATCATCATATAAAACTACGGATAAAGAAAAGTTATGTCATAATGACTTGAAGAGTCTTGAAGTTTGAATATTGACTTAAAAACTTCAGTTTTATTGCCAGCAAGAATTCATAGCCTGTCCATATCACAAAACCAATACTCTAAATATGAGGGATCAAAACAGGAGAAACATTGTGATGCCATGCAAATTAAAGTATGACAAGAGTTTAATAAAATATATTATAATGTTCTAAATATTAAAAAGTAGACAATTCATCATATTACAGATATATATATATATGTTATGCTTTAAGTTCTAGGGTACATGTGCACAACGTGCAGGTTTGTTACATGTGTATACATGTGCCATGTTGGTGTGCTGCACCCAGTAACTTGTCATTTACATTAGGTATACCTCCTAATGCTTTCCCTCCCCCCTCCCCCCACCCCCCCGACAGGCCCACCGCATGTTCTCACTCATAGGTGGGAATTGAACAATATTACAGATATATTTTTAAACTACGTCCTATAATGAGAAACACTGTAAAGATTCCTGTCACCAGAAAGGTATACATATTTGTTTGGGGAGGCACTGAAATTCACTGTAAGCCAGTAAACTAAATTGAAATGGAAATTTAATACCTGCACATATCTATCATTATATTTATATAATATAAGAAAAAGAATCATGAATTTGCTAAATTATTCACTGAAGTGAATCCCCTTAAGTGAATGAACTATCGTATATAAATATTTTAAGTGGACAAACAACTTTACAGGTAAATAAAACAAATTTTTGCTTCCTTTCACATTTGGTAGTCTCAGAAAGGTATACTTATTGTGATTTTTGTTAGAAATAAATTGAAAAAGGTTTGAAAAAGTAATATTACTTAAAGGTACATAACAAAAAGTTAAATAACCAGAGGAAAATACACAATTTCCAAGTATTCAAGCTATTAAAAATTCCAAGATTACACAATTACAAAATGTTAAGCCCTAATGCCAACTGGATTTTGACTAAACAAAGAAAGAATGAATCAAGGATGACTGGGAAAAAGTGAAAACAAATCCAAACTAAAGATCAAGTTGAAGAATGCCAATTGAAACATGTGACTGTTGTTATTAAGGACAGGAATGGCAGACACCGTATATTTTTAAATTTTGCAGTGGATGGTATTTGTTTCTTGGGGAAGTAGTTATGCTCAAACCCAATAGAAGTCTAAAAGAGTCTGGTGGCTATCAGCATCTTTAACTGGTATGAATTCCAACGTCCCTGATTTTTTAAAGTCAAGTGTCTCCTGCCTTAAGCCTACCCCAAAAAGACAGGCTCTGCAGCCCTGCCTAGGAAATGGCCATGATACCTGAACTCATTGCAAACACTGTTCAATAAACGCTTACAAATTACAGCTCTCTTCCCCAAATTTGGCATCTAAATACAAGAACAACAAGATCTTAGAAAAACATCTTAAGGACTGGGACCTTGTACCTACAATTTAAAAAAATATATTGGAACCAGATAGTAACAGCATTTGTAAGATAGCAACATAATAGAGGTTTATAAGCAGATAACATAAAACTCAGTTTCCATTAGAGGTTTATTTTCATTATAAAATATTTTAGACAAAAATGCAAAGAATAAAAAGTAGCACACAGTCTCGTACCTACCAAACAGATTTGGCAAATGTTAACATCTTGCCATGTTTGCTTCTGGTTTATATTGTTTTCTAAGAGTACAATTTAAAAGATGCACACAAAAGCCATCATCCATACCATTCTCTTTCCCATTTCAGCAAGGGGTAGGCAATACCTGAAGTTACTGTTTTTCATGCAAATCAATACAGATATGTTTGTATCACTATGTACTACATATTATAGTTATGTATAGTTATTTAATATATACCTATTTCAAGTGTACTTTAATTATAATATACCATGTATATTGTTCTGAAACTTGTTTTTCTGTTAAGCATTATTATTCTTGGGGTTTTCATTTTGAAATTTGTACCCCTAGTTTATTTCTTTAATTTTTATTTTTTGGAGACAGAGTCTCACTCTGTCACCAGGCTGGAGTGACACAATCTTGGCTCACTGCAACCTCCATCTCCCGGGTTCAAGCGATTCTCCTGCCTCAGCCTCCCCAGTAGCTGAGACTACAAGTGTGCTCCACCATGCCCATCTAATTTCTGTATTTTTAGTAGAGACTGGGTTTCACCATGTTGACCAGGATGGTCTCGATCTCTTGACCTTGTGATCTGCCTGCCTCAGCCTCCCAAAGTGCTGGGATTACAGGTGTGAGCCACTGCTCCCGGCCACTTCTAGTTTATTTATTTTAACTTCTCTATGGTATTCAATTATATGACATCTCCATTGCCCTATTACCTATATATTGTTTGTAACTTTTTACTATGAAAAAATGCTGGTAGAAGAAACAACCTACGGTATTCAAGAAAATATTTGCAAACTATACATCTGATAAGGGGTTAATATAAAAAATATATAAGGATCTCCTGCTACTCAACAGCAAGAAAACAAATAATCTGATTAAAAAATGGACAAAGAATCTGATTAAATATTTCACAAAAGAAGACATACAAATGGCCAACAGGTATATGAAAAAAAATTCAACATCACTAATGATGAGAAAAATGCAAATTATAACCACCTCAGACCTGTTAGAATGGCTACAGTAAAAAAGATAAAAGATGCCAAGTTCTGGTCAGGATGTGGAGAAAAGGGAAACCATGTACATTGTTGATGGAAATGTAAATTAATATAGCCACTATGGAAAACAGCATAGAGATCTCCCAAAACACCAAAAATAGAACTACCATATGATCCAGCAATCTCACTGCTATGTTATATATGCAAAGGAAATGAAGTCACTATCTCAAAATAATATCTGCACACCCATGCTTATTGTAGTATTATCTATAATACCCAAGATATGGAATCAGCCTAAGTGTCTATCACAAAAAAAGAATGAATTTTTAAAGTGTGGTATTTATAAAAATGGAATACTATACAGCCTTAAAAAAGAAAATCCTGTCATTTGCAACAATATGGATGAACCTGGAAGACAATGTGTTAAATGAAATATGCCAAGCACAGAAAGATAAATACTTCATAATGTCACTTATATATGGAAACTAAAATTGGCAAACTCATAGAAGCAGAGCAAAATGGTCATTACCAGAGTTTCGGGAGGATGGAGAAGAGAGGGGAAAGAAAACTGAGATGTTGGTCAAAAGACACAAAATTTCAATTACATATAAGGAAGAAGTTCAAGGAACAAGAGAGCCATTGTACAACATGGTGACTACAGTTAATAACCATGTATTATATTATTGAAAATTACTAAGAGATTAGCTTTAAGTGTTCTTACACCAAAAAAAATAAGTATGTGAGGTAATACATATGTCAATTGGTGTTACTTAGTCATTTCACAATGTACACATATATCAAAACATCATGTTATACACCATACATTCCTTTTAAAATGTGGCAATATTATTCTCTATATTTTCACGTGAACATGAGCTAGAACTCATGTGTATGTGTGTGTGTGTGTGTGTGTGACAGAGAGAGAGAGAGACAGAGAGAAAGAGAAGTGGAGTCACTGAGATACAGATTTGCAAATCTAGCCATTACCAACTTGTTCTTTAAAACAGTTACTGCAATTTAAACTCTACTGATGCTGTAGGAAAGTGTCCTGTTTCCACATTTTTGTAACACTTAATTTTATCAAATATAAATACAAATGCCTTTCATTGTATTTGTATGAGCATTCCTGATTTTGTCTTCTGTGGTTTGCTTGCTTGTGGTCTTTGCACAATTGTGGGAATTCCTACTGTAATAGTCCATGCTCACATGGCAAATAAAGACATACCTGGTACTGGGTAATTCATAAAGGAAAAGAAGTTTACTAGATTCACAGTGCCACATGGCTAGGGAGGCCTCACAATCATGGTGGAAGGTAAATGAGGAGCAAAGTCATGTCTTACATGGCTGCAGGCAAAGAGAGCATGAGCAGGGGACCCCCACTTTACAAAACCATCAGATCTCATGAGACTTATTCACTCTCAAGAGAACAGCATGGGAAAGACCTGCCCCTATGATTCAATTACCTCTTACTGAGTCCCTCCCATGACATGTGGGAATTACGGGAGCTACAATTCAAGATGAGATTTAGGTAGGGACACAGCCAAACTATATCACCTATAAATAGTTTTCCTTTGTGATTCAATCTTTAAAAATATTTCATCCACATCCGTGGTTTGTCTTTTAACTTTGTTTTTGGGATCTTTGGTTATATAGGGAATTTTAATATTAATGAACTTAATGAAATATTTTCTATTATATTTTGTGCTTTTTTGTCTTAAATACTTCCTTATCTTGATAAAAACAGATATATTAAAATTATTCTCTGATAATTTTCACTAAAAATTTTAATATTCAGCTTTTCAAATTTATGACTTTAAGTATTTAGTATAATATACAGATCTAACTTTATCCTTTTCCTACTCACAGTCCCCATCCCTGCTCCTTTTCTTGAATAGGCTATTCATTTCCAAATTATTTAACTGTTTGTTATACCAAGTTCCATATATTATGCTCTCTATTCTGTCACATTATCTCACTTTTCTTCCCTGCACTGTAAAATTCTTAATGTCTATTAAGACTAGCACAAACATTCTTCTTCTCCATCAAAACCCTCTTAACACATATTTTATAGAAGCTCAGTTATACAAGGTGATTTCAAATGGTGTAGGCTCACCGCTACATGGATTTTTTTCAATAAAAGTAACACCACATGTGCCTTATTTTACTGTCTCCCACTCTACCTCTTGCATGTCCTTCATCTCTGCTATCCCCGAGAAAGCAAGACCAACCCCTCCTCTTCCTTTTCATCCTCAGCCTATTCAAAGTGCAGATGATGAGGATGAAGACCTTTATATTGATCCATTTTCATTTAATGAATACTAAATATATTTTTTATTTCTTGTAATTTTCTTTTTTTTTTTTTTTTTTCGAAATGGAGTCTCGCTCTGTTGCCGAGGCTGGAGTGCAGTGGCGTGATCTCAGCTCACTGCAAGCTCCGCCTCCCGGGTTCACGCCATTCTCCTGCCTCAGCCTCCCGAGTAGCTGGAACTAGAGGTGCCCGCCACCATGCTTGGCTAATTTTTTGTATTTTTAGTAGAGACGGGGTTTCACCGTGTTAGCCAGGACGGTCTCGATCGCCTAACTCGTGATCCGCCCGTCTCGGCCTCCCAAAGTGCAGGGATTACAGGCGTGAACCACCGTGCCCAGTCTATTTCTTATAATTTTCTTAATAACATCTCCTTTTCCCAGTAGACTTTATAATTAGAATACAGCATATAGTACATATAACATATAAAATATGTGTTAATCAACTGTTTATGTTTCAGTAGAGCTTCTGGTTAACAGTAGGCTATTAGTAAAGTTTTGGAGGAGTCAAAATTTAGACATGTATTTTCAACTACCTGGGAGTTTAGTGTCCCTAACCCCTGTATTGTTCAAGAGTCAAACGTTAATACTTTTTTATTAAACTTATGATCTCTCTTTCAACAAATTATTCAGATTTTAAAATGTCCTAAGATTTTTCTTTATTTTTTAAGTTTTTCATGATTGATATTTTATTGTATTTCATTGTGGTCTGAGATCACATTCTCTATACCACAAATTCTTTACTATTTTTTGATACTCTTTATGACTGGTATTTGGGCAATTTTGTAATTGCCAAAAATAATTTTACTCTATTTTCTGGATACCAAAGGTCTGATAAAACAAGTTTACTAATTATTTTATCTTCTTTATTCTATTAGTTTAATTTTTATTTTCAGAGAAAAGAGAAACGTTGTTACATCTTCCAATATGATGTTGAATTTATAGGTTTCTCTAATTATAATTTTATATACATACTACATGCATATCTCTTTATAGAGATATACAATGTACACACACATATTTTTTCACACAGACACACATATGTGTAGCTATTGTTTTCACATCTTCAAATTTAAGATTTTCATATAATTAATCCTTGCATAATGGCTCTTACCTTTAATAATCGCCTTTCTCTTTAATATCTCTGTCTCCTAAAAATAATATGGATGTTACACATTTTTTCTTTATTTTGATTAGTATTTGAAATGTGTTTGTTAGTTTTTTATTTCAGGATTTATTTGTTATTTGTTTTAGCTGAGTCTCTTTGTAGTCCACATACAGCTGGGCTTCTACAATGTATATGGGCATTTCTATCCTTTAACAGTCAAGTTTAATTCATTAGTATTTTGTGATATCTGATATCTTATTTGGTGTCTCCTATTTCTGATTTTTAAATTTTTTCTCTTTTTAATTAGTTTTTAATAAAGATGCCATGCAAAGTCAATAAGATGAAAAAATAGGCATTTCAAATGGTACTGGAATGATTGAATATTCACATGCAAAAGCTGGACCCCATCTCACACTATATACAAAAATTAACCCAATATGGAATGGTGACCTAAAAGAGGACTAAAACTATAAAAATCTTAAAAGAAAACAAATGTGTAAATCTTTGTACTTTTGAATTAAACAATGGTTTCTTAGATATGACACTGAAAGCACATACAACAAAAAAGATAAACTGGGCTTCATCAAAATTGAATACATTTGTGCTGCAAAGGTCAGCATCAAGAAAGAGAAAAGACAAACCATAGAATGGGGAATAAATGTTGACAAATCATATGTCTGATAAAAGATTTGTATTGAGAATACATAAAGAACTCATACAAATCAATAACACAAAGACAAATACCCAATTGTAAATGGGCAAAGGATCTGAATAGACATTTCTCCCAATAAAATATGCAAATTACCAAAATGCACATAAAAGAATGCTCAATATTAATAACCACCAGAGAAATGCAAATCAAAACTACGAGATATCACTTTTCATCCAGTAAGACGGATATAATACAAAATACAGATAATAACAAGTGTTGGTGAGGATGTGGACATGTTGGAACCCTTGTGCGTCGTTGATGGGACTGTAAAATGGTGCAGCAGCTTGGGAAAAAAATGTGGCAATTTCTCAAATAATTGAACATAGAATTACCATTTGACCCAAGTTTCCACTTCTATCTATATATCCAAGAGAAATAAAAATGTATATCCATACAAAACTTGTACAAGAATATCCACATTTGCATTACTTATAATAACCAAAAAGTGGAAACAACCAAAATGCTCATGAATTAATGGATAAATAAAATATAGTATAACCAGAACATTATGCATTATTCAGCAATAAAAAGAAATGAAGTACTGACATATGCTGCATGACGGATGAACCTTGAAGCTAAATGAAAAAAGCCAGTAACAAAAGGACACATATTGAGTGATTCAATTTCTATGAAATGTCTACAATAGACAGATATATAGACACAGAAAGTACATTAGTGTGGGAAAGGGATGGGAGCAACTGAGAGCTAAAGACATGGGACTTTTCCTCAATGTAATAAAAATTTTCTAAAATTTATCGTAGCTATGGTTGTTCAACTCCGTGAATTTACTAAAAATCATTCAGTTGTACAGTTTAAATAAGCAAATTATGATATGTAAATTGCATCTTAATAAAACTGTTACCAGGGCAAAAAAATAAAGAAAAGAAAGCAGGGAATGAAAGTAATAGATAAATGGAAAAGAATCCGGTGGAAAAAAGCAATAGTAATCACAGAAATAAGAGCAAAAATTAAGAGGCAGTGTCTTATTGAAAAGTTGATTTGAAAAATAGTTCGTGGGGAATTAAACATTAATATATCTCTTTCATAGAGTTTATGAATAAGTGGTATTGATTGTTACACTTGGATTTTAAAGGATATTTGGAGTTAAAACAAATGTCTTTAAGTAAAATTTTACCTATTATTTTATTTGACTAGATGCTATTAAAAAGTCACTGGAAATGAGGATAAGATTAGGATATATTCAACATATATTTATTGAGCACCTATCATCTGCCAGTCAGTGTTCTAGGCACAACAGTGAACAAAACTTATGAATTATCTCTCATATGGAGCCTATATCCCAGAGAAGAATGACAAACAAAAAAAAAGAATGAATGAATGAATGAATGAAAAAAATGTATGGGTAGTATCTAAGGAAGTAAAAATGTTATCAATGAAAATTCAGCAAATTAAGGTGATGTAAGGAATAGTAAATAAGATATTACTTTACGCAGAGGAGTAAGGTCTTTTTGATAATGAGATAATAGACAAATACCTTACAGAAATGAAGACCTGAGCTAAATGAATTTTCTTTTCTCTTATGCGAAGAAGAGATGAGAGCCTCACAAGCATAAGAAACAAAAATACACTCAAGAAAAGTGGAAGTTGGAAAATTAGTATTGCAGTAATTCACAAGAGAGGATGATAGCTTGGATGGGCGTGCAAAGATTGGAAATGCAATAACATGGTTAGGGCTTAGATATATTTTAAGGCTGAAACCAACAGTTTATGCTGGCATTTGAGTATTTATGGGTCACTGTAGAATTTTGGCCTAAACAATTGTTAGAATAGAGCTACTATTTTTAGATATGAATATAAATGAGGGTTTCAAAGTAAAAATCAATAATTGTTTTGGATATGTTAAGTTTGAGTTGCCTATTCAACTGCAAGTTGAATTTATGTGTTTGAAGTTCAGAGAAGAGTTAATACTAAGGACATGTATTTGAGAGTCATCTACATGTGGATGAGATGTACATGTACATTACTGGATGAGATCAATTAGAAAACTACTGATACAGAAAAGATGTGTGAGGACTGAGTCCGGTGTCTCTTTAGTGCTTAGACGTCTGGTCAATAAAGACAAACCAGAACAAGTACTAAAGGAGAGAATCCAATGACACAGGAGGAGAAACAAGAGTTTTTCTGGAGGTCAGGTAAAGAAATGGTTGCAAGAAACTGATTTATGTCAGTTATGTCAGTTAGTTATGTCGAATGTTACTTATGTCCAGTTACATGAGGTTTAAGATATATCATTAGATTTAGCCACATGGAAACTACTGGTATTCTTGAAACCAGTGGTTTTTGTGCAGGGATAGACATGAAAACCTAGATGGATTAAGGAAAGTGGTAATAGTGAATGTAGGCATTTTGAGGAATTTTGCCATAAAAGTGAGCAAAGAAAAGAGGAATTGGCTGAAAGTGTATGTGAAATATATGTTGAGAAATATGATAGTATACTTGTACAGCAATGGGAATTTCCCAGTAGGAAGAGAATAATTGATGATGGAGGGGAAAGCAGATAACAGTATAGACAAATGAGAATGAAAAGTGAGAATGTGAGTTGTTGTGTGAACTTGATCATATATTTAAATGCCAGCTATCCTCTTATTTTTTTAAAAAAAAAATTAGATTAAACTTCCTTGAATCCTCAAAGTAAAAATGATAGCATAACAACCTTAGAAAGGTTTAAGCTTTCAAAATGTCTTACCTTCATCCCACTTTGCAAAGATTTTCAGCATAAGCTGTTCTCTTTCAACATACTCTATGCTCTTGCCCTCTGGCTTATCTAATCTAAACATGTTTCTGTTAAACTCTACCATAACCCCTAACAGAGAATTGAATGACATTTATTCAAGCCTCAGCACCAGATTAAGATGCCAGAAGTTATGCTAGAAAATGTTACTTTTTTTTTCCTGTGTGCTTTGAAGCCAGATAATTTAGCTTCAGGCAATCAAAGCATATTTCTCTTCAAGGCTGATTTTTCCAAAACCAGCTGTTTGTATTCTAAAGCTGAATCTGTGTGTGAGTCATTAGCACAGTGTTTACAAGTTTGCTTTTTTTCTGTATGGCTTCTGTAAAACTGTATTACGGCTTAAATTTTCTATCTAAACATTTTCCTATATTAATTCCTTCTCTGATGTGGGAATACATGAAGCATGAATTCAATCATCTACCCAATCAGATCTTCCTGTTGTTTAACATTAAATATTTCAAAATGTATCACACCCCCCTTTATTACACTTGAAATTAATAATGCAATATCCAGGAAAACTTACTTTTTCACACAACTAATAATTAGATGGTGAATTTAAACAATGATTGATGAGTTTGGGCACTTCACAGAGTTAGGATTAACTTCAGGGACAAATTATTTTCCTGTACAACATCACTCATGCCACTGCTGTAAGCCACCATCATTAATCCTAGCAATCGATTGTTCCTCTTTTTGATCCCTACCATAAAAATGTTTCATTTAAGACCTCCTAAGTTCTAATTTGAGAATCTAAGAACACACAAAAATATCAATATCAATATCAATAGGATTACTGTCAAAGTTTGGATATTTATTCCACATTGAAGTTACTTTTGTGTATGGTATGAGGAAGGGATCAAACAATCGTGTTCCTTGATCTGAAATCAAAGACCAAATAACTGTTCCCCATGCAGCCAGTATACAATGGAGGTACAGAGACCATATAACTATAATAAAGGCTTTAACTTGGAAAATGGAACAATGGGAAATCTAGCCAATCTAGCAAGGGTTCCAATAGCCACTTGCTGTAACATTCTGAAATGCCTTTGGAAAAATCATTCAAGGATGCCCTACTATAGGATGAAAAATATTATTCAAATAATTCACACTATGTTCCTTGAGAAGAGCTACTTAGTCCATTGTCCTACTTGGTTCTTGGCAGAACCTTAATCTACCTCATGGTTTTACAGTACAAGCCTTTTAAAAACTTCACAGACTTCTTATCTAGTTGAATCCAGCAAATCCCATAACTTTATGTATAGTATTTTCTAGACTTGTTAGATTTTTCTAGTATCTCTGCTTTGTTGTCCCCTTGATACTTTTGTTTCTCGACTTCATTGCAGGTCTCTGCACCATCTCAGGATTTAATGGAAAAACTAGAAATTTAGTCTCTTTTCCTTAAGCTATTTCTTCTAATTAAAAAGATTTATTGGAACCACCTTCTTAGTTGGACCTTTCCACTCAGACACCTTAGTTGATTTAGAGGTTTTAACAAAATGAGCGTATCAGCCATTCCCTTGATTTAAATATTCCCTTGTTGCTAAGGACTAATCCATTTTTATTAGCCAGCGAATCTCACCATTTTATCATTTTACTGCTTGAGGTTAAGAAGCAGATACCTTTTCATCTCTAGAAATCCCCAAATGTCTGATCTTTATCTATTCTCTTTCTTATCAACCTTCAAGATAATGAGAGCAATTTATTTTCTGGGCTTATATCTTCTTGGTAATTTCTTATGAAATGTAGTTAATAGCTAATTAGCACTAACATATAATTTTATTAATATAAAATATGCTATTTTTCCAACTTATTTTCTTAGATTTAAATGCTCATTAAGTACATTGTATGCCTTTCAAATTACTGTAATGTTCAGTCTTTCCAATTACTTCTCCATTGAAAATCATATAATGCCATCATTCCAGTCTCCGGAAACAAAAAACTGAAGCTACTGTAAGTGAGCACTAACATAATAAAAACCTATGATAGCAGTCACTTATGGTAGTTTAGTATTTTTTATGAACTAAAAAAAAATAGGACAGTGCAGGTTATACTATAGTAAAAACAACACTGGGCTGGGTGCGGTGGCTCACACCTGTAATCCCAGCACTTTGGGAGGCTGAGGCGGGTGGATCACCTGAGGTCAGGAGTTTGAAACCAGCCTGGTGAACATAGTGAAACCCTGTCTCTACTAAAATACAAAAATTAGCTGGGTGTGGTGGCAGGTGCCTGTAATCCCAGATACTTGGGAAGCTGAGGCAAGAGAATCACTTGAACCCGGGAGGCGGAGGTCGCAGTGAGCCAAGATCACGCCATTGCACTTCAGCCTGGGTGACAGAGAGAGACTCTGTCTCAAAAAAAACAAAAAACAAAACACAAAAAACACTGAAATCTCTGTAATTTCAAAAAAGTTTATTTCTTACTCAGTTTATATCTTCAATGTGTTCAATGTGGTTCATTAGAAATATTTACTCCACCAGGGACATTGACTAGTGGACATCCTATATATTCTCACATACTTCAACGAGTTCCAAAGAAAGGGAAAAAATTTAGTGAATCACATATTGCTCTAAAAGGCTTCATTAGTCAAAGTAAGTCATATACTGTATTAATCTACTCTCACACTGCTATAAAAAACTGCCCAAGACTGGGTAATCTATAAAGAAAGAGGCTTAATTGACTCACAGTTCCACAAGGCTACAGAGGCCTCTGAAAACTTACAGCCATGGTGGAAGAGGAAGCAAACATGCCCTTCTACACATGGTGGCAGGAAGGAGAAGAATGAGAGCCAAGAGAAGGGGGAAGCCCCTTATAAAACCACCAGATCTTTTGAGAACGTATTCACTATCATGAGAATAGCATGGGGGAAACCACCAACCAATATCATTCTTAGCTCATTAGTTCAACCAAAACATGGCAAACAAACCTTAAAACAGGAACAAAGTAGGAAACTAGGAGACCAAGAAACACATGAAAAGAATAAGGCATCTTGGCCAGGCATCGTGGGTCACGCCTGTAATCCAAGCACTTTGGGAGGCCAAGGCAGGTAGATCATGAGGTCAGAAGTTCAAGACCAGCCTGACCAACACGGTGAAACCCCATCTCTACTAAAAACACAAAATTAGCCACCTGTGGTGGTGCGCACCTGTAGTCCCAGCTACTCGGGAGGCTGAGGCAAGATAATTGCTTGAACCCGGAAGACGGAGGTTGCAGTGAGTTGAGATCACACCACTGCACTCCAGCCTGGGCAACGAAGTGTGACTCCGTCTCAAAAAAAAACAAAAAAAAACAATAAAACATCTTTTGTGATGTAATGGTAAGTTTCTGTAACCCCAAGTCTAGTTTCAATATGTGCCTTTAGAATAGGGACAATTAGCTGGTGGAAAATCAAACACAGATCTGACTATACTCCTGGCATAACCTGACCTTTTGTCATACTGAAGATGAAGCCAGTACATGCAATCATTTAATTTCAATTAAGGTTCACATCACAATTGTCATAGTTTCTCTGGATAGGCTCTGAAGGAGTTACTAAATGAAATTATTGGATTCTGTTTTCAACCAGGGCTGTAGTCCCAAAGTTTAAGTTATGATGAGTATATAAATTCTTTGTAGACCATAGGGTTTTAGTGCATGATTCTCTTTACAAATGATCAACTCCCACATATTGCTATGTAACACACTACCTAAAAGTCAATGGTTTATAACAGTAAGTCTTTTATTATTGCTCAAGAATCTGCAAATCAGCTGAGTGGTCACCTTGGTCTCAATTATATTTGTGCATCAGCAATGGGTCATAGAGGATCTCTACTGATCTTAATTGGCCTTCTCAAGTCTTTGAGGATAGGCTGATTGTTGGCTGGTCCATGATGGCCTCATCTCTCTCAGATGAATCTCTTTCATGCCTCAAGTAGGTACGATCATTCTTATGGTAGAGGGAGAAGTGCAGGTGAACAAGAATTGCTTTCTTGAGACAAAGACTAAGAATTAGTACACATTTAATTCCACTCTATTCTATTGGCCAAAATAAGTCAGAAGGCAAGCCCAAGTTCAAAGAGAATGGAAAAAACTCTATCTCTCTAGTGAGAGGAACTGCAAAATCACACAAAGCATGTAGCTATAAAAAAAGGTGAAAAAACATGGCCATTTTACACTCTATCACCACTTTTAAACTTTAATGCACAGAACATTGCATCAAATGTTTTTCCCTTGTAGGTGTGTTAAATTTCACCTAAGAACAAAAAGGACACTGAAAAATTCCAACTTCATATATTCATGTGGTTTGTTACTTACTTCCAAACAATAATCTCAAGTGGGCTTATCATGATTAATTACTTAAGACCTCACGAAGCCTTTTGATTTTAGAAACCCAGGGACTGCACCTATCATAGTGGAGTGATTGTTTTTGTCAACCAACTGATAAGCGGAGACTCTTTCTTCCTCTTAGGTTGAGATAGCAAAAAAAATCATTATTAATAATTATACATTTTAATTCTCTCACTATAGAATTTAAGTTTATTCAGAATATCAATAAGGAAACATATTAATTTTAAAAGCAAGTTGAGGCCAGGCGCAGTGGCTCACACCTGTAATCCCAGCACTTTGGGAGGCCGAGGTGGGCAGATCGTGAGGTCAGATCTAGACAAGCCTGGCCAATATGGCGAAACCCTGCCTCTAATAAAAGTACAAAAATTAGCCAGGTGTGGTGGTAGGCACCTGTAATCCCAGCTACTCGAGAGGCTGAGGCAGAAGAATCGCTTGAACCCAGGAGGCAGAGGTTGCAGTGACCCAAGATTACGCCATTGCACTCCAACCTGGGTGACAGAGTGAGACTCCATCTGAAAAAAAAAAAAAAAAAAAGCAAGTTGAACCTGGCTTTTGGAGCAAAACCAATGGAATAGTAACATGAAATGAAAGGAAATAAAGTAAGAATTGTGTATATTTGTTCATTAACAAATAATGAAGGGCTTGGGGCCCCAAAGGTACTTAAATAAGGAAGGGAAAGAAGATCACAGAAAAAAATACAATAAAATTATGCTCACAGGGACAATCCATTGCCAAGAAACTATTGAAAAACATTCAAAGCTACAGATAGAGAGTCGATACTAAATGCAATTTGAAACCCTCAGCTTGAAAACAAAGACAGCCAGCTGGTTGGGAAAAAAATTCAGAAAGATTTGAGAAGGAAAACTAAGAAGATTGGTTTAAAATACTTCAAGCAGTATTTGATTGTGTTCATGGTAACACTTTTTGTTGTTTTATTGTTTGTTTGTTTCTGGTAGTTTTGTTTTGTTTTAATTTTTGTGAGAAAACTATATATATATATACATATATATATGTATCTCATGGGGGAATATGGTCAGAAAATTTATGAAGTTAGATCTTTTAAGAATGCACATTAAAGTTGAAACATCCTAAAGCGACTCATGCAGAGCAAAAACAAATGAAATCCTTGTATAAGTTATATTCTATGTAGAATTATCCAAATCAATGGTGACAGGGTTGGTAAGATTTGCATCTTATTGTCTTCATATCTTACCATGGAACACACTTCAGGGGAGAATCTACAGAAACCTAACAGGAAAAGAAATGTCTGAAGTCTAGAGCAAAGGGGAAATAAAGGAAAGCAAGCATTATTACCTAGCCTTTCACATAGTAGAGAAAGAAAAAAGAACACGTTAAAGCGCACATTAAAGCTTTGAAACCCAAATTTCCCTTTTTTAAGTGATTGAAAGCATACAGAATAAAACACTACAGACATATGCCATTGATACAGAGAAAGAAGTGTTGCGCAGAAGTGATTTAACTACTACATGAAATATCATCAGTTATGTACTGATTACCTGAAAATTTTATCATATGAAGAAAAGATCGTAAGAAATACATATTTAAAAAATAAATATTTCTACTCACTTGAACCCTGAAGATATTGTTTTAGAAAAAAACACATTGAGTATGAATTCCAACTGAGACAAAAGATGGACAAAATGTGAGACTCTCCTCAGGGAGTAAAATTAATAGGTCTAAAACTCTCTAGATCAGATGTAATAGCACAGCCGTTGTTTCAAATGGCTAAAAATGCTTTATGAAATGTTAAGATAAAAAATCCTCAAAACTCTTAAGTCCAGTACTCCAATTCTAGCAATCCCATTGCTACTGAAAATTTTTAACTCCTCTATTTCTAGATAAAAAGTATTAATTGACTCAAGCTCTGGCAAAATCTGTAGCTCTGTTGATTCTTAGCTATCCATCTCTAAATGGCCCATAAAATATCACCTTCTATTTTCTCTTTTCCTGGATTTTAATAGTGAAGAAATCTTGGCATTCATAGTGAGGGCAAATTAGAGCTATGATATTTGTGAAGTTAGAAACTCATAGGCAAATGAGGGTTTTCATGATTATTCCTCCTCATTTTCTTCATTTCACCCTCCCAATTTATTCCCATTTCCTCTCCCTCCCCCATTTCTTTCCTCTAGATAACTTGACTTTGTCTATAGTTTTTGACTGGCCAGAGTAATGTGGCTATAAATATTTTGGCATAATTTTGATGGTATTATAACTTGATTGGCTTCTCTTATTTTCAGAATTTCATATGTGAGTATGACTAGTGCATTGATATTCTCTTGTGTCTTCTTTACTAGCTCTTTGGAAAATAAGGTCCCAGGAGAGAGTTGAGGTTGGGTTGATGTAACTTTGCAAGTACAAACTGCACTTGTTCAAAAGGAAGACAGCCCAAGCTACCACTGCTGATAGACATTTATCTCTACCCAGGCAACTGAATGAAATATGTATGTCAGCAAATAAGAAGAAAATTATGACACTGGAAAGGGTAAAACTTCATACTTTATTTTTTGGATGCAATAAAGGATTTTTTTTTACTTCAGTTTATCCATTTGAGCCAATAATGTGCAGAGGTGAATAGTTTTTCTGTTTGAAGAATTCTTACATTGCAGCAGTATATTATAATTTATGACAACATTTACTTGTTGCCTAATCTTAGCTCAGCTATATTGAACAAAGGGCTAAGCGTAATTGAAGGTGGGAAACAAAATAGGCAGTGAAATTTTAGTTGATAATAAAGTATGCTTTGGGGTTAATTTATTAATATTTCATTGTGGCACCATTTCAGCGATTTCTGGAGAACAAAGTGGCATACTCACCCTGGATCCTAGGAAAATATATAAAGAAGCAGTAGCTATTATTGAGGAATTATCTTGATAAAGTAGGACTAAGGTATGCATGGCCTGGGCTTGGATCTGTTCCCCACTGAGGGAGGAAACCAAATATCAATTGTCTCTAGATTTAACTATTAGGTTTGCTGGGATAACAGGACAATAATCAGGAGAGTAGTGGAAAACATGCTTCCAAAGAAAGTAAGAAATTTCTACTGCACTTCAGCAGAGGGAATCATTTTGGATCATTATTTATGATTCCTTCTTGTTCCTCCTTGTCAAAGGAGAAGAGACTAATGCTGGTGGAATGTCCATCTTGCATAAAAGTTGAAGAGGTCTCTGTAAAAATTGAAGAGGTCTTACACAAGACCTAGCTTTTTGGTGCGCGCTCTCTCTCTCTCTCAGAGAGGCTTACCTACTGCAGTGTGTGCTCTCCTCATTGGTCCCTCTTTCATGTGTTAAGAAGTTTCAGGCAGAGATTCCCCATTCTATGGAGAAGGCCTGTAATTTCTCAGTTCCTCAGACTATAACTGAGTGGGTAGATGAGGTAGATTGTATTACTTTTTCATTCACTACCCCTTCATTGCAAAAGCAAGTATCTATGATCAAAGATGCTGTAGTAGACTATATCATTTTGAAACTCGTTACTGCTCCCATCAACCAGATGTATTATACATTCCTACATATTTGTGTCAGTCTCGGCCATGTGACTTGCTATGTCCAAAAAATATGAATGATAATGATAATGCCACTTCTAATACTTCTAAACAGAAGCTTCAAGAGCTATCACATGATGATTATATCTTTTTTTCTCTCTCACTAAAATGAGTCTGATAATGATTCCTACTCCTCATCCTAGATGCTGGAATAAAGAAGACAGGGACCAGAGCCACAGGCTACCCACAGCCAAGCCATAGTTGTCATGTAATATCAGCAATCTTTTATTTTACTAAAACATTAATATTTGGGATGTACTTGTTACTGTAGCATAGCATAGAGAAAGGTGACTAATACAACAAGAGGTAACTATAATTAGGATGCTTCAGTAAAATATCTGGAATGAGTGGCTCTGGCTCTGGGACCAGGCAGGTGACATTCATCCAACTATTATTGGTGACAAGAGATATGAAGATGCATGCTATACAGTGGTAAACATCTGCTGAAACTGTTTTCTATAATAACTGTACCTAATGAGCTTGTGGCTTTAGCTAAAGTTGTAAAACAGAATTCAGTAGTGTGACTTAACTTCCAGGACTGAATTTAATATATATTTTAAAAATCTGTAAGAAATATATGATCTCAGAAAATAAATGGCTAGTTTGCAAACAAATTAAAAAGGAGTTTATAAAATCTAGAATTTCTTTCACCTTCAAGGTTACAATGCAACTGGTTCTCACTTCTACACATTAAAAAAGATAAAACTGAAAAATACAAAGGTCTGCAAAACCTCAACCTGGTGGCAAGACCAAATCAAATAGAGTTACATGAATTTTAAGGCATCCGAACTTGTTAATGCAGCATCCATTAAATCCATTTAATTGGACAAAATATCTTGGAAGACAAAGACTAAAGATTTGACTCTTCCACAGGAGACCTAATAAATTAAAGCTGCCCTTGATTAAATCTAGAGACATTTATTAGGAAGAACTAAGTGTGTAGCATGAGCAATAAGGCTAAATGGTATAAAATAGATAAGAAGTTTGGAATATAATTCAGCCATAAAAAGAAAGTCCTGCCATTTGTGACAACATGCATGAACTTGGAGGGCATTATGCCAAGTGAAATAAGCCAGTTACAGAAAGACAAATACTGCATGACTCCACTTACAGTATCTAAAATAGTCAAATGTATAGAAGCAGACAAGATAGTAATGGTTATCAGGGGCTGAAAACCCATGGGAAGATGGAAAGTTGCTCTAAAATGGGTATAAAGTTTCACTTTTGATAGATTAATAAGTTCTAGATATCTGCTATACAACATAGTACCTATAGTTAACAATATAGTATTGTGCACTTCAAATTTTATTATGAAGGTAGATCTCATATTAAGTGCTTTTAATAGACACACACAAACACAGCATAGGAGTACAAGGAAACTTTGAGAAGTATTGAATGTGTCTGTTACTCTGATTATGGTGATGGTATCACAGGTGTTTGCGTATGTTCAAATGCATCAAATTGTTCACAGCAAATGTGAGGTTCTTTGTATATCACAACAAAGCAAAACAAAAAGTAGCTGACCATGTTTTTGAGAGGGTTGTACTGCTAAAAAAAAAAAAAAAAAAAAAAGGCCATGAATCAGGTTGAAAAAGAAGCAAGCGAGGAGCAGGCACCTAATCAAAGTGTGTTCCACATGTCTGGTATAGAAGGGCGCTCAGGATATTGATGCAAAAGGACTTCAGAATTACTATGGAACAGTGATTGCTGAACTTGGTTGATATGGTTTGGTTCTGTGTCCCCACCAAAATTTCATCTCAAATTGTGATCCCCGTGTGTCAGAGGAGGGATCTGGTGGGAGATGTTTGGATCATGGGGGCAGTTTCCCCCATGCTGTTCTCATGATAGTAGCTGAGTTCTCATGAGATCTGATGGTTCAAACACGTGGCACTTCCCCCTTCACTCTCTCTCTTCTGCCACCACGTAATACATGCCTTGCTTCCCCTTCAGCTTCTGCCATGACGGTAAGTTTCCTGAGGCCTCCCCAGCCTTGTGGAACTGTGAGTCAATTAAATCTCTTTTCTTTATAAATTACCCAGCCTCAGGTTGTTCTTTATAGCAGTGTGAAAGTAGACTAATGCAACGGTATATTCTCCTTTTCTGAATAGCAATGTTTGAGTGTGTTCCATGGTAAGATATGAAGACAATAAGACACAAATCTTACCAACCTTGTCACCATTGATTTGGATAATTCTACATAGAATATAACTTAAACCAGGATTTTATCTGTTTTTGCTCTGCATGAGTCACTTTAGGATGGTTCAAATTTAATATGCATTCTTAAAAGAGCTAACTTCATAAATTTTCTGACCATATTCCCCCATGATATATATGTGTGTGTGTGTGTGTGTGTGTGTGTGTGTGTGTGTGTGTGTATGTTACCCTTCCCTTATTCCATTATATAAATAGATCTTAGGGGAAAAATACATTTATTTTATAGTTAATAACTCCCCAAATAAGCAAAGCCACATCCAGAGCTGATGCAAAGGTAATCACTCACAGACCTTGAACCCAACTCCATGATCGACATTGCACTTGGGGAGAGGGTGAATGTGCTTTTCTTATGAAAGAAAAGCAAATAAATATTTACACCTAAAGTGTGAACTCTTGTCAACTGTATTACTGTAAAAACATCCACAGCTTCTTTCTAAAAGGTAGATTATATATCTCTGTCAAACTGATATCAGGCTTGTCATTGTTTTAGCCAATGAAATATCTGTGGAAGTGACAGATGCTACTTCTAAGAAAAGTTATTTCACAAATCAACCACTCCTTTATTTTTCTGTACCACCAGCCTAATAATATCCTGGATAGCATCTATGCCTTCATTCTGGATCCTGGAATAAAGACATAGTGCAGAGCCTAATATGACCTACAGCCAATGTACAATGTAAACAAGAACTAAACCTTTGTTTTTGTAAGCCTACAGATATTTGAGATAGCTTGTTACCACAATATCACCTAAAAAAGCTAATACAATGACTTGGTTCAGTTAAACATATCAGTACCAATGGTGGCCTCTTGTCTAAGTTGAATTCTGCAATTCACATACCAGTATTCTAATTAACGTAGAAGTCTGGTATCTCAACTGATTGAAAACTTGGAAAACCTTCAAATCCTAACATTATTTGATTGCTTTCTATGTCCCAGACACTCAGATAAGTGCTTTATATATACGGCCTCATTAAAACTCACCAAACTGTATTATTCTCTCTTTTAAAGGATAAAGCATCTGAATTAAAGAGATTATGTAACCATTCCAAAGTCACCCAGATCGTAAGTGTTCTGATTTCAGATCCTACACAGGTAACGATTGTTCTCAAGTACTCAGGATAATCTTTCTCCTCTAATACTTTCTCTTTCTTATTCTCCCCAATACACAATGTCCGGTATGTGAAATTAACCTCTCATTTGAACTATGCTTACAATGATCCTTTATCTAAACCAAATACCAGAACAGGGTCTGACCACAAATTTTGTGCCGAAAGGGCATCTTAAAAATGTATTGTCCCCAAAAGGAGCAACATGAAGCAACAGGCAGTACTAAAGTCTTTTACCCTTCTGCTTGCATTTCTACGATGAAGGCTGTGCTAAGGTAACCTTCCAACCTGAGAGAAAACAAATCCTTCTAAACACATTCAACTGGTTTTCTCTCCTCAGGCTCAGCATCAACCTAAGAAGAGCACCTCCAACAGCTATAACAGCGAAGAAGACAGCAGATGTTTTCTCTTTAGCTAAACTAAAATTGAATACTAAGAAATCACTGTGGTTCTGCTCCCTGCCTTTCCTAAATTGCTCTCTGTGTAACCCTGTGTAATCCAGCAATCCAATACAGTCCTAATATGAAACACAATGCAACTATATTTTATGATTGTCTTTACAATGCAGTTGAAATAGTAGAAAGAATACCAGGCTTGGAATTTGCTCCAGCTATTTTCCTTAAATTTGTCCTTTTAACTTCTGAAGTTTGTCTCTTCATCTGGAAAAGGTGAATGATATCTCACAGATTTGTGCTGTTTAAGCTAAAGCAATTAAATATAAGATAATACATTGATAATGTTTGGCTGTGTCCCCACCTAAATCTCATCTTTACTTGTAGTTCCCCAAATCCCCAGGTGTCGTGGGAGTAACCTGCTGGGAGGTAATTGAATCATAGGGCAGGTCTTTTTGGTGTTCTTCTTGTGATAGTGAATAAGTCTCAAGAGATCTGATGGTTTTACAAAGGGTGGTTCCCCTGCACATGCTCTCTTGCCTGCTGCCATGTAAGACATGGCTTTGCTCCTCCTTCCCGGTCTGCCATGATGGTGAGGCCTCCCCAGCCATGTGGAACTGTAAATCCATTAAACCTCTTTTTCTTTTTTTATGAATTACCCCATCTCTGGTATGTCTTTATTAGCAGCATGAGAACAGACTAATACATACATTGAACAGTTAAGACTAGGTGATGCTACAATAACTGACAACTTCTAAATCTCATCAGCTTCAAACAAAACTTATTTCTTTTTATATGTGCAAAATGTGGTTGGTGAGTGACAGGTGTGGAGACTAATTCACAGTCACTCAGGGTCTAAGGTAGACACTACCATCTTGGAGCTACACCACGGGGTATTTGTGGTCTTCATTTTCACTGTGGCCAGGGAAGAGAGTACTAAAGAGTCTCTCTTAAGAGAGACTTAATTAAATGCCTCAACCAGAAAGTGACAATTTCACTTTCTATCACAGATCATGGCTCCAACTAACTGCTGGATTGCAGTCACTAATAGAAACAAAATCCTCCTATATGCCCAGAACGATATGAGATGGATGAGGGCTAGAAGTCCCATTCATAGCTATTGTTTGTGGCACATATCATCCACAGCAGACATTGTCAGTATATACTCATATTATTTAACAATTTTTTAAATCTTTATACTCAGTTTTACCCTCCACACAATCATAAATTAAAACAAGTTCCAGTGCAGAGGCTTTCCACAAACTATTCCACAAAGTATTAGAGTATGTGAGCCATTTCCAAAATTTTCTGTGGAAACATTGTAAGTCATTTAAGTAATAAGCATAAGCTCATGAAAATATCACAACTGAACATCGAATTAACTGAAAGACAAGAGGAGAAGAGACACACAAAGGCATAGTGGAACCTCTAGGACAGGGTCAAAATAAGAAGACAATAAATTTTGCTAATATTTTAAGATTCTTTGGTTTGAACTTGCTCACTCTATATCACTGTCTGATAACTAATTAGAATTTGTAGTGTGAATTTGGGTTTTATTTGCACTTGCATTTTGAAAACGCAAATGTTTTGTTATAGATAATTGCAATGTTGTAGAAATGTATGTATATTAACTTTAATTACAACTGCTCTGGTAGCTAAATAGCCTGTTTTGCAATTGCTTTACACAGACAGACAGCTAATAAGACCTAAGATGAACCTTAAAATCTGATATTTATGTTTACAAATTAATTTAAGAGTACTCCCTCCAATGTCTGTATACTAAACTAAAATAACCTGGTAGAGTCATTAAGAATATTTTAGGCCTTAAGAGTCTTCTTAACTACTCATAGCACATTTTGATTGAATCATAAAGAAATTTCAAAGGTTGTTATTAGTTACAGTGTGAGGAAAACATATGTTTGTAGAAAGGCATAGTTTGTTCAATAATTTTTAAGGGTATTTGTTAGAATTCTAATATTTTTAAAGGTTCAAGAAAAATTGTTGCCCTTATATTAGGCAATTATAGTAACAAGAATAGATTTGTTACATATAGTATAAGTATTTTGGGGGTAAAAAAGTTTTTGGACCAAGCCAGATGACAGTGATGCAGGAAGAGTATGACCTTTCTATTATGCAGCATATTTGTGCTACGTCTTCCTTACCAAGAAGAAGTATGAACAAAGAATCAGAAATATACCATTATGTTCAGGTTTCAAGAATAGTGCTTCAAGGTGAGAAGAATTTTTTCTATGCATTTTACTAGTAATAAAAGAATCTTAAATCAACCAAGAAAAATATAAAAGGTCTGGAGGGTGACAACAGAAAGAAAAGAAAAGGCTGGAGAACATGAGTTTACTTAACCTCCAGAACAGAGTCAGGACAAACAAAGAACACTTGGTGAAGACAGAGCAAACCCAGACACACGGATATTTAATCAGCTAAAAGCTACAGCAATGTGAAGCTATATAACAACACTGGCCAGCCAAATACAAGGTTAAATGTGTTTCAGGCCTAGAGCTTAGAGCTGTTGCCTATTTCCTGGAAGTTTCAATCTGAATTTTAAAATAAATTTGACATGAAAGCCAGTCAAGTCACTGTATAGACAAGTAAAGTTAGACTTAACTACCCACTTAGGTTTTACACAAATATTTTAAAATTATTTTAAAATAGCTGCTCATTGTTTATAGGTTGTCCATAGGTTGACCGATAATAATAATGTTTTCACAAATGATTTACTTTTACAAAGATTGGATCATGGTTTATACTACATATTTCATGAGAGTAATACAGTCTATCTTATCTCTATTTTGCCTGCAAACAAAAACTTAACATGCAAGCATACATCCTAAAGAAATATTCAGGGTTAGGATGATATGTTCAATCCTAATTTGTAAAGTCAAAAAAAAAGAGTGCTATTGTTTAATTTTATACTATTAGATGTTGTTAGTTTTAGCTGTTCCTCTACTCAGAGGTAATTAAACTACCGCAACTATTCACTTAGAAGCAATTAAATTTGTCTTTACTAATCAATCTCAGACTGTTAATGCAGATTTAATGTACGCAGATAAGGAGGAGGTATAATAGTTGTTTCATATAATATCATTCTCTCCATTAATTTCCTTCTTTATTCCTAGAGTAAATGTTGTAATATGGTACCTGGTCATTTAGGAAATAAACTGGTAATACATTTTGCACTAGTAAGCCAAGGGTCAACCTCCAAACTTTTCTAGGATAAACTTCCTCTATGTTATTTGGAAATAGTGCCATTTGATCATGGCTGAGTTATCCCAATTGGCAGTTTCATTTTAATGAAATGTACTCCCCACTGTTTTCAGCTCTGCCACAGACACCTTTGGCTTTGGTTCTCTTCAACCCTAAGCACTCATTCCATAAAATGTTGCACTGGCCTCCGTTGAAGCATTTGAAGCAGAAAAAAATAACAGAAAACCAAAATCAGTTCTTCAAAATCAAAAGCAGTTCTTTTAAAAGACTGCTCTAAGACTCAAACTCCAAGCTAATTATCAACAACTATCTAAAGCATAAAGGGACTTTGGGATAATTTTCGGTGCCAGTAATCACAAATGACTAAGAATAACTTATTCAGTTAGATCCTTGTGACAGCACATATGCTTGTACATATGCACTGGAAACAGTGTTTTTTTACTCTCAGGTTAAAATCTTGAAAACAGTTATCTAATAAGAATCTTCACGTATCTGTTAAAAAAGAATTCAGATTTCCAAGCCCCTTCCCTGAAGTTTCTTCCCTGTAATTTGTATGCTAATTATTGCTTCTAGTTATTATTAGTGTCCGACAGTTGAGAGATATTTTTCTGAAACAAATGGAAAGATCTTTCTGGAAAAGATTCTAAGGCTCAGTTGAGGCTAGGGAAGGAATCTGATTAGAGCCTGGAGTAATTGTACCTCTACAAAACTAGCATGGGAAAATTAATTGTGAAAAAGGAAGGAAAAAAGGAAGAGGGAAGGAAAAGATAGAGGAAGGCGGAAAAGAAAAGGTGTATTAGGACCCGAGGATATTGTGATTCATGATTTGCTGACAAACTCAGTTTAGGGCTTAATTTTTCTGAAGTGAGATATCTGGAAAAAGATATGGAACCCTGGATTGGTGAGCAAGTCAGTACACTTATTTACTTACAGCCTCTCCCTACTGGCATCCAAATATAAGAAAAAAAAAAAAAACTAGCAATTTGGAAAAGCGAATCCTCAGAAATGTTACCAACTTCAGTATAGAATCTATAGTTTAACCAAAAGGAAGAAAGATAAATCAAGGACTTAGAAATAGAGATTATATATTAAAAGTAAGTTTGAGTCAACATAATTATTTATGTATAACATAAAAATATACAAACATTTAGAATAAAAATCTGATATGATTTCAAATGAAGAGGTAGGGGATGTGTATTTCATTGGCAGGATATAAATAAAAAGTTAATCTAAAAAATATTAGAAAATTAAAAGTTAAAATATTCCTTTTAAATTTTAAGCATAAGTGTAAAAAAGTTAAAAAACTTAAAAGTTAAAATATTCTGTTTAAATTTTAAGTGTAAGGGTAAACAAGAAATAAAGGTAAGGGAAAATTACCTTACAGGAAATAAAAGGAAAGGTATAGATAAGAGAAACAAGAGTAAAAGAAAAAAGGAATAATTGTAAGTAAAGGAAAAAAGAAATAAAATATCTCAAATAGTCTAATAGAATGAAATACTAAAAAAAAAGAATGATAAATAGGGAAGAGAAAATAAGTTTACAGAAATAATCCCAAAAGCATAATCATAAAAAATAATGAGAATGAATTAAACCTTATATTTCTAGGCAGATTCTTTAAGATTCCCCACCTTGTCATGCACCCATTTGCACATACATTCAACATACTTGCATGAAACTCACTTATAATAAAACAATCCCCAAAAAGTGAAAAAAAAAAAAGGAAACACATCTGGAAAGATTCTGGCTAAATATATTTGATTAAAAATAAACTTGCTATCAAAACCTCACGGAAATATGAATAAAGGGATATAAAAACTCCACAAACAAGAAAATAGAATGGCAAAGGACACAATTGCTAATGAAATATGATAATACTGGTAGTTGGAAAGCAAATGGATAAGTGGAGACATTATAAACCACATAAAACATTCTTCAGTTTACAAGAGTCATCCAAGGAAAAATATTGATTCATGTTGTTATGGGAAATGCTCAGGTATGAGAACCAACCAACACTTCTGAAGGCTGTTTTGTAGATGAAGCAGAAAAGAGGCAGACCTTAAAATCAATATAAAAAGTTATTAGGCTCAGATCTCCTTTAAAAGCCAGTTGTAATGTGACTACACCTACAAACTCTGACAGAAACACAAGACTCATTATTTGGATATGTAAAGGCAGAATAACATTTGACCGAAGGAAAGCAGGAATTACTACATGCGATAGTGTTATGCTGTAAATAAATGAAAGTCAACACACAATGCAGAGACCTTCCTTCTCCACTTACCTCTTCCTCAAGCTTCCTCTCCAGTTTGACTCAATAACCCCAGGCAAAAGATTTAACAACTTCTGTTTGGAGAAATGAACCAACCAAAGGGAAAAGACAGTAATACCAGCAGTCATATTCCCAAATAAATTAGCCTATCAGTTAAAAAGTCTTCGATTTCCTTCCAAGCAGTATTTCCTAATTGTTAAACATGAATAGATAATCAAGTAGCACCTCCCATTAGAGAACGATGTTAACAAAGAGAGCAGAAATCAAACCAAAAAAGCAAAAAGGAAAGCAGAGAAACAAGGACAATGAAGGGACTCAAACTTTATGTGTGTGTGTGTGTGTAACTGGTGTGTGTGTGTGTATATATATAAACCGGCAACTTTATATATATATATATATATATATCTGGTAATACGTTTTACACTAGTAAGCCAAGGGTCAACCTCCAAACTTTTCTAGGAAAAACTTCCTCGATGCTATTTGGAAATAGTGCCATTTGATCATGACTGACTTATCCCAATTGGGAGTAATGACATGTACTCCCCACTGCTCTCAGCTCTGCCACAAACACCATATGTGTGTGTGTGTGTGTGTGTGTGTGTGTGTGTATATAAAATTTATTAATATATTTATTTATATATTTTTATATAGTATAAATATATTTATATATTTATTTATATATTACTTATATATATTTGTTATTTATATATTTATATATTTTATTTACATATTTAAAAATATATTTTATATATATTTATATATATATATATAATTACAATGATATATCTGGTGAGAAAAAAAGAGATTAAGTGTCCATTAAATACTTTTAAAGGAAGAATCATTCCAAGAAAAAAGAGTGGCATCTTCCGGTATTCTACCTGGGTGATGTAGTTATTAAGCCAACTTCAGGAAGGAGCCAAACCATGAGGAGGCAAGTGGAGAGAGAAGGTGTCTCCACTATGTGTATTGACTTTCCCATACTGTTCACAGCACAACACTCTGTAATAAAATTACCACATACTCTGTGTTGACATCTAAGTGCCTAGCACAATCCTGTAAAGATAATGGTTACTGTAAACCAAAACTTGAGATTCTCTTACTAGAAAGTCAAATAAATGACTGAATTTACTATAGTTCTGAATAAAGCAAGAAATAGTAACATAAACAAATTATTTATAAATATGGATGTAAATGCCAGAATAAATGTACAAATAAATGAAAGCACTTGAATCTAAAATGTAGGAATTGGGAAATGGAAAAGTAAAGCATGGTAATCTTGTTTATGGAACATGACTCGTTGAGGTTTTGACTTCTTAAACTATGTATATATATCTTTTTAAGTAAAATTTATCTTTTACATAAAATTTAAAATAAAATTTTAAAATTCAAAGATAAGCTTAAAAAAGGAAATTAATCACTTTGCAAACTCAAAGACAGCACACACAAAAAAAGGAGAAGGGAGAAAAGAAAGAAAAAAGGGAAGAAGGGAGGGAAGGAGGGAAGAGGGAAGAAAGGGAAGACAGAAGGAAGTAAAGAAAGGCCAGCTAAATAAATGTTTATTAAAATATTATATGTTATATCTAATATCAGACATAGGGCAAATTTGAGGCAAAGAACAAATAATGCAAAAGTCAATGGGAAATAATCCTTCTAAAAATTTATGAAGATAGTTATTTTGCATTTGAATTTAGTATGCCTATTAATGCAAAGATATTCAATAAGACATTACAGAATTATATATTATATACATAACAGAATTATATTATGTTATAACAGAATTATACATTATAAGGACAATACTGTATGACAAAGTAGGGTTGTTTCAGGAATGCAAGGAATGTTTAATATTGGGAAATAATTATTTATTTATGAATAATTAAAATAACATGATCAAATCATAGCTGTTGACAAAAAGTATCATCATGCCCAATAAAAATTCTTGTCATGGTCATGCAGAGTGGCTCACACCTGCAATCCCAGTACTTTGGAAGGTGGAAGTGGGAAGATCACTTTAACCCAGAAGTTCAAGACCAGCCTGGGCAACATGGCAAAACCTTGTCTTTATAAAAAAGAAAGGAAAGAAAAGAAAACAAAAGAAAAGAAAAGAAGAAAGAAAGAAAAGAAAGAAAGAAAAAGAAAGAAAGAAAGAAAGAAAGAAAGAAAGAAAGAAAGAAAGAAAGAAAGAAAGAAAGAAAAAAAAGAAAGGGAAAGGAAAGGAAAGGAAGCAAGCAAGAAAGAAAGAAATTAGCAAGGATGATGCTGTTCAAAGGTAGTCCTAGCTACAAGGTAGACTGAGGCAGGAAGATCGTTAGAGCCCAGGAGCTCGAAATTACAATGAGCTATGATTGCACCACTGCACTCCAACCTGGGTGACAGAGCAAGACCCTGTCTCTAAAAAATAATGCAAGTCAAAACAAAATCAAACACAATGATTAAGTTGGAACCTCAGAAGTCTTCCTTTTAAAGTCTGGAACAAGACAAGAAAGTCAAAAGCAGTAAAAAGGCATTGGAAAGGAAGCAAAACATTGCCATTATATTTTAGATAATATGATTATATATGTAGAAATCCCAGGTTTAATGTTACAAATAAACATAAAATCTAGTATTTTCATTTTATAAAATTGATGTGTAAGAATGAACAGTTTCTAGTGCACAAACAACAATCAGTTATTATTGGAATTTAGTTCCATATTTATGGAAAAACAAAAATATTGCATACATGGTAATAAGCAGTAAGTCGAAAGTATGGAAAGAGTATAATAAAACACTAATGAGTGACAAAATAAAATATGTTAATAAATGGAAACATGCATCATGATCCTGGATACAAAAGTTCATAAAGTTTTCAATATTTCCTAAACTGACTCCTCAATTTGTTGGGATACCAAATAAAATAAAAGATTAGTAAATGACAAACTGACAATAAATTCAATTGGGAAAAAATTCAAGAATAGTAAAGAAACCCATCAAAATTAAAACTTGATAGTTGGTACCACTTTAAGACATTTGAAAATGTATTATAAAGCTTGAATAATGAAACAGGAATTGAAAATAAATCAAGAGGGTATACATCACTTATTTCAGTTCACAACATTACGAATTTTTAAAACCAAAGAATTTTTTTTTTTAATTATACTTTAAGTTTTAGGGTACACGTGCACATTGTGCAGGTTAGTTACATATGTATACATGTGCCATGCTGGTGCACTACACCCACTAACTCGTCATCTAGCATTAGGTATATCTCCCAATGCTATCCCTCCCCCCTCCCCCCACCCCACAACAGTCCCCAGAGTGTGATATTCCCCTTCCTGTGTCCATGTGATCTCATTGTTCAATTCCCACCTATGAGTGAGAATATGCGGTGTTTGGTTTTGTGTTCTTGCGATAGTTTACTGAGAATGATGATTTCCAATTTCATCCATGTCCCTACAAAGGACATGAACTCATCATTTTTTATGGCTGCATAGTATTCCATGGTGTATATGTGCCACATTTTCTTAATCCAGTCTATCACTGTTGGACATTTGGGTTGGTTATACTTACAAGAATTAAGGTACTCAACTATCCAGAGACAAGAAATGAATCACATTACAAGAATATTTAATTTTCCAGAATTTTATACACAGATTAACAATATTAACCATCATACACCTTTAACCTATCATAATTAACCTTCATATAACTTTTCACATATGTGAAAAACTTACCACAGTTCACTTTCATTTCCCTCTCTTATTCTTGTCCTATTATATTTTACATCAAAATATGTTATAGATCCCCAAATTTATGATTACTTTTGCTTTTAACTACAGATTCCTTTTTTTTTTTTTTTTTGAGACAGAGTCTTGCTCTGTTCCCCAGGCTGGAGTGCAGTGGCATGATCTCTGCTCACTGCAACCTCTGCCTCCTGGGATCAAGTGATTCTCCTGCCTCAGCCTCCCAAGTAGCTGGGATTATAGGCATGTGCCACCATACCTAGCTAATTTTTGTATTTTTAGTAGAGACATGGTTTCACCATGCTGGCCAGGCTGGTCTGGAACTCCTGACCTCAGGTGATCCACCCGTGTTGGCCTCCCAAAGTACTGGGATTATAGGTGTGAGCCACCAGGCACAGCACAATTATCTTTTACAGAGAAAAAAACTAAAAACAAAATCATATATTATTTTTACCCAGTTTATCATTTCCAGAATTCTTAATGTTTTAAGTAAATTTAGATTTTTATCTTGTGTAATTTTTTTAAAGCTTCCTTGTATATTTCTTATAGTTTAGGTGTGCAGACAATTTCCTCAGCTTTGTGTGTGTGTGTGTGTGTGTGTGTGTGTGTGTGTGCATGTCCCTCAATGGTAGCCTATCACCACCTTGTATTCATACAGGGCCCATAGCATGAATGGACTTCTCCAAGTACTCTTGTCAAACCTCAAACATTGACAAGTCTTGCTTACCTGTGCCTCTAAGAAGGGCTTTTCCATGTCTCCTACCTTTTCACCAGTCTTTCTCTTGAATACCTGATAAAAGCCCATAAAAAAATACTAGTGAGTGATTGGATGCATCCCTCTTTCTGGGGTTCTCAGGATTCTAAAATGTCTCAATTTTATAAAATCTACTTTAAATTTGGCTCTATATTATCCAGGTAATGCAATCTAGCCTCTTATAGTCTTAAGGATTTCAAAAATACTAATTTGCCTTCCCACCAACAGTGTGTAAGTGCTCCCTTTTGTCCTTATCCTTGACAACGTCCATTATTTTGTGAATTTTTAATGACAGCAATTCTGAAAGGTATAAGACAGTAGTTTTAATCTGCATTTCTCTGATAATTAGCGGTGGTGAGCATTTTTTCATATGCTTGTTGGTAGTTTGCATGTCTTCTTTTAAAAAATGTCTGTTCATTTTCTTTGCCCACTTTTTAATGGTTATTTGTTCCTTGCTGTTGCTGAGTTGTTTGAGTTCCTCATTAATTCTGGATATTAGTCCCTTGTGGAAAACAGTATGAAGATTTCTCAAAGAATTAAAAAATAGAATTGCCATTCAATCCAGCTATGACACTACTGGGTATCTACCCCCTGAAAAAAATTATGTGCAAAAGATAACCTGCACTCACATGTTTATCGCAACACTATTCACAATAGCAAAGACGTGGACTCAACCTAAGTGTCCAACAATAGATAATCACAGAAAGAAAATATAAAATGTATATACAATAGAATACTACTCAGCCATAAAAATGAATGAAATCACATATTTTGCAGCAACCTGGATGGACCTTGAGGCTTTTATCTTAAGTGAAACAACTGAGACACAGGAAGTCAAATATTGCATATTTTCACTTAGAAGTGGGAACTAAATAAGGTATACACACGGACATAGAGTGTGGAATAATAGACACTGGAGACTTGTAAGGGTGGAAGGGTGCTAGAGGTGTGAGGAACGAGAAATTACTTAATGGGTTCAATGTAACGTTATTCAGGTCATGGTTACACTAGAAGCTCAGACTTCATCACTATGCAATACTCACATAACAAAACTGTACTTGCACCCCTTAAATTTATACAAATGTTAATATTTTTAAACACTTTAAATTCTGTTTAAATTTCTTATTAAATTTAATTAAAATAATCAAATCAGTAAATTTAAACTCCTTATTATGAGAAATAATCTTCCCTACAACATAATAGAGCAAAAATATTTCAATTTTATTTGCTACTCACTGTCACCCTGGAAATATTGTGCCAGACACGTTAATAGAATATCCATAAATTTTTAAACAAATTTATCTTTGGTTGTATTTTTAAGTAGTGAATACTAAAGTTATACAGTTTCCTAACTGTAGTAGACAGAAACCAGCTCAGCTTTAACATATTTGACATGATACATTTTGTATCTGAGGATCCATCTGAGATTACCAGGCCATAATAAATACAAAAATTTTACTTAAATCCAACTGTGTAAAATAAGATGTAAAAGTTAACGAAGTCTTCGGCTGTAAAAAACTACTCCCTCACCCAAAAAAAATAAGTAACTTTTAAACCAGTGGTTATCAAACTGCTTCGTGTTAGAGCTATTTGGGGAGCTTTGAAGATTCCCAATGCATTCTATATAAGTTTAATCATAATCTCTAGGGATAGAACCCTGGCATCTCAGATATTCAAAACTCTTCAGGAATGTTCATTCTGCAGTCAAGTTTAAGGGCCAGTGGCTTAAACAAGATAGGAGGTAATTCTCTGTTATGTAAAAAGCAGTTTGGAGTTTATCTGCAGCTATACACAGTCCTCAGGGACTCAGACTTCTCTTTTTCCACAGTTCTATCTTTAAGAGCCTAGCTTTTATCTTCAAAGTCACTTCAGTGTCAAAAATGACTCTTAAATCTCCAGCGATTATACTCGTGCTTCAGTCAAGCAATAGGAGAAAGTAGGAGAGGAAAAAAAAAAAAAAAAAAAGCTTTGAGCTCCTTCCACTTATGGAACCTTCCCTGAAGTCCTACCTAGCTTATGCTTTTATATAAGTGAGCAGAAGTTGGACATATGAACAAACCTAGCAGCAATGAAAGCTGGGAAACATTTTCTTCTAGCTGGTCACATTACTCAGTTTTCTCTTACAAAACAGATGAATGCTGCACCCAAGAACAGCCTTTTACATACCAGGCTTAACTCACTGCCAAAATGTTTCCATTCATCCTTCACATATTGGAATTATAAAAAATATTTTATATCAGGAAAACTTCTGAACTGATGGGATAGCTGAAATGCCTTTTTTTAAACTATTTTCTTTCTGGCCCAAGTTAATGTTGTATTATATTTTTCCCCAGTTTCTTTATTCCATTGAAATAAGATCCTTTTTAATCCTTATTAAAATGAATGAAGGAAAGATAAATTAATTCTCAAAATTGACAACACGTGGGGTAGAAAGTTAGCAATATATCTGAAGAAATTCATAAGTATAGATATAGACCAAGTATTTTATTATCTTTGATGAGTCGGTCAAGCTCCCAAGTATGCAAGTTGACATTCAAAAGTAAGTTCGTAGGTATTATTAGAAAGGTGTTCATCTGTGTATGTTTCTAGATATAAGTAAGATATTTATTCATCCATCATGAGTTACCTTTCCAAATATTCATCTCTTTTATATTTTTGAGACAATAAAGTTTGAATTCCAGTTTTGTCACTTAGTATCTACACATCTTTTTCATGCAAGAAAACACAACACATTGTTATAAAATTCATATATAACCCTTCCTTCTTATTCTCCCTGCAAACTCATGAAAGCTCTAGTCATTGGCTAAAGAAGAAGCAGTTCAATAACAAGCAAGAGAATAGAAACAGAAAGATTGAATGTTATTCTTTTTTTTTTTCATAAAGTTAAGGGAAAATGGGATTCAATTCCATTTGCACTTAAAAGGACCCTTTAATATTGCTCCATGTAGCATTTTGAATACCTCTAAGTCAGGTAAGTAAAATAAATCTCCCTGTAGGCTAAGATGAAAAAATATTTATTTCATAACTTTGAATTTTTATTAAAATGATGAAAAAATTTTGCACCCATGGACCATACACATTGTTCAAAACTCTTAACACTAAAAACTTTTCATAACTAAATGCTGTTAATAAAATTACATGTTATAATTTGTTAGATAGAAATTTTATCTAAACAATGTATGTGCAAGTCAGATAACATTTTTAGTAAAAAATTATTCAAAGCAATAAACTAAAAAGAATATAATTCTTCCAAATAATATGAACCAAATTACTTTCTAGTAGGCAACACAAGATGCCACATAATTTGTTTTATTACAGAAAAATAAATGTATTTTCCGAGCTTAAGACTGAATTTTTAGAGCAATAGAATTAAAGTGCTAATTAACACATACCTGGCACAGCTTGACTAGGACACAACTTCCAAAATAACTTTTTTGAACTTTTAGAAAATATTATGCAATATCAAAGAAAATCCTGGTCCAGATCAAAGTGAAGACTAATTTAAAAGTTCATTTGAATTTTTAGTTTTTAAATCTAGTCAAAGATACCATATTTTATTGATACTCAATTAAATTAGAATGAAAACTAGGAACCAACAAGTTTGACCCTCATGCCTCTGAATCTAATTGTTTGTTGTAGCCTTCACGAGTTGAAATCTCACATTTGTTGAGACTAACAAAGAAAAACATGAAAGTTGTGTTTTAATATTATAATATTATAGATGCCCTCAAAATGTTATTTAAAATGTTAAAAATATTCTATGAGCAACTTAAAGACATATTTGAAAAATATTTATGTTAATATGCATATCAGCAGTTAGACAAAAGAACCAAAATATATTAACAGTTTACAATCTCAACTCAAAAGATTTCGTTCAAAAACTGGTAAGGAATGGCACTATGCTTGAAATTAACTGTAGCTCTTAGGTATATCTAGCTCTCAGGTATATATACAGATTCTCATAAAATATTTGGGTTCCTGAAGCTTAGGAGTCCTCTTTTGTGATGCAATCCACAGTGTGTGTACAGGTGTCACTGACTCTGTTTATATCACCTTGTGGGAATTGGGGCTCAGAGAATTGGCATAAAAATGTTGATATTCTTGATACTGTTATTGTTTTGATAATGGACCATTCTTTACCTCTGGTTATAGAGTCTTCCACTAGCATCAGTAAAATTGTAGCAGGTTAATTTGCATGGCAAAGTGTCAGACCCATCACAATTCTTGACATCTGGTTCCGTTTAAAAATACGTAATTTAAAAGCTTAGCTATATGTTAGTAGGCTACATTTTAGAAACTTTATATATCATGTGTAGCTTTTTATCATTAGAAGATGTAGAAAATGTATTTAGCTAAAAAAAAATCTCAAATTCAATAATCCAGAGATTTGATGTATTTAGTTTCACATATTTTTGGATTTCTAGTTTTAAATTATAATTTAAGTAATACTACAAGTAATATTTTGGTCTACTGATTTAGACTTATTACTACATGTAAAGTTTTTAAAATTTAGCCTATAACCATAAAACTAAGCTTTATATTATATAAAATGCACCCACAATGGTGATTTCAGAAAATACTATGTGCTCTTTGCAGCCCAATTGAATAATTTTAGAGATTTTATATATATATACATATATATATATAAATAAAACCATCCTGTGGAGACTAGAAACACATACATTAAGCTTACAATTTTATCATAATGACACGAAAGGCCATACAAAATTGAATCATGTTAGAGATTTGCAAAATATAATTCTTACACTTCCCAACTTTGTTTGTTCTTTGAGACAGAGTCTTGCTCTGTCGCCAGGCTGGAGCACAGTGGCGCGATCTCAGCTTATTGCAACCTCTGACTCCCTGGTTCAAGCAACTAATTCTCTTGCCGCAGATTCCCGAGTAGCTAGGATTACAGGCACGCACCACCATGCCCAGATAATTTTTGAATTTTTTTTTTTTTTTGTAGAGTCGGGGTTTCCTTATGTTGGCCAGGATGGTCTCGATCTCCTGACCTCGTGATGTGCCCACCTCTGCCTCCCACAGTGCTCGGATTATAGGCGTGAACCACAACACGCAGCCGAACAAATTTTATTAAGTAAATCAATAAAAATTTATTTCCCTTACATAAGGACCTACAGTTAATAATCAATGTTCTCATAGAGATTTGAATTTTCTCTATATTTACAAATACACAATTGACACTATAGAACAATAATTAATTGCCCTATTTTCTCCTACAGTATGTTTTAAATAGATCGCACATGGCCTAAGAGAGTTAGAGATTGTTCTAATCACACAACTGTACTCTAGAAAGTAACATTACTGCTGAATAAAATAATGCTTGTGTATAAAGAAAAATTTGGAAAATAGCAATCAGAATTGAGTTGCCCTTTCTGGATGTAAAGAAAAAGATACACTAAAAACAGAAAAATGTTTATCACAGGAAAATCTGAAACAAGTATTAACAACTGGGAAATAAATAAAATATCTTCTGTCCTTACCACAAACAAAATAGAACTATCAATTAAATTATACTGAATTTCACATCAGAGAACCAATTTCAGTGAATACCTTCATAGTGATTACAACCTATGTATAAGGAGTGGCTTCATTAGATGATTATATGGCTTTTGTTAGAAATTTTTAAATTAAAGTCTTCGTAATAGGGTGAATTTATGAAAGGCCTCCATGTTTTTCTTGTTTCTATAATTCAGTAGTTAGCAATAAAATAATGTTTTTCCCATTAAGTATTTTTAAAATAATGTTTACTTGTTTCAAAAAATTATGTTTCGAAAAAATATATTGAAAATTATAGGAGCTGGTTTTTTGAAAAGATCAACAAAATTGATAGACCGCTAGCAAGACTAATAAAGAAGAAAACACAAAAGAATCAAATAGACACAATAAAAAAGGATTAAGGGGATATAACCACCGATCCCACAGAAATACAAACTACCATCAGAGACTACTATAAACACCTCTATGCAAATAAACTAGAAAATCTAGAAGAAATGGATAAATTCCTGGACACAAACACCCTCCCAAGACTAAACCAGGAAGAAGTTGAATCCCTGAAGAGACAAATAACAGGCTCTGAAATTGAAGCAACAATTAATAGCCTAGCAACTAAAAAAAGTCCAGGACCAGATGGATTCACAGCCGAATTCTACCAGAGGTACAAGGAGGAGCTGGTACCATTCCTTCTGAAACTATTCCAATCAATAGAAAAAGAGGGAATCCTCCCTAACTCATTTTATGAGGCCAGCATCATCCTGATACCAAAGCCTGGCAGAGACAAAACCAAAAAAGAGAATTTTTGACCAATATCCCTGATGAACATCGATGCAAACATCCTCAATAAAATACTGGCAAACTGAATCCAGCAGCACATCAAAAAGCTTATCCATCATGATCAAGTGGGCTTCATCCCTGGGATGCAAGGCTGGTTCAACATACACAAATCAATAAACGTAATCCAGCATATAAACAGAACCAAAGACAAAAACCACATGATTATCTCAACAGATGCAGAAAAGGCCTTTGAGAAAATTCAACAGCCCTTCATGCTAAAAACTCTCAATCAATTAGGTATTGATGGGATGTATCTCAAAATAATGAGCGCTATTTATGACAAACCCACAGCCAATATCATACTGAATGGGCAAAAACTGGAAGCATTCCCTTTGAAAACTGGCACAAGATAGGGATGCCCTCTCTCACCACTCCTATTCAACATAGTGTTGGAAGTTCTGGCAAGGGCAAACAGGCAGGAGAAAGAAATAAAGGGTATTCAATTAGGAAAAGAGGAAGTCAAATTGTCCCTGTTTGCAGATGACATGATTGTATAATTAGAAAACTCCATCGTCTCAGCCCAAAATCTCCTTAAGCTGATAAGCAACTTCAGCAAAGTCTCGGGATACAAAATCAATGTGCAAAAATCACAAGCATTCTTATACATCAATAACAGACAAACAGAGAGCCAAATCATGAGTGAACTCCCATTCACAATTGCTTCAAAGAGAATAAAATACCTAGGAATCCAACTTACAAGGGATGTGAAGGAGCTCTTCAAGGAGACTACAAACCACTGCTCAATGAAATAAAAGAGGACACAAACAAATGTAAGAACATTCCATGCTCATGGGTAGGAAGAATCAATATCGTGAAAATGGCCATACTGCCCAAGGTAATTTATAGATTCAATGCCATCCCCATCAAGCTACCAATGACTTTCTTTATGGAATTGGAAAAAGCTACTTTGAAGTTCATATGGAACCATAAAACAGCCTGCACTGTGAAGACAATCCTAAGCCAAAAGAACAAAGCTGGAGGCTTCACACTACCTGACTTCAAACTATACCACAAGGCTACAGTAACCAAAACAACATGGTACTGGTACCAAAATAGAGATATAGACCAATGGAACAAAACAGAGCCCTCAGAAATAATACCACATATCTACAACCATCTGATCTTTGACAAACCTGACAAAAACAAGCAATGGGGAAAGGATTCCCTATTTAATAAATGGTGCTGGGAAAACTGGCTAGCCATATGTAGAAAGCTGAAACTGGATCCCTTCCTTACACCTTATACAAAAATTAACTCAAGTTGGATTAAAGACTTACATGTTAGACCTAAAACCATAAAAACCCTAGAAGAAAACCTAGGCAATAACATTCAGGACACAGACATGGGCAAGGACTTCATGTCTAAAACACCAAAAGCAATGGCAACAAAAGCCAAAATTGACAAATGGGATCTAACTAAACTCAAGAGCTTCTGCACAGCAAAAGAAACTATCATCAGAGTGAACAGGCAACCTACAGAATGGGAAAAAATTTGTGCAATCTACTCATCTGACAAAGGGCTAATATCCAAAATCTACAAAGAACTTAAACAAATTTACAAGAAAAAAACAAACAATCCCATCAAAAAGTGGGCGAAGGATATGAGCAGACGCTTCTCAAAAGAAGACATTTATGCAGCCAACAGATACATGAAAAAGTGCTCATCATCACTGGCCATCAGAGTAATGCAAATCAAAACCATAATGAGATACCATCTCACACCAGTTAGAACGGCAATCATTAAAAAGTCAGGAAACAACAGGTGCTGGAGAGGATGTGGAGAAATAGGAACACTTTTACACTGTTGGTGGGACTGTAAACTAGTTCAACCATTGTGGAAGACAGTGTGGTGATTCCTCAAGGATCTAGAACTAGAAATACCATTTGACCCAGCCATCCCATTACTGGGTATATACCCAAAGGATTATAAATATTGCTGCTATGCTGCTATAAAGACACATGCACACGTATGTTTATTGCAGCACTATTCACAATAGCAAAGACTTGGAACCAACCCAAATGTCCATCAATGATTGACTAGATTAAGAAAATGTGGCACATATACACAATGGAATACTATGCAGCCATAAAAAAGGATGAGTTCATGTCCTTTGTAGGGACATGGATGAAGCTGGAAACCATCATTCTCAGCAAACTATTACAAGGACAAAAAACCAAACACCGCATGTTCTCACTCATAAGTGGGAATTGAACAATGAGAACACTCGGACACAGGAAGGGGACCATCACACACCGGGGCCTGTTGTAGGGTGGGGGTATGGGGGAGGGATAGCATTAGGAGATATACCTAATGTAAATGATGAGTTAATGGGTGCCGTACACCAACATGGCACATGTATACATAGGTGACAAACCTGTACGTTGTGCACATGTACCCTAGAACTTAAAGTATAATAAAAAAAAAGAAAATTATATTGACAAGAATTCTGGTAAAGGTAACTTCTAACAGAGTCCCTCCTTGAAACCAACCCTAAGTGAGAAGAGAAGAGAAAGATTGGTGAAAAAGGAATACAGAAGCCAAAAGATGAATGTAGAGAATGTTCTTACTCCATGTCACAAATATTTAAGGAATCCTTCCAGGTACCAAATACATAATTCTAAATAAAAGACTATCCAAGGATTCAATGGGAACCCAGTTAGAGGAATTTCTGGTCATTCCTACTGTACCCCCTTATTTAAGAAAGTGAAATCTAGAAACTCTAGCAAACCAAGGAAAATAAAGTCATTCCTATTTAATACACTTTCTTATGTACCAGATAAAGAAATGAAAATTTAAAATGAGTTCTAGTGGTTTGCTCTAATACTATTTCTTAATAGGAAAATGGGGATGCATAAGTAAGTGGGGAGCAGAATTTCTCAACTATGGATGGTAAAAAGAATTGAAGTCTAGAAATTTGACAGACATTAGAAAGATAGTCTCAATATGCCCATAGCTATTTTCTGCACTAAGAACTAAAAGAGGAAGAGAAGGTTATGCTGATAGGAAAACCCAAGTGGTCACCCAAACCAAAAACCCACAGGAAGTAGTAGCCGTAACGGTTTATTTCACCAATAATTAATAGACAACTTAAAAGAGATGTGACAAAACAAGTGCTCTCAAAACTAGAGAGAGGAGTACCATGGATAAAAATTGAACAGAACCACACTGTGTACATGGAGTAGAAACATGAATGAATGAAACTCTAGCTATTAAACAATGGCTCCTAGTGCATTAGTTAACATAGAGAAAAACTAGGTCAGTATTGAGTTCTACCCAAATCTGGAACTGCCCAGAATCTCAGTTTCTTCCTCAGAACCTCTTGACATTAAATGGTATAATGAAAATATTTACTACAAAACTCCCTTCTTAAGTTCTAAGAAAATAATTCAGATAAATAGAGAGGTATATAAAAATGGGTCTCCACACAAAATGACCTATACTATTTTTAAGCAAAGACCAGCTTGGGCTGAAAAATTGAGAATCAAAAAATAGGAAAGTGGAAGATCATGCAAAACCTTTGAAACAAAAATTAAGGAATAATACCTCTCTTGAGAAATGAGATTAAAAGTATAAATGTGAATACCAGAAAAAGCCTGAATAGTGAATAATGGGAAAGGAGAAAAATGATAAGGAGAGAGTTTAGGACTAAACAGTAGAAGGATGGGAAAGGGGAAAGAATTAGAAAGAGGAGAAGTAAGAAACAAAATAAAACAAAGCATGGGAAAAAAAGAAAGAGAGAAAAAGAAAATATCTCTAGCTTGTGAAAGAAGAGATTCTCATAAATTTGTTTGAGTTCATTGTAGATTCTGGATATTAGTCCTTTGTCAGATGAGTAGGTTGCAAAAATTTTCTCCCATTCTGTAGGTTGCCTGTTCACTCTGATGATGGTTTCTTTTGCTGTGCAGAAGCTCTGTAGTTTAATTAGATCCCATTTGTCAATTTTGGCTTTTGTTGCCATTGCCTTTGGTGTTTTAGACATGAAGTCCTTGCCCAAGCCTATGTCCTGAAAGGTATTGCCTAGGTTTTCTTCTAGGGTTTTTATGGTTTTAGGTCTAACATGTAAGTCTTTAATCCATCTTGAATTAATTTTTGTATAAGGTGTAAGGAAGGGATCCAGTTTCAGCTTTAGAAAAAAACAAAGAACCCCATCAAAAAGTGGGCAAAGGATATGAACAGACACTTCTCAAAAGAAGACATTTATGCAGCCAAAAAACACATGAAAAAATGCTCATCATCACTGGCCATCAGAGAAATGCAAATCAAAACCACAATGAGATACCATCTCACACCAGTTAGAATGGCGATCATTAAAAAGTCAGGAAACAACTAGTGCTGGAGAGGATGTGGAGAAATAGGAAGACTTTTACACTGTTGGTGGGACTGTAAACTAGTTCAACCATTGTGGAAGTTGGTGTGGCGATTCCTCAGGGATCTAGAACTAGAAATACCATTCAACTCAGCCATCCCATTACTGGGTATATACCCAAAGGATTATAAATCATGCTGCTATAAAGACACATGCACACGTATGTTTACTGCGGCACTATTCACAATAGCAAAGACTTGGAACCAACCAAATGTCCAACAATGATAGACTGGATTAAGAAAATGTGGCACATATACACCATGGAATACTATGCAGCCATAAAAAATGATGAGTTCATGTCCTTTGTAGGGACATGGATGAAGCTGGAAACCATCATTCTCAGCAAACTATCACAAGGACAAAAAAACCAAACACCGCACGTTCTCACTCATAGGTGGGAATTGAACAATGAGAACACATGGACACAGGAAGGGGAACATCACACACCAGGGCCTGTTGTGTGGTCGGGGGAGTGGGGAGGGATAGCATTAGGAGATATACCTAATGTAAATGATGAGTTAACGGGTGCAGCATACCAACATGGCACATGTATACATATGTAACAAACCTGCACATTGTGCACATGTACCCTAGAACTTAAAGTGTAATAATAATAAAAAGAAAGAAGAGATTCTTAAGGAAGCAGAATCACAGAGGGGGAAAAAAGCCAACAAACTCTGTGTACCCTAATTTGTTTCCTTAACTTTCAAAAAATTTATTTTATTTTCAATTCACACCTAAAAATTGTGACAGTAAAGGACAACCAAATCTTGTCTTTTTCTTTAAGGACATATTTAGCCTTGGGTTAACTTTCTATTTCTGTTTCCTTGGAAACTTGATAAATTATAATGTCAGCTGTATTACCAGGGAAGGTTTCTTATGGTAAAAATGGCCACTGATTGATAAGTTACATTTGACTTGAAGTATGGATGGTTTAATGGTGAATTGTCTATATGTATTGTGTACAACATGAAGTTTTAATACATATATACACACTGTGGAATAGCTAAATAAAGCTAATTAACATATGTATTACATCGTATGTTTTCTTAACTTTGATTAAAATAAAATAATTTTTACTTTGCGAAAATAAAGTTTAAGTGAAGGAAAACTTGAATTTACATTCAAAAATAGTTTGTGGTGTAAATTTGAAGCAACCTGATAGACTAAGATGCTGAGATTACCCACCTTCTGAAAATAATTAAAATTTCCAGAAAAGAACATCATTTTATAAGATTATCTAGAATTCATTTAAGAAATTAAAAAAATACTCAGTCCAGAAACCAAGCAATTATGGGTATACAGAGAAATAAACCAAAGATGAATTTCAGCTTTTACATTGATGGTTTTGCCAGAAATACAAATTTGTATGCCATTCTCTACATAACACAGGAGATAGAAGAGAAAACCTATGTCCTATTTAAGTGGAGAGTCTACTAGGAGATCTTTGCCTAAAACTTCATGTGATCCTGGAAATAAAGTAGAAGTAGCTCTTCTCCCAGGAAATTGAAAGAATAACCATCTATCTTAAGCTCCAGCTGTAAGTGAAGAGAGAAAAATACATCCTCTAAAAATTTACAGTCACAATTAATCCCCACATGAGTTTATTGCTGTAAAAGTTTATAAAATGAGAACTGAGTTTAAAGTACTCTGGGATGTCTAATATTTAAGGTATTCATCAGAAGAGAAAGCAGTCTTTTCTGAGGAAATCCCTGTTCATCACAGATATCAAAGAATTGCTGAGGTTAAGTTCCTGGTAAAATAAGGACCTAATAAAGAAGTCCCCATGATATGAAATTGAAAACAAAAAACAATACAATAATATTCAGCAAAAATTAACTCCTGAAACTATAAGATTAAAATGTATTAAATAAATATATCAAGTATGTGTCAAAAAATAAAAGTTGTGGTAAAATATTAGTTCAGTACAAGAGTATTTAAGAAAGAATAAAAAAGAGTGCTTCGAAATTACAGATAGATAGATATAACCTGATATATATAAACCTGATATTTTGTCTTAATTTCAATTATTTTTATATCTATTGATATATATCTTCAATTATATTTATAATATACATATATTTATGTCTTCAAATATATATAAATAATTAAGACAGAATATTAGAGTCAAACTTTGAATAGATTAGTCACAGTTAGAAAATTCAGAATCTTTAAAATATACCTGAATAAATTATCTAGAATTATATAGAATACAAAAATAGAGGTTAAAAGAAAAAAATAAGAGAAAGACAAGTGAATGAAACTAGTATAAGTTTAATCAAAGTATTAAAAGAAAGGAGAGGATTGAGCAGAGGAAGTATTATTTTTAAAAAATGGATGACAATTTATAAAAACAGCTTAAGGACAAGTCTTCAAATTTGGAAATCCAAACTTATCACCAAGAATATAAATTTTTTTAAAAAATCTGCATGTGGGGGTAAGGGTATCTGTGTATTTCTGTGTGTGTGTGTGTACAGATATCTTTTTGTGTGTACAGACATATATATACACACACAAATACACCACAAAAAGCTACATCAAATTGAAAATATTAAATAAAGGTTGAGAAAAGAAGATATAAAACTGTAAAGGAAGAGATAATTAGATTGACAGCTGACTTTTAAACAACAATAATGGAGGCAAGAAGCATTGGCAAAAGAGAACATGGAATTATAAGAAATAAATAATTAACTGAAAAGGAAGCAAAAAATATTTAGTTAAATAAAAATATTGCCAAACTAAGTAGCTAAACATAGCTGTATGCTCTTAACAAGAGACATATCAAAAATTATAAGGATACAGAAAGTTTGAAAATAAAAACATTAGAAAATAATATACCAGGAAAGTTTCAACTAAAAGAAATCTGGCATAACTACACTAATATCTGAAAATATATCCTTTAAGGCAAAAAGATTAATAAAGAAAATAAAGTGAGAGTAAAGGACAACCAAATCTCATCTTTTTCGTTAAGGACATATTTAGACTTGGGTTAACTTTCTATTTCTGTTTCCCTGGAAACTTGATAAAGTATACTGTCAGCTGTATTACCAGGCAAGGTTTCTTATGGTAAAAATGGCCATTGATTGATAAATTACATTTGACTTGAAGTATGGATGGCGTAATGGTAAATTTTTGTATAAATTTTACTGGGATTAAGAAAGCTCAGGTAGCTGGTAAAACATTATTTCCAGGTGTGTGAATGTGAGGGGTGTTTTAAAAAGAGATTAGTGGCTGGGCATGGTGGCTCACACCTGTAATCCCAGCACTTTGGGAGACCAAGGTGGACGTATCACCTGAGGTCAGGAGTTTGAGACCAGCCCGGCCAACATGGGGAAACCTCATCTCTACTAAAAATACAAAAATTAGCCAGGTGTGGTGGCATGCCTGTAATACCAGCTACTCGGGAGGCTGAGGCAGAAGAATCACTCGAACCCGGGAGGCAGAGGTTGCAGTGAGCCGAGATCACACCACTGCACTTCAGCCTGGGCCACAGAGCAAGACTCCATCTCAAAAAAAAAAAAAAGAAAAAAAAAACAGAATAGCATAACACTGTAATTGTGGTATGAAAACTACGTTATCCGCATGTATGCATATGTAACAAACCTGCACATTGTGCACATGTACCCTAGAACTTAAAGTAGAATTTAAAAAAAAGAAAACTACTGTCATCCTAAGTAGAAAGACTAAATGATGAACCAATCAAAAATAATAACTACAACTTTTCAAGACATAGAGAGTTCAATAAGATATAAATAGAAACAATAAAAGGTTAAAAAGCCACGGGGGATGAAGTTAAGGTGCAGATTTTATATTAGTTTTCTTTTTGCTTGCTTGTTTATTTATGCAAAGAGTGATAAGCTGTTATCAAGTTTAAATAATTAGTTTTAAGATGGTATTTACAAGCCTCATGGTAACACCAAACCAAAAAATATACGATGAATACACAAAAAATAAAAAGCCAGAAAATAAATAATATCACCAGAAAAAAATCTCCTTCACTAAAGGAAGGCAGGAGGAAAGAAGGAAGAGAAGACCATAAAACAGCCAGAAAACAAATAACAACACAGCAGGAGTAAGTTATTACTTATCAATAATAATATTGAATGTAAATGGACTAAATTCTCCAATCAAAAGACAGAGTGGCTGAATGGATGAAAAAACAACACTCTTTGATTTACTGCATACAAGAAACACTCTTCACTTATGAAGATACACATAGGCTGAAAATAAAGGGATGGAAAAACATATTCCATGCCAACAGAAACCAAAAAAGAGCAGGAGTTGCTATACTTATATAAGAAAAAAGATTTCGGCCAGGTGTGGTGGCTCACGCCTGTAATCCCAGCACTTTGGGAGGCCAAGGCAGGCAGATCACAAGGTCAGGAGATTGAGACCATCCTGGCTAACACGGTGAAACCCTGTCTCTACTAAAAAATACAAAAAATTAGCCAGGCGTGGTGGCAGGTGCCTGTAGTCCCAGCTACTTGGGAGGGTGAGACAGGAGAATGGCGTGAACCCAGGAGGCGGAGCTTGCAGTGAGCCGAGATCGCGCCACTGCACTCCAGCCTGGGCAACAAAGTGAGACTCCATCTCAAAAAGAAAAAAAGAAAAAAGAAAAAAGATTTCTAGACAAAAACTATAGGAAGAGACAAAGAAGATCACTATATAATGATAAAGTGGTCAATTCAGTAAGAGGATATGAACAGACACTTCTCAAAAGAAGACATAGGCATGACAAAGAGGCATATGAAAAAATGCTCAACATCATTAATAATTAGAGAAATGCAAATCAGAACCACAATGAGATACCACCTCAACACTAGTCAGAATGACTATTATTAAAAAGCTCAGAAAAGAACAGATGTTGGCAAGTTGTGGAGAAAAGGGAATGCTTATACACCACTGGTGGGAGTATAAATTAGTTCAGCCAGTGTGGGAAGCAGTTTGGAGATTCCTCTAAGAACTTAAAACAGAATTACCATTTGATCTAGGAATCCCATTATTGGGTATATACCCAAAGGAATGTAAATCATTCTACCACAAAGACACATGTGTATATGTTCATCACAACACTAATCATAATAGCACAGACTTGGAGTCAACCTAAATGCCTATCAACAGTGAACTGGTTAAAGAAAATGTGGTACATATACACTATGGAATACTATGCAGCCTTAAAAAAGAATAAGATAATGTCCTTTGCAGCAACATGGATGGAGCTGGAGGCCATTATCCTAAGTGAATTAATGAAGTAACAGAAAAGCAAATACTACATGTTCTCACTTATACATGGGAGCTAAACATTGAGTACACATGAACACAAAAAAGGGAGCAATAGACATTGAGGCTTACTTGAGAGTGGAGAGTGAGAGGCGGGTGAGGATCTAAAAACTACCTATAGAGTATTATGCTTATTACCTGGGTGCTGAAATAATCTGTACACCAAACCCCCACAGCACACAATTTACCTGTATGACAAATCCTTCCATGTACTCCCTTAACCTAAAACAAAAGTTAGAAAATAATGTGAAAATTAAATAAAAATTAATAAATAGGTAAACTTCGACCTCATTATTACTCTGTAAATGAACTAAAAGTTCTTAAACTACCTTGACATTTAAGTTGCACATTATCCTGGACAAGAAACCTATGTAAATTACTCATCCAAAGACAACAGATGTTTTTGTTTCCTTAAATCTTAGAAAATTATTTTGTCTAAATACATATAATTAAAAAATAAAATTATTTATTCACTGAATTTGTTGGTATGTATGCCACTGTGACAATAAGTGTTATATTTCCATCCTTCCCAGGTGTTATAAAACTGAAAATTAAATATACTCAATACATATGAAACCTTTCCTCACTCAAAAGTTTACAGTGCAGCTTTTTTCCTCTTCTTTACCTTTCCTTCTTGTTTTCTTTCTTCCTATTCATACTTTTTTAAAATATGTTTGACCATATTCTAAATACTACTTTGAATAAAAGCATAATTGCTTTTACTAGAATGTAAATAAAAATTATTGTGGAATTAGGTGTTATATTTATTAAGGAATAAAATAAGCATTTTTCTTTCTAGTGCTTGAAATAATATTGTTTTAATTGTTCCTGAACATTTGTAAATTAGTCTTTATCAGATGTTTTGGCAAACTTGCCAAGCAGAGTGAAGGTTAAAACAGTAACTCAAAAAGTGTTCTTCGTACCACAATTCACACTTCCTGCTTAAAATCTGAGGAATGCTCTCAACTGCGTATTTCATTTAATTAGTAGGTCTGATCAAAGGTAGGTGAATAAGAGTTCAGTGTTTTCTCATAGGTATAGATATATATAAATGGCTTCATTACATACTTATATCTATATTCATGGGTAAATTTTAGAATTACTAAAGTGTTTCCTCTCATTTGAAACAAATACAGGAATTTAGATTATATTTGCCATCAAAATTAATCATCGCATTGTTTTTCAAACCTAAATTTGTACTAAACATTCAGTTACTACTAAATCTATTGAACATCAAGTGATTTCTGATGTTTACTATAAAACTGCTTCTTAATTATTCAGTTTTTCTATTCCCCTACTTGTCAACATTCCATCACATTATCTTCTTCCACATATTTAGTATTGAGAACCTTTAATTAATAAAGTACATTTAATAATTTACAAATTTCTATGAAAAATAAGAAGATTGAACACAGTCATTTTGAATCAAAAAGGTAATCCCAAGGAAAAAAAGTTATGTTGATCATAATAATCCTTAATCACAATGGAAAATAAATATGTAGAAAATCTCAGTTTAGAAAATATTCTTCGGTGCCTCTAAAATGTACTTTTTTGAATAATAAAGTATGTGAATGTAAATGAATTGAGAAAAGTAAAAATCTTGGGAGTATTGTTCTGATGAACTCTGGAAAACTCTTCAGAGCTATAATCCTCCTTTCAAATAAATACTTCTGGAATTTTTCTAAATCTGTTTTTACTCTGTAAATGATCACACAGTTTTGATATAAAATTCCAATGAATATTCAGAATTTGGTATTTATTTGCATGAAAATTCTAAATGCAGAAGATAATGCCACTTGTCTGTAGGCCAACAATAGCTTAAATTTCCTTTATGAAAGAAACACCTGGTAAGTGACCGGGATTAAATACCGGTATAAGAAAAGGGAAAGGATTCTCAAACCTCTAAGAATGGTCTCCAGACAGACACTATCCTGGTAAGCAGTTAACTAATCTCCTTACTACATATGGCCCCCCAATCCCTGACTGTATCTGGCCAATTCCACTGGCCTGCTTCTGTTACCTACCATGTAACAGGGGTCCCACAATAAAGTGCTAAAACATCAGTGGTGTCTAAGACTCATTTTTGACACAAATTGGACCAAAGGGGAAAAGTTATCCCCGGGAAGCTGACTAAGTAGGAATACCCCAAACCCTATTTCTCAATTTTATGCTATCTTCATATTTGCATTTCACATGAGTTTCTTCTAGATATTATACAGTAGGGTCTTGGTTTTGCATTTTTTAAAACCTAGTCTGAAAATCTCTTTTAACTATTTATATAGTTAGGCTTAAATATGTAATTTTGATAGTTATTTTCTAATTTTCATTTCCTATCAGTTTGAGGTCCTTCAACAAGGAAATAAAATGAATTACTCAACATGGATTAAAAACTTAAATACAAGACTGGAAACTATAAAGTTCTAGAAGTAAACTGGGAAAACACTTCAGATCATTGTTCTAGAAAAAGATTTTTATGACTAAGATCTCAAAAGAACAGGTAACAAAAACAAAAATAAACAAGTGGGACTATACTAAACTAAGAACTTTTTGCATAGTAGAGGAAACAACAGAGTGAAGAGACATCCTCTTGAATAGCAGAAAATATTTGTAAAATATGCATCCAATAAGAGACTAATATCCAAAATATACAAGTAACTTAAATAATAGTAGAAAGAAGAAGGAAGGAAGGAAGGAAGGAAGGAAGGAAGGAAGGAAGGAAGGAAAGAAGGGAGGGAGGGAGGGAGAGAGAGAGACGGAGGGAGGGAAGGAAGGAGAGAGAGAAAAGAAGAAAAGGAAAGAAAGAAAAAGAAGAAAGAAAGAGGAAGGAAGGGAGGAAGGAAGGGAGGAAGGAAGGAAGGAAGGAAGGAAGGAAGGAAGGAAGGAAGGAAGGAAGGGAAAAACACAAATAATTCCATTAAAAAGAAGGCAAAGGACATGAATAGACACTTCTCAAAAAACACATCCAAATGTCTAACAGGTGTATAATGCTCAACATCACTAATCATCAGGGAAATGCAAATCACAACCACAATAGGATATCAGCTTACCCCAATTAGAATGGCTATAATTAAAAAGGCAAAAACAATGGATGCTGGTGCAGAGACAAAAAAAGGGAACTCTTATGCACTATGGGCAGCAATGTAAAGTAATACAACTGCTATGAAAAACAAAATTATCTCGAAAAACTAAAAATAGAATTATTATATGATCCAGCGATCCTACTACTATGTATTTATCCAAAGAAAAAGAAATTGGTGTATCAAAGAAATACCTGAATTTGCATGTTTATTGTAGCACTATTCACAAGAGCAAAGATGTGGAATCAACCTAAGTGTTTATCAATGAGTACATCGATAAAAAATATGCTAAAGGTTTTCCAAATGGAAGTACTACAGTTATTAGCACACAAAAAAAGAGAAGATAAAAGCAAATCAAAAAGTGTGCTAAAATTATGGAGTTTAGCTTGTGTCTAATTTAATCTGATTTTAACTTACAAAAAATCAATCTGACAGCAGGGTAGAGAATGCATTGTAGAAAGACAAATCCCAAAAATTAGAGACTAATTTTGAAGCTATTATAGCTCAGGGACAATATGATAGATGGTTTAATTATCAGTAGCTGTAGGGATAGAAAGGAAAGGTTGAATATGATAAACGATATGCAAAAACCTATACAATTTGACTGAATGGGGATAAAAAATGAAGGACAGAGAGGTGTCTACTACAAATAGTATAGGAAAAAGAAAGTTATTGATAGTTTTACCTGAAGAGTAAAAGGACTAGATTTATATTTTTAAAAAGTCTTTCTGAAGAATGCATTTGGGAAAGAGAAGAAACAGGGTAAGGAAACAATTTATGAGACAAATACAATATTTCAAATAAAACTGTTGGGAACCCAAAGTAATATAAATGAAGGAAAGTTGACATATAAATTATATGAATTATTTGCTCAGACTCATCTATTCTACTAAATTCTACATGTGAATTCAACACTTCATGTAATTTACATGGAAATGAATGGCAGTCAGACATCGTTAAGGCATGTATCTTTAATAACTTTAAATAGTTGAAGAAGGATCTGAAAATTTTAGGCATATGTGTGATTTGTATACTGTTCCCCACTTGAAACTAATTACTTTGAAAAGAACCATATATAAAATAAAAAGCAGAATTTCTTATTTTGGGACCATGATTATTTCAGAAATTTTCAAAGTAATAGTTTGTCTCTTAATGCCTAAGAAAAATGTGCTTGACAAGAGCACTTTATTTAGTAAACATGTATTGACCTCCTATTTTATATTACATTCTACATGTTGTACTTGCATACGTATGCATATATATGTATATACTGTTAGGCATATGTGTATGGTTTTATATATGTTTATACATGACACATATATGTGTCACTGTGACTTTGTACCAATAATTATATAAGATAGTGAATTAAATGTTTTGTGAGAATTAGAAAAGCATGCAAAAGTCTGTATATGGTGATACGGTCCAATAGGAAGGTAGCTTCTTAGTTGAGATTTAGAAAATGAACAGGAGATCAATGAATAAATAATTTACTGATAGACACATGTTGGAACAAAGAGCAGATGTAAGAGTACAAATTTTACTAGTTCAAACTGCCAAAATGGTGCATGTAAGAAAATGAAAGGAGAAAGAAGCATAAACTGTGGTTAGCCAGAATTTTGTGATTTAATCTTGTGAGAGTGGGGATATTCTGAGCTTTAAAGAGGGGCATATCATCACATTTCTAGTTCAGACAGAGGCTCAGTAATAATATGATAATAAATTGGAGTATCAGGATTTGTGCCAAAGAGAAGAATATGATCTCTGCACTCATGCTCCCTGGAGAAGGAGCATATATGGGACAAAAAAAAATTATCTTCAGTTATGTTAAATGTTAATATGGAAGGTCCAAGTAAAAGCCGCCTTCAGGCTCAGGCAAAAGGGCCCCATTCTGGGAGCTGCTCTTTAAGGGACTCCATATATCAGAAACAGACATAGAAAATAAATGTGTTAAAGCAACACATAGACACTTCTATCTTTTGGGATCTGGTGTTCAGTACTGGGGGCACAAACTATAGGCCTAAATTTTTGCTCTAATTACTAAATTGGTTTATATCCCAGAAATGGTTTCGTATAATGTATACCAATTACACAAAAGGTGGTTGTGTCTGAATATCACAAAAGTTTGTGACATAGAGCTTAACCAGCTTCAAGTAAAAGCTTAAAGGGCATGGAATATTTTCACCAGCTCTCATCTCACTTTTTTCCTTCTGCCACAAAAACAGCATTTCCCCAAAGGGACTGGGTCCCAGAATGAAGAGACACAGGGAGAGAAGCACCAAAGCAGCAAAGCATTGGTGCTTGACATGGAACATGAGCAAGAAGTAAAGGTTTGTTGGCATAAGATGTTAAAATTAAAGGGCTTATTTGCTATTTCAAAAAAAGCTGGCTAATAAAATTAGAAAGGAATGAAGGCAAAGAGGGAGTGACAGAGAGAGGAATAAAGACAGTGAGTACAGACAACTCTAAAACACTCTTCAATGTGAGAAAGAGAGTTTTAACTGTAAGGAGACTTAGAACAGAAAAAAATATTTTAAGACAGTGGAGAACTGCGTATACCAGAATACTGATCTGATATAAAGGTGCTGTTAAGGAGAAGATATTTAATATACAGGCAGAGAGAGTGAGATTACTGAGAACGTGGGATGAAATGGAGTTCAGAAAAAAAGTGGAAGAGTTCTCCTTCAGTGGACACATTTTCCTTGATAATCTGTGGTCAAGAAGAAATACTGCATGCAGAGAAGTTAGTAAATGGGGAGGCAGGAAGTTGGGGATTATTATTTTCTGTTTAAAGGTAGGGACAATCTGAGGCTGTGAGAAAGCAAGAGGAAAGTGGTCCCAGATTTGAAAGAAGTAGAGGAATATTAAGACAGTGTAATCCCAACTACTCAGGAGGCTGAGACACAAGAATTGTTTTAACCCGGGAGGTTGAGGTTGGAATAAGCTGAGATCATGTCACTGCACTCTGGCCTGGGTGACAGAGACTCTGATTTAAAAAAAAAAAAAGTGAAATAAATAATGAAATCTGGCAACAAATATCTAGAAAAACTTCTGGGTATATTTAAGCATCAAACAAACTTGGAGACAATGATTTATAGAGACAAACATCTCTCACACTTCTAAGGAGTGTTTAGATATCTATGAGCTATACAGAAAAACTAATTAATCCAAAGATTTATCCAGGGTTGGTGCTTTACCAAGCTGATGCAATGGAATTACAATTATACAAAGGTTAGGAGGATATTGGCAAAAGAAGTACTGAAGTAAGAAAAAGGGCACTTAAGATCGAGGAAAGAGGCCGGGCGCAGTGGCCCACGCCTGTAATCCCAGCACTTTGGGAGGCTGAGGCGGGCAGATCACGAGGTCAGGAGATTGAGACCATCCTGGCTAACACGGTGAAACCCCATCTCTACCAAAAATACAAAAAAAAAAAAATTAGCCGGGCGTGGTGGCGGGCAACTGTAATCCCAGCTACTCGGGAGGCTGAGGCAGGAGAATGGCATGAACCCGGGAGGCAGAGCTTGCAGTGAGCCGAGATCGCACCACTGCACTCCAGCCTGAGCAACAGAGCAAGACTCCGTCTCAAAAAAAAACAAAAACAAACAAACAAAAAAAGATTGAGGAAAGAGGTAAGGTCTAAAGATGCTAATAATAGAGAATAAGAAAAAACAGCAAGGGATGGGCATCCTCTATGAGCCCACTAACGAGGGTTATTTTAAGTAATTGGATAAAAGTGGATTATAAAAAATTGTGGTTATATTACATTTAAACAGACAAATATAGCTTAATTCAAAGAAATGGGTTTCTACTGGTGACATTTTCAATGTCTATGTAGAGTACTATATAAGATCCACTCAGAAGTTTCCCATCTATGTCACTCTAGGCAGCACCTTACTCAGCTACTGTGAAAAGTCCACTAGGTTCATGCCCACTGAAAAAAAACCTACTAAAAGAGAATTCCAAACCAATAGGAGCACTCTTTTTCAAAACTGTCTATTGCTATTGATTTTCACTTCTTCCAAACACAGTATAAGTTTTCCTGATGAGAAATAGATTAGCTTGCTTCAATTCTAACTTTGATGAAAAACTGAATAATAGACCAGAAACAAAATAAAAAGTAACTTAGTATGTTTCTGTAATTGATTTTCACTCATATTTCTCTTGACACATTGTCCAGATTAAAAGTAAACAAAGTTTCTTTTGATCACAGGCATGGAATTTCTATAGGAGACAATCACAGGAAACCCACTTGTCCATTCTTTTTGACCTCAAAAATCCAAGAGTCACTGAAATTTAGGACTGTGCTAAATTGGGCTCATATTGAGAAAAACATTTTATAGTTCATTTGCCAGGAAGAAAAACTTTGAGGTTCAAAGATAACCTTCTATCATCTTCCATTCTTTTGAAATAATGTGTGTTTTCCACCTCCATGCACATAACGTTTACCCAATTTTAGTCTGAAAATGTTCAATCTATAGTGAAGCCCTTTTGAGAGGGCAAGGGGAAGAGGTTAAAAAAAGATCTAAGGAACCACAGGAATTTTTTTAAACCAGTCCTGATATCCATCTTTAGTCACTGATGTCTCTGTATTATTCTTTTACATTACCATGGGTTTTAAAATATACAAAGTTAAAAATAAATGGAGTCCTATTTCAAAATCTAGTAAATACTTTGTATATCTAAACTTTAATTATCTTTTATTTATTGGGATGCAATGTACATTACAAAAAGTTTCATCTATAGACTTCATTTTAGCTAATAGCTATAAACTTTGTCTACCATTTATTCTTTTGTTAAAACCACTGGAAAATAGAATCCATCTTTCTTCTTTTATGCTCTCATCTTAAGGCAGTAATGAGCAGGAGAAGGAAGAAAAGGCTTAGAAGTCCTCTTGGTCCATGAAATGATCCTTTTCATAAAAATAAGGTATTTTTTTTTCATCTAAGAGTACCAAGATGTCTTCAATCTGAAGGTTTATAAGATCTTTGGATGCCTGGAGTCCCAAGTTCACTCATAGATGATAGATATATAATAGATGATGGGAGATGGGAGAGACAGTGAAGATATTTTGAAATTCTAAAGCCCTCTGCAACTTTCAGACACCTCTCACCTTCTTAAAGATTTATGTACTCTCTGCTTCTTTGTTTTCACCTCGTAATGGTCTTCACTCCTTTGCTGCATTTCTACAGCTCTTTTTTTTTTGTGAGACAGGGTCTCACTGTCACCCAGGCTGGAGTGCAGTGGCACAATCATGGCTCACTGCAGCCTCAACCTTCCAGGCTCAAATGATCCTCCCACCTCAGCCTCCTAAGTAGCTGGGACTACAACTATGCCTAACTTTTTAATTATTTTTTTTAAGGTGAGGGCTTGCTATGTTGCCCAGGCTGGTATCAAACTCCTGGGCTCAAGTGATCCTCCTGCCTTGGTTTTTCAAAGTGTTGGGATTACAAGCATGAGCCACCAGGCCCAGCCTCTTTTTACAACTCATTATCACAAAATAAACACTATCCTCTTCTTTTGTTCCCATAAAATTAATCAAAGAATGTTTCTATGCTTGACTTTGAGTACCATAAAAGTTACCACCCACCATGTCCTACCAGCCTAACATTACCTCTCTCGGTAGCCTTTTATATTATCCTCTTTTCTCCGTTCCCATGTTTCTCATCATCACCATCTCTCAAGGAAGAAATGCAAATTATTCTTGCTTGACTATGCAAAACAACTGCAATACACATACGACTTGCCCTCTCTTACCCAGGCTAGGAGCTGCAGTTGAGGTAGAGAAGAATCCTTTAAATTGAGAAGCCCATCAATGTGTTTTCTTAAACAAAAGAGCCATCTAACTCCAGTGATTATTTTAACAGTTATTTAGGTGTTTATGGTTTATTTTCAGTGGTCATTTGTTTGTACTCTTACCTAAGCTTTGAAAGTTGGCAGTTTGGTAGGGAAGACTAACTGTGTATAAATATTTGGCAGAGAAAGTAAATGACTGCTGGTACATTGTGACAAAACTGCCTAGAGCTAATTTAAAATACTAAATGCATATAATGATTTGGGATAAGAGGTCTACTATCTTAAAAGCAGAATGTTTAAAAACACATTCTAGGTCAACAAGTGTCTAAAATATCTGGATCAAAAGCAACAAAGAATGCATCATATGACAAGCAATTGAAAATTTTCCAGCTGTTTCAGATTGGTCTCTCTGGATTAACTTCAATTTCAATCTGTTCCACTTTGCCCTAGCCGACCCACATAGTTCAGACCAAATCAGCACTCCTTAACAGTAGGCACTTTAAAAAAGGAAAATAAGCATATTCAGAAGGTACATAGACGAAGGGAAAAAGTAGAAGTAACATCAAGTATTCAGCTTCCTAATATCTCAGGCCTCCTTCTGGGATGGAAGACTTATGTAGGTCCCCCATTCAGACTCAGTGCACATGAATGATTTCCATGGCTCCTTTGGACACACTGCATCTGCATGCATCCCCATTCTTCAATCTCAGCAAAAGCTAAGGAAAAGTATTTAAGTATAAGCGGAGCACTTTGACTAAATGAATACAAACACATCTCTAGCAGCACTAATCTGTGGCCTGAGCTTGGGATTTCTACAGTGCCTCTCCTCTTGATTCATAGCCATTGATGCTAAACAAGATTTCCACTGCTCCCTTTTTATAAAGTGGGAACATATCCCCCATTTGTTTATGCTCTCAAAAAAACTCAGTCAGAATAACAAGGATTAAGCCATTATTGGCTTAACTTCTTTTTCCATAATACCGACTCTCTGATGCTACGACATGCTACAAATTTAGCTTCTTTTTGCCTCCAAGAGAAGAAAACCATATCTAAAGGAGGAGTCCAAACTCAGAATCTCATGTTTAAATACACGTAAACAGATATTCAGTATACACCTGCTATATCAATAACCACATGTTTAGTATGCAGTTTTCTTTGTACTCAGAACCACATTACTTAAAATGCAAATGTTTAGTGTCACATAAGGTGAAACCTCTAAGCGATGCCTTAATGATCAATTTCACCTACTAATCCTGAAATCTTGTTATAATAGCAATAGTGTGTTCTGGCAGTGATATCTATACAGTCAAATGTTCTTTTTACTATTTCAGAATTTTGTTTCTCTAGGCACTAAAAATAGTGCAGAATACATGGGGTTTTCTATGTTGTTTCCCTTGAAATCTTAAATAAGTGTAGCTCTGTTCAAAATTCAAAAACTTCTAGTGAATAGGAGTTGGAATGGAATAAGGACCACCAAAACTGAAAAGACTAAGAACCACCAAGTCTTGCAAATGCATTTAGATTGGATATTGCCCAATTCAATATAGGCTGCCACCCCAACTCTGAAACTGCTTAGTGAAGAACTAGTGTCAGCAACGGTGCCAGGATCTCAATATTGTTCACATACATAATCTCTAGTAAGTTATACCCAGACTATTACTACCCCTTCATATTCTGCATTATGGCAAAAACATTTAGTTTAAATTGATGCAGCATAGCACAGTAAAATTCACATGATAAAACAATTAAGCTTTTTGCTTCTTGGTTACAATAAGCCTCCAGATTCTCATTTGTAAAATGATGAAAATAAGATTATAAATCTCATAGAGGCCTTCTGAGGATTATATGAGCTATTGCCAATAAAGCACTGAATAAACTAAAAGGGCAAATCCTGTAAAAAGTATAAATAGTAGCTACTAATATTATTATTCCTTCAGACTTTTTCATTAAAGTAGTACTAGGTTGAGAACAGTATATAATTTTGAATCAAATGAAATGTCTATATTTTTGATAATAATACTTTCATATTAACATCATCCTAATATCATGTAAGATGACAAATTAGGAAGTCCCCATTTGTATTACCTCATGGCAACAATAATTTGGTAGTCACATATGGACAAAGTGCCTTTGTGGGATCTGGGATGCAGGAAGAAGCTTGCAAAACCCCAGAGGGGTTCAGGACCAAGAAATGTTTTGTAAGGGCTGGCCCATGCCCAAGTAGAAAAGCCATTGACCATGGTCCTAGCTACCAACCCAGAAACAGCTCTCTATTCACTTTGGACTTGCCTAAAACCCCATTTGGCCTTGGTCCTGCTACCAGCATCATCTACCAAGGGATACAGGAAAAGTCACAACTGACCATGTCCCCAGAGGCAGACCCACTGTCCACACTTTGACTGCAGATCTTGAAGCAGAGCTGTAACTTGGCTCCAGCCACTCTCAGAAATAGTCCAAGAGCAATCCTGCCAATCCAAGAATATGGAGAGAGATATGCCCATCTGTGCCAACAGAGACAGGTCTATAGACCTCAGTCTCAGCTGCAGAACCTGAAGCAACCCTGTGATTGATTCAAGCCCCACTCAGTTGTGATCCAGTGTTAGTCCTGACTTCCTATGGATCTGAATAGTGACCAGATGGAAAACCCCACCCCACAGTGATCCAGCAGGAGTCACAGCCATCCACCCACATGGTAAAAGGCCTTCCATTTGTGAACCTTTTAAACCCTAAAGTGAACCCTTGTTCAGGGCTCTAACTGCACTCAGCAGCAATAGAGTAGGCAATGTCAGCCCTAGGACCCAATAAAAGAAGGCCTTTACCTGCCAAAATCATTCTGTAAAACCTGGATAAGGCATTTGCTCCTTCATATGCAGAGAAGCTAATGCAAACCTAAATAGATTACGAAGAATCAGGCAAACATGGCATGACCAAAGGAAACTAATTAAACTTCAGTAACTAAACCAAAAGAAATGGAGATCAAAAGTTACCTGAAAAATAACTCAAAATTATCATCTTTAAAAAGTTCAGTTAGACTTAAGAGAAGACAGAAAGACAACTAAATGGAATCAGAAAAAACAATGAATGAGAATATTAGAAGTTTAATTAAGAAATATAAACCATAAAAAGAACCAAACAGAAATCCTGGAGCTAAAGAGCACAATGACAGAACTGACGAAATTGAACTGATACCTTCAATAGAAAACATGGTCATGCAGAAGACAGAATCTGTGAACTCAAAAATAGGCCATTTTAAATTAGCCAGTATGAAAAGTAAGCAAAATAGAATTAAACAATATAGGGCACAGGACTATCAGACATCATCAAAAGTGGAATATATGCATTATGAATATCCAAAAAGGACAAAAGAAAGGAAAGGAACAAAAAGATTATGGAAGAAATAGTGGCTGAAACTTTCCAAATTTTTGGAGTAATATAAACTTCCAGGTTCATAAAGAACAAAGTACTCCGAGCAAAATCAGCCCAAAGAACACTATCTCCAGGTATATTATAATCAAATTTTCAAAAATCAAAGACAAAGAGAATTTTGCAAGCAGCAAGACATGAGCACCTCTTACATACAAGGGAACCCCATAAAGATATCAATGGATTTTTAAGCAGAAACCTTGCAAGTCAGGAGGGAAGGGGAATGATGTATTCAAAGTACTAAAATCAAAAGCACAGCCACCAAGAATATTATACTTAGTAAATATGCCCTTCAGAAATGAAATAGAAATAAAGACATTCTCAGAAAAACAGAAGCTGAGGGAGTTTATCACCACTCAGCCTGCCTTACAAGAAATGCTAATGTCAGTTTATCAAGCTGAAACAAAAAGATGTTAAATAATAACATGAAAACATATGAAGGTGTAACACTATCTGGTAAAGTTAAATATAGTCAAATCTGAAATATTCTAAAACTGTAATGGTAGTGTGTAAATCACTGTTAAGCCTAGTAGAAAATTAGAAGTTAAAAGTATTAAAAATAATCATAGCTACAATAATTTATTAATGAATGTGCAATACAAAAGAGGTAGTATGAATCATATTAATCCATTTTCACACTGTTATAAAGAAATACCTGAGAATGGGTAATTTTTTTAAAAAACAGGCTTAATTGACTCACACTTCACGTGGCTGGGGAGGCCTCAGGAAACTTACAATCATGACAGAAGGGGAAGCAGGCACCTTCTTCACAAGGCAGCAAGATAGGATGAGCACAAGCGAGGGAAATGCCAGATGCTTAAAAAACCATCAGATCTCATGAGAACTCACTCACTATCATGAGACCAGCATGAGGGAAACATCCCCCATAATCCAATTCCTTCCCAAGGGGTCTTTTTCCAAACACCTGGGGATTACAATTCAAGGTGAGATTTGGGTGGGAACCCAAAGCCAAACCACATCATTCTGCTCCTGGCCCCTCCCAAATCTTACATCCTCAGATTTCAAAACCAATAATGCCATCCTAACAGTCCCCAAAAATCTTAAACCATGTCAGCATTAACTCCAAAGTCCATAGTCCAAAGTCTCATCTGAACAAAGCAAGTTCCTTCTACCTATGACCCTGTAAAATCAAAAACAAGTTAGCTCCTTCCAAGATACAATGGGAATACTGGCATTGGGTAAATACACTCATTCTAAATGGGAGAAATTGGCCAAAACAAAAGGGCTACAGGCTCCATGCAAGTCCAAAATCCAATGGGGCAGTCATTAAATGTTAAAGCTCCAAAATGATCTCCTTTGACTCCCTGTCTCACAACCAGGTCACGCTGATGCAAGAGATGGACTCCCATAGCTTTGGGCAGCTCAAACCCTATGGCTTTGCAGGATACAACCCCCAACCTAGCTGCTTTCACAGACTGGCATTGAGTGTCTGTGGCTTTTCCAGGCTCACAGTGCAAGCTATTGGTGGATCAAGCATTCTAGGGTCTGGAGGATGGTGGCCCTTTTCTCATAGCTTCAATAGACAGTGCCCCAGTGGGGACTCTGGGTGGGGGTTCAAACCCCACATTTGCTTTCCACACTGCCCTATCAGAGGTTCTCCATGGGAGCCCCAACACTGCAGCAGACCTCTGCCTAGACATCCAGGCCTTTCCATACATCCTCTGAAATCTAGGTGGAAGTTCTCAAACCTCAATTTTTGACATCTATGTACTTGCAGGCCCAACACCTCATGAAAGGCCACTAAGGCTTAGAACTTGCACCCTGTGAAGTGATGGCCTAAACTGTACATTGGCCTCTTTTAGCCAGGTCTGGGATGCACAGCACCAAGTCCTGAGATTGCACAAAGCGGCAAGGCCCAGGGCCCAGCCAATGAAACCATTTTTTCCTTCTAGGCCTCTGGGCCTGTGATGGGAGGGGCTGCTGTGAAGACCTCTGACATGCCCTGGAGACATTTTCCCCATTGTCTTGGTGATTAACACTTGGCTCCTCATTACTTATGCAAATTTCTGCAGCAGACTTGAATTTCCAGAAAATGGGATTTTCTTTTCTAGCATCATCAGGCTGAAAATTTTGTAAACTTTTATGCTCTGCTTCCCTTTTTAACATAAGTTCCATCTTCAGTTCTTCTCTTTCGAGTTCAAAGTTCCACAGATCTCTACGGCAGGGGCAAAATGCTACCAGTCTCTTTGCTAAAGCATAGCAAGAGTAACCTTTGCTCTAGTTCCCAGTAAGTTCCTCATCTCCATCTGAGACCACCTCAACCTGGATTTCACTGTCCACATCATTATCAGCATTTTAGTCAAAACCATTCAAAAAGTCTCTAGAAAGTTCCAAACTTTCCCATATCTCCCTGTCTTCTTCTGAGCCCTCCAAATTGTTCCAACTTCTGCACATTACCCAGTTCCAAAGTCACTTCTACATTTTGGGATATCTTTATAGCAGTACCCCACTCTTGGTACCAATTACTGTATTAGTCTGTTTTTACACTGCTCTGAAGAAATACCCAAGACTGGGTAATTTATAAAGAAAAGAGGTGTAATTGACTCACAGTTCCACATGGCTGGGGAGGCTTCAGGAAACTTTCAATTATGGCAGAAGGGGAAGCAGAAACCTCTTTATAAGGCGGCAAGAGAGAGTGTGAATGCAAGCAGGCGAAATGCCAGAAGCTTATAAAAACATCAGATCTCATGAGAACTCATTCACTATCATAAGAACAGCATGGAGGAACTGCCCTCATAATCCAATCACCCTCACCAGTTCTCTCCCTAAACACCTAGGGATTACAATTCAAGATGACATTTGGGTGGGGAACCAAAGCCTAACCATATCAGATATGAATAGCATAAAATGGGTGGGGGTAGTAATCTTGTTAAGTTTTTGTATGTGATTGGTGTTAGTTATTACCTTAAAATATACAGTTACAACTATGTTTTATGTAAGCCTCATGGTAACCACAAAGAAAAAAGTCTGTAGTAGATACACAAAAGATAAAGAAAGATAAATCAAAGCATACCACTAGAAAAAAGTAAACAAATTACAGAGGAATGCAATGAGAATGGAAGAAAGAAACTAAGAAACTATAAAAATGTCAAAAACAATGAACAAATTGGCAATAAAAAGTCCTTACATATCAATGATTACTGTAAATGGAAATGGACTAAATAAGTGGAGTGGACTAAATAAATGAAATATCCACATGCTACAGAATGAAATCAAACTTTTATCTTATGCCATGCACAAAAATTAACTTAAATTATAGACTTACATGTAACATTGGAAACCATAGAACTCCTAGAAGAAAATATACATAAAAAGTTCCATGACATTGGTCTGGGTGATGATTTTTTGAATATGACAACAAGAGCACAGAGAACAAGCAAAAATAAACGTGGGATAAATCAAACTAAAAAACTTTTGCACAAGAAAACAAAATATATTCAACAATATGAAAAGACTCTCCAAAGAGATAAGTGCTGAGGATTTGGAAAAAGAATTCTTTTCCACTGTTGTTGAGAATGTAAAATGATGCAACCACTATGGAAACAATATAGAAGTTAAAATTAAAACTACTGTATTATCCAGTAATCTCACTTTTGGGTATATATATACAAAGAAAATGAAAGCAGTATCTTAGTGATATCTGCACTCCCATGTTCACTGCAGCATTATTCACAATAGCCAAGATATGGAAACAACGTAATTAGCCATTACTGGATTAATGGATAAAGAAGATGTCATATGTATGTATATAATGGAACACTATTCACCCTTTAAAAAGAAAAAAGTTGTCACATAATTCGTGACAACATGCTTGAACTGAAGGACATTATGGTGTGTGAAATATATGTGTATGTGTGTATACGCACAATGGAACATTACTCAGCTACAACTAAATAGATATCCTCCCTTTTGTGATAACATGGATGAAGCTAGAGGATATCATGCTAATGAAATAGGCCAGATGCAGAATGAAACATACTGCATTATTTCACTTATGTGTGGAATCTAAAAATGTCAAACTCACAGAAACAGAGTAGAATAATGGTTGCAAGGAACTGGGGTGCGGTGAAAATGCAGAGACTTTGGTCAAAGCATAAAACTTTCAGTTATAAGATGAATAAGTTCTGGAAATCTAATGCACATAATGATGACTATAGTTGAAAATAATGTATTACATAATTACAATAGGCTAAGACAATAGATATTAAGTGTAGCCACCATCAAAAAGATCAGTATGTGAGGTGATGGATATGTTAATTAGTTTGATTTAGTAAACATTTCATAATACATACATATAACAAATAAGCACATTTTATACCTTAAATGTATACAATATTTACTTGTTGATTATTCCTCAATAAAGCTAAAAAAATCACTCCAAGATCAATGACCTATAGGAATCAATGATATTTTCAGTCTAATACATTTTCCTTTTTGGTATTTCTTCACATGAAATCCTATCTTCCTACAAAAACAACTGCCCACTCATATTAGGTAATCTCTGTTCTAAGAAGGGAGTATTCTTCTTGGTATTTTATTAGGCCACTTATTTCTTATACTAACCATTCAACTGAATTTAATATTTTTTAAAAGGTGAAATATATCTTTGGTACCTGCATGAGCAAAGATCTATGGTGAAGATGGATGTTGTGTGAGTGTATATTTAAGGATAGTCCTAAAAAAACCTAGAGATGTCATACACGTTTCCTGAAAATGTCAACATATTTATGATTATTTCTCATAGGCAAACTTAAAAATATAAGAACAACAGAAAAAGTAAAGACATATTCATAACAACCTAACCCTAAAGTTACAGACAACATTAAAGTGATGGAAGAATCGGATGAAAATTAATGTGATTGCATAATGAAGTCTCCTGTTTTACTTAGTAAACATAAAAATTTATAAATTTCAAAAAAGTTCTAATTACAGAAGAACTAACCTAAATAATAAAGATATGAAAAATACTCAAAACTAATTTCTAAAGGAAAAAACAAATTTAAACAATGAGATATAAATCCATACCAATCAAATCAGCAAAAATTAGAAAGCTAGACAGTATAAATTGTTGTAGAGGGAGTAGGAATATGGATATCTTCGTGTGTACCCATGCTAGTATAAAATATGCAGCAATTCTGGGGAGCAGTCTCATGATACTTAGTGACATTAAGCCTACACACTCTGTGAGAATCAGCAATTGTACTCCTGAGCACATATTCCACAGAAAGTGCCCACAAGTTCAAAAGTGATGATAATTGCAGCACTTCTTTCTGTGACAGGAAGTTGGAGGCAAATTTGAGGGCTATTACTGGGGAACTTTCATAAGAGCATGGTGGATGAACACCAGGGAATACCAGACAGTGATGAAAAGCAATGGGCTAGATGTAAACACCATTTGAATAATTCATAGAAAACTTGTTGCGTAAAGAGTTGTAAGATCACAATGAGATATATAACATACAACCTATAAAAGTATATAAATATAAAATTACATGTATTTTTCAAGAATATACACATATAATAAAAGGATCCAAAATAGCTACATAAGAATGATAACCTTCTCAAAATGGTGGTGGGGTAGATAATATAATAAGAAATAAAGGTAAAAACAATTTATAAATAGGTATTTTTAAAGGCTGTATTAGATTTATTAGATTTCAATTGCTGCATAACTAATCATCACAACTTAGCAACTTAAAATCATGCAAATTCATGATCTCTTAGTTCATGACTGCCAGAAGTCCAAACTCCAATCAGGGCTCAGGGTTTTCTGCTGAAGATTTCACAAGACGAACATCTAGGTGACATCTGAGGCCAGGAGTTCATCTGAGACTTGGTGTCTTCTTCCAAGCTAATGTGGTTATTGGATTAATTTATTTTCTTGTAGCTATAGAATTCAAAAAGACTAACCATCAAGGCCATCAGCAAAGCATCTCTTTGAGGTTTCATTTTTCCATAAAGGGCTAGACTAGGCCCAAACAGGACAATCTCTCTTTTGATTAACTGAAAATCAACTGATTAGTAATCTAATTACAGAAGGGATAGCCTATCGTATTCACTGGTTATGTCCACATTCAAGAAAAGGGAATTAAACCGGGTGATATGGTTTGGCAGTGTCCCCATCCAAATCTCATCTTGAATGTAGTTTCCATAATTCCCATGTGCAGTGAGAGGCACCTGGTGGGAGGTAAATGAATCATGGGAGCAGTTTCCCCCATGCTGTTCTCATGATAGTAAGTTCTCACACAAGATCTGATGGTTTTACAAGGGGCCTCCCTGCTCACTCAGCTCTCATTCTTCTCCTTCCTGCCTTCTTGTGATTAAAGATGTGTTTGCTTCCCCTTCTGCCATGATTGTAACTTTCCTGAGGCCTCCCCAGTCATGCTGAACTGTGAATCAGTTAAACCTCTTTCCTTTGTAAATTACCCCCTCTTGGGTAAGTCTTTATTAGAGGCATGAGAAAGGACTAATACACAGGGCATGTATATCAAAGTTTTATGATATAAAATGTTATGAATGTTCAGTAACAGCTATATCAAGCAGATAAAAATGAGTAAAGGTACAGAATATTTGAATATCATCAGTAATGTTTGATTTAATGAACAGAACTCTGTACCCAACAATTAGAATATGACAAAAGGATTTTTAAAGACATGTAATGCAAATTAGGAATAAAAGAAAAAACTGAAACTTGCATAGCTACATTGACATAGGAAAAAATACATTATAATACAAAAATCTATTGGAGATAAGGCGATCACTGCATAACAATAAGTGTTTTAATTTACTAGAAAGACATAATAATTCCAAACTTGAATGAAACTACAAACAGTTTCTAAATACTCATGACAAAGAAATATTGACAAATCCACCACCATATAGGGATATTTAACCAAATTTTATCTTCAACTGATATATAATGCAACTTACTAAACTCAACAAAAATGTGTAAGATTTAGGAAAAGCATAATATGCTCACTCTAATGGACAAATATTGATCCTGTATTCCTCAATCCGAAAATACACGTTGTTTTAAGGTACTAACAGAATATAAGTAAAAACTTAACTGTTCTGTGCAGAAAAGAAATCTCCATAAGCTTTAAAACACCTGTATAATACAGGATACTATCTCTAACCACAATGTAATTAATTTAGAAAATAATAGCTAAAAGATAACCAAATAAGATACAAGCAAATGCTTGAAAATTTAAAACACACAAAAATAACTCAATGTCAAATAAGGAATCATATTATATAGCACAATTATGGAATGTAACTAAATGAATAATTAGAAGACTATCATTTTAAATGTAGATTTTTTGGAAAGAAAGGAAGATTAAAAACAACTAAGTATAAAACTTAAGCACTTAGAAAGTGAACTTTAAAATAAATTAATCACAGTAGAAGTAATGAAATACTTAACATAATAGCAGAATGAAGTAAAACAGCAGAAATGTAATAAAGAGGATCAACAAATCAAATAGTTGCTTTTTTGAAAGCAAACGGAAACTCCTGGCAAACTTTCTCAAGATGAAAAGAGAGAAAGCACAAAGAAATAATATCAGTGATGAAAGAGGTGGCATAACATTGATATAGCTAAAATTATAATGAGAACGGTATAAATTTTATGTGAAGAAATTGACAAACTCAGATGAATATATAAATCACAGAAAATTATGTTACCAAAACTGATTCAAAAGGATATTTAAAACATGGTCAGGTTTACAATTATGAATAAATAAAATCATTTGCTAAAATTATTTTCACAGATGAAACTCCAGGTCCATAATATTTCAACAAAGTCTATCACATATTCAGAAATGGTTCTAATCTTGAAAATATTATCACAGTAGATAGAAAATATGGAAGCACTTCCAATTTATTTTTCTCATGAAGTTGGTATAAAATTGGTTACAAAATGTCACAGAGATTATTTAAGTAAGGAAAATATCAGAGTGATTTTATTCGTAAGTATAAATGTAAAAATCAATGTTAAAATATTAGCAAACCCCAATAATTTGTATTACCTTGTGATTTAGTTGAGAGTACCTCAGGTATATAAAGTGGAATTAACATTGAATAACATGATTATGTAATTAAAGCATAAAATACTAAAAGAAAATCATATATTTATGTTGACAGGTACAACTAATGGATGTATTCAATGAACTCCAACACATATTCATGATGTTAAAAATATTTTTTAGCAAACTAGAAGTGGATGAGAACTTGCTTAATATGAGAAGGGCTGTTAAACACTTACAGTAAATGTACAGTATTTTTAAAAATATTAATGAAATAATTTCTATTGAAAACAAGAACAAGATACCCACTAATACCACTTTGCTTAGCTCTTTCACTGGAACTATTATTTATTACAGTAAGAAAGTTAAAGAAATAAATTTTATGGTTTGGAAAAGTGCTTTAACCAGTGGTCATTATGATGTATATGCCCAAATTAAAATTGAGAGAAAAGATTAGAATTAATAAGATGTCAATTACTTTAAATATAAATTATCTTAAATAAATTATTTTGATATAAAGCAAATTTACGAGTTATTTGCATTTTTATTTAGTAAGCAGGTAGAAAAGAACTTAGTTTCAAAAAGTTACCATTTGCAATAACAACTATAATACATGAGTCAACAAGGAATAAGTTTTGAAAAGACATGACATGGCTTTTCAAAAATAAGCATTTGTATTGATATACATTAACAAATCTAAGCAAATTGAGAGATATGCCAAGTAGGACAAATTGTTAGTATAAATTGATACTTGGCTTGAAGAATAATCTAAAAAACTCCAAGCAAGATTTCTTGTTTTGTCTTTTCTTCCATCTTTCCTTCCTTCTTCCTCTCTTCTTTTTCCTTTTTTTAATGTTCTTTCCTTTCTTTCTTCCTCTCTCCTTCTTCCCTTCCTTCCTCCTGCCCTTGCTCTTTCTCCTCCATCTTCTTCTTTCTCTCCCTCTCTCTCCTGGTAGAACATGATAAGCTTGAAAAGCTCACACCTAAATACATATTTAAAAATGAAGAATACACTTTCAGTTTTTGGTTCCCCATGTAAGAAGAATAGAAGCTGCCATTCTGTTCTAACAAGTAAAAATCTAGAAGACCAATAAAATTAGCAACTCTTCTGGGATTTTTAAGAGAAATGAGGACACAGAGCAAACCACTGCCCCCAAAATTAGAGAAACAGACAAACAAATGCAGGGAATCATATCTTACCAGAGCAGAGACTAATGAGTAGAAACTGCTGTGAGAACCAGTGCTGGGATAGGAAAATCTGAACTGTAACTGGCACATTGCTTTATGCTAAGTGTGGGCGAGTGCAAGAGTTAAATAAAAATAACTAAAGGGGGACTCAGTCACGGGGGAGGGGCTTCACTTCTGTGAGTTTTATCTCCAGGAGCCTGACCAGGTTCTAACAGTAAATATTGGAAAGCAGTTTTCTCATGCTTCTGCCAGGTTCTATCAGTAAATATTGGAGAGCAGTTCTCCCTTGTTTCTGCCTCAGGGATAGAAAGCAGAACCATTTGGAAATATGCCAGAGCACTCTGTTCTTAATATGGTCTGCCCTCAAGAGAAACTATTTAACCAAAGCCTAAAGTGCTAGGATTTTATCAGATCCTAACTGGCATGGGGAAAGAGAAATACCCAATTCCAGCCCATTCTAGCCACCTAGGTGGGGAAACACTTGTGAAGTTCAAAATACAGAAGCATAGCCTCACTAAAAGACTTGGAATACTATGCAGCCATAAAAAATGATGAGTTCATGTCCTTTGTAGGAACATGGATGAAGCTGGAAACCATCATTCTCAGCAAACTATCTCAAGGACAAAAAACAAAACACCGCATGTTCTCACTCTTAGGTGGGAATTGAACAATGAGAACACATGGACACAGGAAGGGGAGCATCATACACCGGGGACTGTTGTGGGGTGGAGGAACGGGGGAGGGATAGCATTAGGAGATATACCCAATGCTAAATGATGAGTTAATGGATGCAGCACACCAACATGGTGCATGGATACATATGTAACAAACCTGCACGTTGTGCACATGTACCCTAAAACTTAAAGTATAATAATAATAAAATTAAAAAAAAGACTGAGACCCAATCATGAGACTATAGAATGCCTCCTGTCCTCCCTCACATTACACCACATTACTGAAAACCTATTTACCTTTTACCTGGAACATCATGTTGGGCTATCAAAAAAATTACAAGGCATACTAAAAGGCAAAAAGAAACCACACAATTTTAAGGGACAGAGCAAGCACAAAAAACAGATATTGCAGAGATGATGAAATTATTAGACCAGAAATTTAAATCAATGATTGATATGCTAAGTGCTCTAATGGATAAAAGAGGGAGCATGTAAGAAAAGATAGGCAATGTAAGGAGAAAAACAGTAATCCTAAGAAAGAACAGAATTCCAAAAAAAAAAAAAATGCTGAAGATCAGAAACATTGTAAGATAAATGAAGAATGTCTTTGATAGGCTAATTAGTAGATGGAACATATATGAGGAAAGAATCTTTGGGTTACAAACATCCAAACTGAAAAGCAAAAAGAACAGTGATTAAAAAACCAAAACAGAACATCTAAGGACTGTGGAACAATTTTAAAAGATGATATTTGAGCAAAAGGGAAATTAGAGAAGGAGAAGAGAGAGAAGATGGAGCAAAAGAAATATTTGAAACATTTATTGAGATTTTCCCCCAAATTAATATCAGACAGATTCAGGAAAATTCAGAGGATACCAAGCCATATGAATGCCAAACAACACACACGCGCGCGCACACACACACACACACACACACACAAACTACATGTAGGTATATTATTATCAACCTTTTGAAAATCAAAGATACAGAAAAAATTCTGAAAGAAGATAGAGGAAGAAAACCACTGTACTTATAGGAGAGCAATGAAAAGTTAAATCTGACTTCTCAGAAAGCATGGAAGCAACAATAGAGTGGAATGAAATACTTAAAGTGTTGAAAGGGAAAAAAACACCAAAATAGAATTCTGTTTCCTCTAAAATTATGCTTTAAAAGTGAAGGAGAAATAATTACTTTCTTAGGCAAACAAATATCGAGGGAATTTGTTGCCAGCAAATCTCCCTTGCATGAAACATTGAAAGAAGTTTTTTAGGGAGAAGGAAAATAATATAGGTCAGTTACTCATAATTCATATAAAAGAGATTAGTGAAGAGGAATAAGTGATGGTTAAATAACAACTTTTATTTTTCTTATTCTTAACTGAACTAACAGATAACACTTTGTTTAAAATAATAATAGGGCCAGGCACAGTGACTCACGCTTGTAATTCAAGCACTTTGGAGGTTGAGGAGGGAGGATATCTTGAAGCCAGGAGTTTGAGACCAGCCTGAGCAATGTAGTGAGACCCTCATCTCCCCAAGAAAAACCAAAAATTAGCTTGATTTGGTGGCTCACACCAGTAGCCAGGAGTTGGAGGCTGCAGTGAACCATAATCATGCTACTGCACTACAATCTGTGGGACACAGTGAAGCCTGTCTCTAAAATCAAATGAAATCAAATCAAATAATAATAGCAACAATATATTTTATGTAGACTTATGTATCTATCTTTTGTGTGTGTAAATATATATATGTATATATCTCAGCTTATGCACACTTATATATAAATGAAATGAATGAAAACAATAATACATGGGAGAGGATGGGAAAATTAGGATTGTATTGTTATTATAAGGTTTAGTAAGTCTTCATTTAATGTCATTGATAAGTTATTAGAGAATATTAGTTTTAATAAAATGACATATAATGAAATAATTTTTCCCCATTAATGTTATAACAAACTGACGTTGAAGGAAATGATACTATTTGAGGATCTGCTTTTTATATTGTTTCACTTTAAGTCACAGCTTTCAATAACCTATTGACAATATTGAGGACTCACTGTACTCACACTATCCATGAAGTCATATTTGTGTTATTTGAAAGCAGGTTTGGATTAGCTGTAAATGCATATTGGAAACTCTGGGGAAACTACTGAAAAGAGTTTTTTTTAATGTATGACTGATGATATTAAAGGAAAGAAAAAAAGTTATACAAAAAGCTCAATTAAAACCACAAAACGAAGGAAAAAAAAAGAAGGGCAAAAACAAGCACATAGAATAAGGGCAACAGAGGAAAAGCAGCTATAAATATGGTAGCTATTAATCCAACAATATCAATAATCACTTTGAAATCAATAGTCTAAAAGTACCAATTAAAAGAAGTTGTCACATTGGGTCAAAAAACAGGACCCAATTATATGTTGTCTACAAGAAACCCACTTTAAATATGAAGACAAAAATTAAATGTAAACAGTTCACAAAAAAATATACAATGCTAACACTAATCAAAAGAAAGAAGTAGTAGCTACATTGACTTCAGACAAAAAAGATTTCAAAATAAAGAAAGTCTACCAATCTTTGACAAAGGAAAAAAGGCAATAAAATGGAGCAAAGACAGTCTTTTCAACAAATGGTGCTGGAAGGACTGAATGTGCAATGTAAAACAAAATAGAAAAATAATCTAGAATAGACCTTATACCCTTCAAAAAATTAACTCAAAATAAATGATAGATCTAAATGTAAAATTTAAAACTATAAAACTCTTAAAATATAACATGGGAGAAACTCAAGATGAGCTTGGGTATTGCAGTAAGTTTTTAGATAAAACTCTAAAGGTAAAATCCACGAAGGAAATAATTGATAAGCTAGATTTCATTAAAACTGAAAATTTTCCTCTTCATAAAACAAAGTAAAGAGAATGAGAAAACAAGCCAACGATGGGGATAAAAGTATTAGCAAAAGACACATCTGATAAAAGATTGTTATCCAAAATATACACAAACTCTCAAAACTCAACAATAAGAAAATAAACAGCCTGATTAAAAATAGGGTCAAAGACCTTAACAGACACCTCACTAAAGATATACAGATAGCAAATAAGCATACGAAAGAGGTTGCACATAATATGTTTCCGGGTAAGTGCAAGTTAAAACAACGTCATACCACTACAGACCAGTTAGAATGACCAAAATTCAAACTACTAACAATAATCTGAAGCAACAGGAAATCTCATTCACAGCTGATTGGAATGCAAAATAATACAGTCACTTTGGAAGACAGTTTACAAAACTAAACATATTCAATTTTGTTCTTCAGTATTTACTCAAAAGAGCTAAAACCTTTGTCCACACAAAACCCTGCAGGTGAATGGTATAGCAGTTTTATTAATAATTGCTAAAACTTGTAACCAAATGTCCTTCAGTAGAATGGGTAAATTAAGCTGTGGTATATCCAGACAATTGAATATTGTTCAGTATCAAAAATAAATGAACTGTCAAACCACGAAAAGACATGGAGAAATCTTAAATGCATTTTACCAAGTGAAGGAAGCCAATCTGTAAAAACTACAAACTATGTAATTTCAAATACATGGCATTCTGGAAAACGGAAAACTATGGAGACAGTAAAAAGTTCAGTGGTTGCCAGAGGTTGAGTTGGAGGGTGAGAGGATGAATAAGTTGAAAAACAGGGAAATTTTAGGGCAATGAAAAACTTTGTACAGTACTATAATGGTGGATACATGTCACATATATTTGTCCAAATCCATAGAATGTATACCACCAAGAGTGAATTCTACTGTAAATTATAAACTTTGGGTGATTATGATGTATTAATATAGTTTTGTCACTTGTAACAAATGTACTACTCTGGTAGAGGATGTTGATTATGCAGGAGGCTCTGCATTTACAGTGCCAAAGGGAATATAGGAAGTCTCCATATCTTGCTCTCAATATTTCCATAATATGGACCTAAAACTGCAAATTAAGTAGTCTCTTTTTTACACTCCCAACAACAGTGAAAAAGCATCCCTATTTCTCCACATCCTCTCCAGTATCTGTTGTTTCCTGACTTTTTAATGATCACCATTCTAACTGGTGTGAGATGGTATCTCATTGTGGTTTTGATTTGCATCTCTCTAATGACCAGTAATGATGAGCTTTTTTTGATATGTTTTTTGGCCACATATATGTCTTCTTTTGAGAAGTGTCTGTTCATATCCTTCGCCCACTTTTTGATGGGGTTGTTTGTTTTCTTCTTGTAGATTTGTTTAAGTTCCTTATAGATTCCGGATATTAGCCCTTTGTAAGATGGATAGATTGCAAAAATTTTCTTCCATTCTGTAGTCTGCCTGTTCACTCTGATGATAGTTTCTTGTTTCTTTTGCTGTGCAGAAGTTCTTTAGCTTAATTAGATCCCATTTGTCAATTTTGGCTTTCATTGCCATTGCTTTTGGTGTTTTAGTCATGAATTCTTTGCCCATGCCTATGTCCTGAATGGTATTGTCTAGGTTTTCTTCTAGTATTATTTACATTTAAGTCATTAGTCTAGGTCTTACATTTAAGTCATTAATCCATGTTGAGTTAATTTTTGTATAAGGTGTAAGGAAGGGGTCCAGTTTCAATTTTATGCATGTGGCTAGCCAGTTTTCCCAACACCATTTATTAAACAGGGAATCCTTTCCCCATTGCTTGTTTTTGTCAGGTTTGTCAAAGAACAGACAGTTGTAGATGTGTGGCATTATTTCTGAGGCCTCTGTTCTATTCCGTTGGTCTATATATCTGTTTTGGTACCAGTGTCATGCTGTTTTGGTTACTGTAGCCTTGTAGTATAGTTTGAAGTCAGGTAGTGTGATGCCTCCCGCTTTGTTCTTTTTGCTTAGGATTGCCTTGGTTATACGGGCTCCTTTTTGGTTCCATATGAAATTTAAAGGAGGTTTTCTAATTCTGTGAAGAAAGTCAATGGTAGCTTGATGGGGACAGCATTGAATCTATAAATTACATTGGGCAGTATGGCCATTTTCACGATATTGATTCTTACTATCCATGAGCATGGAATGTTTTTCCATTTGTTTGTGTCCTCTTTTATTTCGTTGAGCAGTGGTTGGTAGTTCTCCTTGAAGAGGTCCTTCACATCCCTTATAAGTTGGATTCCTAGGTATTTTATTCTCTTTGTAGCAATTGTGAATGGCAGTTCACTCATTTTTTGGCTCTCTGTTTGTATATTATTGGTGTATAGGAATGCTTGTGATTTTTGCACATTGATTTTGTATCCTGAGATGAAGTTGCTTATCAGCTTAAGGAGATTTGGGGCTGAGACAATGGGGTTTTCTAAATATGCAATCATGTCATCTGTAAACAGAAACAATTTCACTTCCTCTCTTCCTATTTGAATACCCTTTATATCTTTCTCTTGCCTGATTGCCCTGGTCAGAACTTCCAATACTATGTTGAATAGGAGTGGTGAGAGAGGGCATCCTTGTCTTGTGCTGGTTTTCAAAGGGAATGCTTCCAGCTTTTGTCATTCAGTATGATAGACAGTGTGGCAATTCCTTAACAATCTAGAGCCAGAAATACAATTTGACCCAGCAATCCCATTACTGGGTATATACCCAAAGATTATAAATCATGCTGCTATAAAGACATATGCACACATATGTTTATTGCGGCACTATTCACAATAGCAAAGACTTGGAACCAACCCAAATGCCTATCCATGATAGACTGGATAAAGAAAATGTGGCACATATACACCATGGAATACTATGCAGCCATAAAAAAGGATGAGTTCATGTCCTTTGCAGGGACATGGATGAAGCTGGAAACCATCATTCTCAGAAAACTAACACAGGAACAGATAACCAAACACTGCATCTTCTCACTAATAAGTGGGAGTTGAACAATGAGAATACATGGACAAAGGGAGGGGAACATCACATACTGGGGCCTGTCAGTGGGTGCGGAGCTAGGGGAGGGATAGCATTAGGACAAATATCTAATGTAGATCACAGGTTGATGGGTGCGGCAAACCACCATGGCACGTGTATACCTATGTAACAAAGCTGCACATTCTGCACATGTATCCCAGAACTTAAAGTATAATTTAAAAAAAAGGAACATGTGCTTCTTAGAATCAGTTAATTATAAAACTCTTACCTGAGGAGAAGTCATGGAATTAGAAATCCCAAGCCATTTGATTTCAGGAGATTGGGTATATGAATTAACAAATCCCAATACCAATGTATAAGAGCTCTGAGAAGTTCCAGTGATGGAGTTTGTTTATTTCCATTATCATTATATGTTTTGGATCTTAGATTAAAGGAATATTATGGATAATTATAGAGATCTGTCAAAGTTTTAGCATAAGCAATTTTGAAAGGATGCCAAATATTAAAATATTATAAATTTAATGTGTTTAATGTGTATTTATATTTAAAGTGTCTTGCAGATGATGGAAATCAGTAGGATTAACTTTTCAATCTGGAATAAAATTCCTTAAAGCCTCAACATTTTTGCAGCACTTGAATCAATAAATGTTTCACTTTTGTGCATTTGTGAACAGAACATTTTAGTTTTGTGGGGCTGATGGTAAAAAATTGGAAGCCAAGATTCCAGAATTAATGCAAGCTGATCTCCAAGGCAAAATATACTTGTGACATTTCAAAAGGCAAAAAAAGAGTCTCTTTTTTTTTTAAGTGAAGAGTAAATAATGGTGAAGATACTCATAAAGAAGAAGGATTACATAGTGAGATAAGGGGTACAAATTATACTCAACCAAATATTAAGAGCCATTTTATATTACTATGATGTCATATTGGCATAAGAGTAAATGAGGTAGGCCAAAGAAACAGAGCAAAGTTCCCGAAGCAGAAACACACACACACACACACACACACACACACACACACACAGCCACACACACCTCCCCAAGGTCCCAAATATCACTGAGGAACATTAAAAGTACCATTAGTTCTAAAGTGCTTAGTTTTAAGAAAATCAACAAGATATAATATTAATGTTCCGATCTTGCTCTTTTCACATCTCTGACTAGCCAGAAAACCCATTATGCAATACCGTTTAATTGCCATAGATTCATACTTAAATCATATCTCTTTCCACATGAACTAACCAGCCAAATGTATCATCCTCAGCGCCATATTTCTGCCCATTTGGAGGATTTCCCTTCCCTCCTAGACTAGCCTTAAGAAGAGCTAAAGTGAACTGGCCATAGGCTCCCAGTTTGCACCAGTATTACCATGCAGAGCCATCAATACATAAGATTCACACTTTCTTCCTCCTCTATTAACTAATTAACAGTATTTCTCATTCCCTTCCCCTTGAATCTAGCTTATAATAGAAGTGATGCTACATGACTTCCAAGGCCAAGTCAGAGGTCAGAAGTCTTGAAACTTCCATCTTTGGCCCTTGGAATATTCATTCTTTATAACTTCCTCTTAGGACACTGCCTTTCAAAACCCACTTGCCAGGCTGCTTGAAGTCCAAGACACACGAAAAATCCTGTGTAGGTATGTGCCCATCTGAGCTCCCAGTGGGTAACCAACATCAATTGTCAACCATGTGAATGAGCCATCTTGAATGTCCAACCTAGTCAGGCTTTCAAATGATTGAATTCCCAACCAAAATTTGAATGTAGCCTTTTGAGAAGCTTCAAGCCAGAATCACGCATTTGAACCCTTCTCAAATTCCTGACCTCCAAAATCATGAACAAAATAAAATGGTTGTTGCTGCAAGCTGCTAAGTAATAGGTACTCTGTTGTGCAGTAACAGATAATAAGAGACAGATGTAATTAGTGTTACATTATCAGATGTTGTCTGAGATGTCATCACTCTCAAGTTATCTCCAGATTATATTTTGATAGAAAGCAGAAAAGTTGATACAGCCATGAGGCAGGAAATAAATATATACTTTTGTTACTGTCATGTGAGGAAAAAGTGATTCTAATTTTATAATTAGATGAAAAAGTACTTTCTAGTTTTATATCAGTGGCTATTCTTGTTTGCCAGTGGAGATAACACACTGGAAATGTACCTATAATTAGCAAAACCACCTGGTTACATTTGTCATAATCTTCAGTATTAGTTCTCAAAATGTGGCCCCTAGATGACTTCAGATGTGGAAAGACTTAATATACAAAAAGCACATATCATAACCTATTTAATATATCAGTCATTGTTAAAAATATTACACCTTTCATAAAATAAAATCATTTAAAAGTGAAGTCACGCAAAAGGAGATACATATGACTCAGCAATACATATGACTTAAGATTACTATTTAGAATATACAATCTCTTTCAAAGTAATAAAGAGATTTGAGAATATAAAATCTCTTTCAAACTAATAAAAAAACAAAGAATCTAAACTACTTCTCCCTGGCAAATAAATGGTCAAAAGCCATAAATAAACATGTCATAGATTGAGATACATGGAGAAGAAATGAATATTTGAAAAGATGATCAATCCTTTTAACAATTAGGAGAATGAACATTAAAAACCACAAACACCTTTTTAAACTCCCCAGGATAAGAAAAAATTAAAAGCGTGGCAAGAAGTATTGACAAGAATGCAGATAACAAGAAAGTTTATAAACTGCCAGTGGAAGTGAAAGTCAGTACAATCACCACTTTCATAAATAATTTGTAATTACCTTGTAAGTTTGAATATGTAACCACCCCAACCCCTCCACAACACATCAATTCTACACCAATAAAGCAAGAAATCCCAGGCATATAGACACCGACGTCATATGTGAGAATTTAATGGCAACATCGTTTGAAAGAAAAATAACAACTACAAAAATGAAAACAAGTCAATGTCCGTGGTCTTGAGCCTAGCTACATTAATCAAAGGTTATTCATACAAAAGAATGTTATGTTCCCCGGCATGGTGGCTCATGCCTGTAATCCCAGCATTTAGGAAGGCAGAGGCAGGAGGATAGCTAGAGCCCAGGAGTTTAAGACTTCTCTGGGCAATATAGTGAGACTCTGTTCGCCACAAAAAGACAAAAAATGATTATTATGTAGCCTTACAAATGGGCAAACTAGGCCGGGGTGGTGGCTTACGCCTGTAATCCCAGCACTTTGGGGGGCCAAGGCAAGAGGATCCCAAGAGGTCAGAAGTTCAAAACCAGTCTGACCAACATGGTGAAACCCCCTCTCTACTAAAAACAAAATTAGCTGAGCATGGTGGCGGGCGCCTGTAATCCCAGCTACTCAGGAGGCTGAGGCAGGAGAATCACTTGAATCCAGGAGGTGGAGGTTGCAGTGAGCTGAGATCGTGCCATTTCACTCCAGCCTGGGCAAGAGTGAAACTCCATCTCAAACAAAAAAAAAAAAATTAAAAAGGGCAAACTATAGCTATACATCAAACATGGATAAATGTCAAAAATATAACTTTGAAGAAAAAGTAACTCTTGTAAAAATATATGCCATAGAACATAATTTACATAAATTTTAAGCACGTAGCATATAAAGTTTAGGGAGATATAGGATTAATTATTTGAAATTGATGTTTTTGTAGGTGAAAAAGATGAGTATTGACAATTTATTATGGTTCAATATCACAAATAAATGTGGTAAAATTATTTAAAAAGTCAATGAAGTGATTAATAACAACATTTAGTATTTAGTCATATACCTGATATGGTTAAGTTGATGAAGCAATCAATAAAATACAATTCTCAAAATCTATTCACATGCAGCATTCATTTTAATAGAGAAACCATAAGCAAATTAATGTCTTGTGATCAATAACCTATGGAAAAACAGAAGTGAGGTAGATAAGGAATATTTGATGGTCTTGGAGAAGGTGAGGTAGCTATTTGATAAACAGGTCACAGAAGTTCTCTCTGCTCAGGTAAAATATAAGAAGAAATCTGATGGAAAAAAAGAAGGGAGCCCATGACTCTCTCACTGTCCAGTGTTATTGGCATAAGGAAAGGCAAGGGCAAATGCTTTTAAAAGGGGTGCACGTGGATCATTGCAGGAATGGCAAAAATGCCTATATACCTACGGAGCAGAGTAGGTTGGTAGCAGGGTAGGGAAAGTGATAGAAATGAGGTTAGAGAAGAAGTCAGGAGTAAGATCATGTAGGGCCCTATAGGTCATCTTGTCATTTAGTCTGAGTTAGATGGAAAGTTGCTGGTGAGTTTTGAGTAGAGAAATGATGTTATCAGTTTTACATTTTATGAGGATCACTCAGGATACAATATGGAGATGAGATTGCAGGAGAAAAAGATAGGTAGATAAAAAACCAATTAGGAAACAACTGCAATAATCCAGGCAAGAAAAAATAATGGCATGGAATTAAGGTAGTAGCTCTGGAAGTAGTGAGAATTGATTTGGGATCTAATTTTGAAGGTAAAATTGGAAAATTTCCTGATAAATTGAATGAAGATTGTGAGAAAAAGAGAAGAGTCAAAGGTGACTCCAAGCTGTTTGGCCTAAGCATCTGGAACACTAGGGGGCAAAGTGAAAGGTGGAAGTTGGGCAGTGGTGAATAAAAATAAGATTTTGGGTTTGGTTATACGAACTTTGAATCAGCTATCAGCCATTTCCATGGATAAGTAAGTAGGAAATTGGATGCAGAAGTATAGTGTTAAAAATTATTGACTGGCAATTCAAATATGGAAATCTTCAATATAATGATGATTTTTTAAATGCTAAGGGTGGGTTAGACCATTTAGTAAGTGATTGCAGACAGAGAAGAAAGGACTGAGGACTAAGACTCATGACACTTCAGTGCTTAGTGGTCTGGAAGAGAAGCAGCAGCCAGTAAGGTTTAGAAGGAGCAGCACTAAGGTAAAAAGAAGCCAAGAAAAAGTGGTGCTCCTGAAGCTAAGTGATACAAAATTTCAAGAAAGAGGGACATACCTCTGGTGGGGAAGGTGGTTATGGGATCACAAGATCATGAGGAGTAGCTTTATTGATATTGGTGCTGTTTTATTTGATAGTCTGGGTGGTTTTGAATGGTAATCAATTTATTATTTATTATGGCATATATTCTTATTTTGTTATGTAGTAAATATTACACAATCGAAAATGAAAATAAGTTAAAAATTCATTGCCAAAGAAAAACATCATAGCATAGAAGAAAAAAGAGAAATTATTTTCATGTGTGTTTATAGAAAATAATTCACCAATGAAGGAAATGGAAAAAAGAAGAAACATACGTTGTAAAATGTAAAATGAGGGAGGAGACATGCAGTTCTCTTGTTAACAGTTCCCTTGTTTACAGCTCTAGAAGCTGTGTAACAGACATGCTACCAAATATTTATTACTACTACTTAACCCAAGAGAAATTGGTAATTTGTGAACAGTGTACATTTGGCAAAAAGTTACATATTGTATCTTTTGGAAAATCGTATGTTAAGCCATATATAAATAACTAAATTTTCTAGAATTTTTGTTGTGAAACATGCTGAAAATATTTACAACAAAAGCTGCTATGTTAATAGGAAAACAACAATAAAAAAGAAGCCCTTCAGGTATATTCATTTATCTTATAAATGCGCTATAGGAAAAAATATATAATTTCCTCTTTAAAAAAGTCATTTTGAAAACTTTCCACCTTCAGAAAGAATAATTCATTAGAAACATTTCCAAAGTTGTGTTTTCCTTTGTATTAACATAGCAAGAGTCTATAAAAATTTATCTTGTGCCTTGAAAACTGCTTTCACAATGAGAGAACGAACTAGACTTCTAGATATTATTTCTACGCCTGAGTCCATATTTAAAAATGATAAGAATCGGTTATTTTTCCTGACGCATACTTGGAAAAAGGGTCATGACAGGGAGTAAGGGAGAGAGAAGGGAGAGCATCAAAGGTATATGTCACATGGCAAGCAGCTCAACAATAAGACTGTTTACTCATTCATTACCGAAGATAAAATCATAGTAGCAGCCAGCAGAAACTCTATACTTCTTTCTCCATCTTCTTCTTCTCTCTCTCTCTGAACTATAGCTTTTTCTATTTTTCTTCTTAAAAAAATATAACAAAGCTGCCTTACTAGTGATGTAGAATTGATCTCCATGTAATGTTAGAGATTGTTTTCTCAAGTTCTATTTAAATGTATGCCAAGGGAATCATTGCAGAAGAAAGCAGGGAAGTTTCCTGCAGCATGTATTGCTAGCTACCAGCCGAGTGCAGGAGGTAGAGTGAGACTCACCTTTTGAAATAATTTTCTTTATTAAAACTGCTAGAGATGGAAAAGAGACATTTACTAACACCTGTAGATATTATATTAGCCTGGTTATATATACCTCAATCTGCAAGAACAATTCTTTGGATCATTTCAAAACCTATGTTGATTTAGTTATATAAAATGTCAGACTAATAATTTAACGTCACTATGGCAAAAAAAGTTCTTTAGTTTTTTTGAGTCACATTAGTAACCCATAAAAGGTTATGAAGTATTATAAAATATTGTAATGAAGCAACTCTTTTTTGCCCAGTGACATATATGCTTACAATTGGAAAACATTATTACTTAGTTAAGTTTCTCCCACTCTTCTGTTTAAATGTCTCATTTCCCATGGAGACTTTAATAATACATATTATGGGGCAAAGTTATTTTTGTCATAAATGAGTATTTTTCTATCTATGCTTCGATTATATCAAGATTAAGCATTTCTATCTTTTTAAAATAATTTATCCAGTACCACGTAGCCATCAATTTTTCAACTAAAATGTCATTTTCTAAATTGACTTCTTTCTTTAGCATTCATGATTGTTTAGAGAAATAAAACATTATTATTATTATTTTTATCTGAGACCAGGTATTACATCACTAATTATTATATACATTTATAAAGCAGCCTGCCTACACCTATCCAGAAGATTACAGCCTCAAAAGTTTATACAAATGTAGCTGAATACAAGTGAAACTGATAGACAAGTGAATAAATATAAATGTGGCTTGTTTTACCATCTTAGGCAAGAGTGTTAACACCCTGGGAGGAAATGCTGATAAATGAATTAACTCAGGCCCTATTTGCAATTCTATAGTGAACATTTGTCATGTGATTGTCTTCTGAAAGATTAATATCTGCTGGTGAATTTTAAGGAGCTTGAATTTTTTAAGTATTCTAGGACAGATATAATTAAATATGTTATAATCATTTGTTTAGTGCTTGCCTGCCAGACAACAGGAGAAATGAAATGCCTGCTTTTGTCACTCCTGAGCACTCAACACATAGTGTTGAATGAATGAATAAATAAATAATTGAATTATTGTGTATAATAATGTCTGGTTTAAGTCAACATTTCCACCACTGATAATATAGTATTCAATATCAAGAGCTTCTTCTACAGAATAGAATGATACACAACTTTAAGTCACATATTTGTTTTATAAGAGGATTCAATCAGGTAATTCAGAATATGTTTATATAATTTTTTAAATTATCCTCAAAATTAAAACATGAAAGCAAAGCCATTTGAGGGAAAACTTGAAGATCCCCAAAGAATACAAGTATAGACTCTCAGAAGTCAGATAACTACAATGTAAAATACACAAGAAAAGATATAGTTCACAGCTACCATTATTGAAATTGAAGGCAATAATAAGCCAGTAAGGGCTTCTTTCTTCAAAAAATTAAAAGCAGAACCACCATGTGATCCAGTGATCCTACTTCAGGGTATATACACAGTAGAAATGAAATCAGTATCTCAAAGAGATAGCTGAGTTCCCATGTTCATTGCAACATTTTTTTACAATAACCAAGGTTTGAAAACAACTTAAGTGTACCGAAAGAAAGAATGATATTAAAACAAGCTTACTTTTATCAGAAAAAAATGATTCTTATTTTAATGCAGATGCATGTCCTTTCACCATAAAACTGTTTGAACTAATAAGTTTCAGTAAAGTTGGAGAATACAAAATCAACTTACAAAAATCAGTAACATTTCTACATACTAACAACTATATGAAAAAGAAATTAGGAAAACAATCCTATTTCCATTAGGATAATAAATGAAATACTCAGGAGTAAATTTAGTCAAGGAAATTAAAGCTCTGCAAACTAAAAACTATAAAACATTGATGAAAGAAATTGAAAATTACACAAATAAATGGAAATATATGCTGTGTTCATTGATTAGAAGAATTAATATTGCTAAAATGTTCATCCTACTACAGATTCAATGCAATTCCTGTCAAAATTCAATGTTATTCTTCAGAGAAAATTTTTGTAATCCTAAAATTTATACAAATCAATAAAAGACCTTGAATAGCCAAAGCAATCTAGATCAAAAAGAACAAAGCTGGAGTCATCACACTGCCAGATTTCAACATCTATTACAAAGCTATAGCAATCAAAACAGCATGATTCTGGCATAACGATAGACACATTAGCCAATGGAGTAAAACCAAGAGCCCAGAAATAATACACACATCTTCTGTCAACTGATTTTTGGCAAAGGTGTCAAGAACACACAATAGATAAAAACCAGTATCTTCCATAAATAGTGTTGGGAAAATTGGATATTACAGGTAGAATAAAAATGAATGCTTATCTTACCCCGATAGAATAATCAACTCAAAATGGATTAAATACTTTAATATAAGAGCTGAAACTGTAAAACTACTAGAAGAAAACAAAAGGGAAATATTGGTCTTGCCGGTGATTTCTTGGATAAAATCCCCAAAACACAGGCAACAAAAGCAAAAATAGACGAATGGGATTACATCAAACTGAAAAGCTTCTGCACAGCAAAGGAAACAATCAAGAGTGAAGAGAGCACACAGATTGAGAGAAAATATTTGCAAATTATACACTGGATAAAGGATCAATATCCAAAATATACAAAGAACTATTCAATAATAAGAAAACAACCTTATTTAAAAATGGGCAAAGGACTTGAATAGGCTTTTCTCAAAAGAAGACACACAAATAGGCAACAGATATATGAAGAAATGTTCAGCATCCCTAACCATCAGAAAAATGCAAATTAAAACTCTATGAGATGTAACTTCACACCTGTAAGATTGGCTACTAGCAAAAAAAGAAAGACAAGTGTTGACAAGGATGTGTAGAAAGGGAAGCCTTATACACTGTTGGTATTATTTTGAATTAGTATAGCTATTTTGGAAAGTTGTATGAAGATTCTTCAAAAATCTAAAAAGAACTACCATATGATCCAGTGATCCACTTCTGCATATATGCCCAAAGGAATTGAAATCAGTATTTGGAAGAGATACCTGCACTCTTATATTCATTGCAGCGTTATTCACAATAGCCAAGATATAAAAACAACTTAAGTAACCATCAAGAAATGAATAAAGAAAAACATGGTATGTATACACAATACAATATTATTCAGCCTTAAAAAACAGAAAATTCTGTCATTTGCCATTTGCCATTTGCCATTGGTGAACCTAGAGAATGAAATAAGCCAGCACAAAGAGACAAATACCATATGTGGTATTTGTCATACCACATATTTCACGTACTTATATGTGAAATCTAAAAAAGTCAACTCATAGAAATAGAGAGTATAATGGTGGTTACCAGAAGTTGTGACGGAGGAAGGACAGACAGGGAAAAGGGCAACACTGGTCAATAGGTACAAAGTTTCAGTTAGGATAAATAAGTTCTGGTGCTCTATTGCACTCACTGTGACTATAAGCTAAAACAACAGGACTTGCTATTGGTTTGGAGGTAAAGATCAAGGAAAGAGTGAGGACAAGCCTGACTTCTTGATTTTTGTCTTGATAAACTGGGTGAATTGTGATAGAAAAAAAAGTGGAAACCAGCTTTGAAAGACATTGGATATCAAGAGTTTTATTTAGATATCTAAATGAGGGATAACTATTAGACATTGAAGAGGCACTGGCAGATGGACACTTAAATTAACATGTATGTAGAAATGTCAATATAACAAAGAGCTGTTTTGTAAGATAGTTTTACTGTTTTTTCCATTGAGTGTGAAGTAAGCATTTGACTTTTTTTTAAATGAACATTTGATGTGCTATTTGAATATGATTGCTTCAGTTACGTTCAACTTTCTATTGGTGTGTTTGACAAGACAAGGATAATTTTGACAATTTATTTTACAATAAGTTATGAGATGGATAAATTCTTTCAAATTTGATTGATCTATCAGGAAACAAAAGGCTTATACTTTTTTTCATCTCAGTGGTAATTACTGCTAATTTGTACTTTTATATTGCTAAAAAGATCTTATATTTAATTCTAGATAATTCAACTCAATAATACATACATATATGTTCTATCAGTATATAGCAAGAATATGCAAAATTAAAAATTAGACGATACTTTTTTAATTAAATTAATTATAAAATAAATAATTGCATTCTATCACAGAAACAATAAATAGTCAGATATTTTGAGAACTGTAAACAGAGATCTAAATTTTTTAGTTTAACTAATTGTGAGAAATTTTTCATTGCTAATTATACTTAACAACTATTATTAACTTTAAGAATAAGACAAATCTAATGTTTATTGGGTGTCTACAGTGCTCCAGGTACTATTAATACTAAGTGGACATAAGGCACAATTCTTTCATGCTATAATGGATTTCAGTTGAATAGGAAGATATACATTGACAAATAACCCCATAAATAATTATTTTTCATTGTAATTAAAATCTTTCTATGGCAGAAAAATACAGAATGCTAATCCAGTTTTGGAGGTAGAGAGTGTGTGATTTCTCTTCCCCTTTCCTTTAACAGCTGGGATTTTAGCAATGAATAAGGGTTAGAGGTGGTATGAGTAAGTCTCCCTGTCCAAATTATACATGGCCTTGTGGGATATTTGTTTCTGCTCCTGTTACTTTCTTTGAAAAAAAAAATAATAAAAGAAAGATAGAAAGAGATTCTATCTTAAGCCCTCATTCCTCCACGGAAAGCAATAATTCAAAGAATATTAAATAACAGAATAGGACAGAAAGCTAAAGATCTTCCTCAGAAAGTTTTAACTGTATTAGTTTCCTGCAGTTGTCCTCACAAAAGTACCATAAACTAACTGGTTTAAACAACAGAAATTTATTGTCTTACAGTTCTGGAGGCTAGAAGTTCAAGATCAAGGTGTGAGAGGGTTTGTTCCTTCTGAAAGCCATGAAAGATAATATGTTTCTGTCTCTCTTCTAGCTACTGGTGGTTTACTAGCAATCTTTATCATTTCCTAACTTTTGCTGCATCATCCTGATTTTGGCCTTCATCTTTACATGGCATTCTCCTGTGTCTGTGTTCAAATTTCCCCTTTTTATAACAACAGTCATGTTGGATTAGAGGCCCATCCTATTCCAGTATGACCTCATCTCAACTTATTACATCTGCAACATTATTTTCAATAAGGTCACACTCTGAGGTACCCTCTCTGTGTTTTCTTCCGTAAGCTATCACCCCTTGGATTTTGACACCACTAGATACTTAATTCTTGCTAAAGTCTGAGCCCATTTCAACTACAGACCCTTTCACCAGTATGCTAGGCCTATAAAGTCACTAAAAGTATTTTTTGTAGATTCCTCCAAATTCTTTGTCAATCCATCACTCAAGGCCTCTCTGGGTAGATAGGTGGGATACAGGGTGGAATTAATCCAGATTTATTCTAAGTATTACTCAAAGTATTTTTATTCCTTCCCTGTCAATAGGGATCACCAAATCAAATTTAAATGAGTGCAGTGGACTAGAATAGGGTCTCTATAGAGAGTGATGGGCCTATAGCAATTTGAAGCACACCTGTTTCATCTTAAGCAGACAACAGCAAATTGCTGCCACACAGGAATATGAGCTCAGTGTTGCCAAGTCTTAATAAAAGAGGGTGAAAATAAAAGTTTTAATGTAAGCTTGTTGGCACATAAATCAACTGCTTTAAAAACACTGCAGAGGCCAAAATTATGAGGGCCAAATAAAACATGTCAATAGGCCAGATCCAGACTGCAGGCTGCCAGATTGCAACCTCTGTTCTGCATGATGTGCAGGGATTACTAGCCAATTCATGTGTTTCTATGGGCCAAATATGAATAGGGGTTTCTAATCATTCGACCCAGAAACCATTGGAATCACAGCTGTAGCTCGCACTAATCCATTAAATTCAGAATCTCAAAAAAGTGTGGCCGTATCAATAAATAAAGCGTAATTACAATTTTGTTATATCTTCCTTTCTTATACCCTCTAAATCAGTTTCCTCAATCTTTTTCTGATTTTTGATTAATCAAATTGGCAAATTCTTGAAATTTACCTGTTTATAAACTTCATTCCCTCCTCTGGCTGCACTTTAATGTCCTGGCAATACAGAGTTTGGATTCTGCCCACTAACAAGCAACAGCATGGGCATGAAGGAAAATGCTAGCTTTCTTGTGGTAGCGAGGGAGAGTTTTCTCTAGCAAACAACATGCCAACAGGGAGTTTCAGATGACTTCCTATCTGGCAGCCTCCATGTCCAGGTTCTCTATACCCTTCCAGACATTTTTTTTCAAATTGTTTCTATCAGTTATTGGTTAGTTTCCTAACCTTCACACAATTAACCTGATGAGGTTATGAATTCAATTGATATGATAATTTAGCAATATGCACAATCAATAACTAACTAGTGACTTCAGCAGTTCTGCTAGAAAAAGAAAAATGCCTTTCAGCAGAATCAGAAAGTCCCTGGGTTTCATTCCATGATACAAAGTGACTAATTTTGAGCTTATTATCCTCTTACTTTCAATTGTCCAATACTATCAGAAGCAATCGCCATACACAGGGGCCCTGGAATTCACATTCTATGGCAGCAGCTGCTTAGATTCTAGGGCTTCATCCTCACGGGTCCAGGTTACATTTCGCCTAATGGAGTGTTAGTTTCCCTTCCTAGTATATAAATTGGGATCTCATTGTCTCAGAATGATAACCAAGTCTCATTTCCAAGATAAAATTGCAGCCAGCTAATTCACCCTTGGAAAGCAATTTTTGTATTTGTTAGGCTTCCTTGGTTGCAAGCAACAGTAGCCAAATTAGTTTAATGCTGATAGAGACAAAAGAATTTTAGATGGATGTTAGTTTTGAAAGTATAACTCAAGTGATCAAAAAATGTAAACACCTTTATTTTGCTAAATTTAACTTTAACAAAGAATTTTTATCTAAGATCTCCAAAGCACAGGCAACAAAAACAAAAATTTAAAAAATGAGATTATATCAAGCTAAAAACTTTTTTGCACAGAAAATGAAATACTCAACAAAATGAAGAGACAATCTACAGATGGGATAAAATATTTGCAAACTATCAATGTAACAATGATTAAAACAAAAATAATCTAATTTAAAATGGGCAAAAGATCTGAATAGACATCTCTCAAAAAAAGACATACAAATGGCAAACAGGTTTATGGAAAATGTTCAACATCACTAATCATAAGGAAAATACAAATAAACACCACAATGAGATATCATTTCATCCCTGTCATCTCATCTCAGTTAGAATGCCTACTATCAAAAAGACAAAAACATAACAAATGCTGATGAGGATGCAGAGAAAGGGGAATCCTCATACACTGTTGGTAGGAATATAAAGTAGTACAGCCATTATGAAAAACAATATGGAGTTTTCTCAAAAACTACAAATAGAACTACACTATGATATAGCAATCCCACATCTGGCTATATATTCAAGAGAAATAAAATCAATGTATAGAAGAGATATTTGCACTCCCTTGTTTACTGTAGCACTATACACAATAGCCAAGATATAGAATCAATGGATGAATGAATAAAGAAAATGTAGCACATATACACAGTGGAATACTATTCAGCCATAAAAAATGAAATTTTGTCATTCACAGGAACATGGATGGAACTAGCAGACACCATGTCAAGTGAAATAAGCCAATAACAATATGCTAAACATTGCATTTCCTCAAGTTTTAAAAAGAAGATCTCATAGGAATTAAAAGTAAAACACAGGATACTAGAGGATGGGAAATGTAAGGAGAAGAAGAGGATAAGGAGAGATTTGTCATAAAATACAAAATTACAGCTAAAAATGAAACTGGCCTAACTGTCCCACAGAACTGATGTTTACTGTATTTTTTCTTTAGGATAAATACAGAAATTGACCCTCCAGGTCTCAAAGCTTGAAACTTCCTTTTGTCTTATCTGAGTTCCTTCCTCAGGAAAACACCCGCAGGCCTCCCAGATAGTATCAAGAAACTGAAACTCACCAGATCACTGCATCCAGTGAGATGCCAGACACCTTATCCATCATGATTCCTGTTTACCAACTCCTCTTTATCCTTCTTTAATTCCTGTTTTCCAACACATGGTTACATTTCTTCCCTACCATATAAACCCCTAATTTAGCCAGTGGAGGAGACAGATTTGAGACTGATCTTCTGTTCTTCTCAGCTTCTGCATCCAAATAAAGCCCTTTCCCTGCCAATATTTGTTTCAGTGATTGGCTTTCTGTGCAGTGAGCATCAAGATCTAGACCAAACCTCTGACATTTTGGTAACATACAGAATGAACAGATTCTAGTGTCTCTATCACTCTAGTATGACTATAGTTAACAACAATATAGTTTCAAATAGCTAGGAGCATACTAAATGTAACTGATACAAAAATATGATAAATGTTTGAGATGATGAATATGCTAATTACCCTGATCTGATTTCTATACCTCATATTTATTGAAACATCACAGTGTACCCCACAAATATGTATAATTTTTACATGCCATTTTTAAAAATAAGATTAAAAATAGTCATTTTTAAAAGGGCTTATTTTAATACCTAGTCCATATGATTATGAGTTGATGTTTATGTAAATATCTTGCAAATTCTAACGTAGTATGTAAATAAAAAAAGAAACTGGACTATGTAAACAATGGAAGATTATACAGCTGATGCAGGACTTGTCTTCTCGATCACTTTGCACGCCAGGGACCCCCGGTGGCAATGCTCCACCCGGGCCTCATTCAGCCACACTGGTGTGCCCCAGCTGGCCTGTGTTATAGCTGGTACCCATGTTCGGCAGTTCCCAAGCTCTTGTACTGCGCCCATGAAAAATGACGATATGCTGGACATTGAAGTATGAGGAGGGTGGAGAGGAATTTTATTGAGCAACGGAACAGCTCTCTGCAGAGAGGGGACAAAGAGGGTGGTTTCCCTATCCAAAGGTGGGAAAGTCCCCTATTTGGTTGGGTCCTGGGCCTTTTATGGACTCAGAATGGGGAGTGTATGCTGATTGGTTTGTGAGTATGCAAGAAAGGCTAAAGCACAGACAAAGGTGAGCATGACAGTATAGAAAAACCAATTAGGGAAGAGTAGGTGTATGTAAAATAGGTGAAGGGTGGGGACCAATTAGAGAAAGTGCACCAAACGGGAAGACAAGTCCTCAATCCGGTCCGAGAATTTACCTTGTAGCTTAGCTTTCAGTCTTTAAACTGTCTTCAGCTTGGAGGTGGGGTTTCACCGGGGACCCACCCCTATCTGCCTAGGCATTTGGCTGCCTCCTGCTACTCTCACAGCCATGAAAAAGGATAAAATCCTGTCACTTGCAGCCACATGGATGGAAATGGAGGTCATTATGTTAAGTGAAATAAGCCCATCACGGAAAGACAAATATCTCATGTTTTCATTCATATGTAGGAGCTAAATAAGTGGATCTCCACTTAGAAAGGAATGTTGGTTTTACCATAGGCTTGGAAGGGAAGGACAAAGCGGGGATGAAGCAAAATTGGTTAAGGGGTACAAAAACACAGTTACATGGAAGGAATAAGTTCCAATATTCAATAGTACAGTAGGAAAATTATAGTTCATAATAATGTATATTTTAAAGTAGCTAGAAGAGAAAAATTATAAGACAACACAACAGAAAGAAATGATAAACACTTGAGTGATAGATATTGCAATTACTCAAACTTGGTCATACCACATTGTATACAGGTATCAAAATATCACATGTACCCTGAAAATATGTACAAATATTCTACATCAATAAAAAATAAATAAAAAGTTAAATTAAAAAGTTATCTTCTTTGTTAAGTAGTCAGTACAATTCAAAGGACTCTTCCTGTGTCTTTCTGCTGTTCTCCAGGCTTGAAACATTGTAACTTCAGGGCAGGGTGTATAAACATGTGATTGTCCTCAGATTTTCAGTGGCCTCCAATTACGATGTAGCTTGTTCTGCCTGGTTTTAAGTTGCTTGTGGTGGCAGTCACTTGTTGATATCCATAGTACCTGCCAAGCTCTAATTTGTGATATTTATATATTATGGTCATTCAACTTCAAATCCCAGTTTCTTCTTGTCTAAATTCTGCAGATGTTCAAAGGAATAGATCCCTTACTAATTCTAACTTTCTGTCACATCACCTCAGAATCTTCTTGTAAGGTGTCACTTCTAATTTCAGCCATCAGTGGAGTAGACAGTTTCATGTGGGCTTTAACTCACGTTATGCCTTCAGCACTCCATTGCAAAGACACAATACCCCATGTTACACTTTTGCTCCCAGGACCTTCTCCAATGCTGTGATAGCCAAACTGGCCTGAATATATGTATAGCTCAGAAGGGAACTAACGCTCTCAGGAGTAACTCTTAACCAATGAGGGATGGGAGCCAATGACTAAAATATTTCTGCCTCCTACACTTGGAAAAAAAGTTCTAGAAGACATTCTCTAAGCTTCTCAGGAGGTTGTGGCAAAATAAAGTCCCCTTTGCCCACAATGGAAATTTCAACAATACACTCTTATACTGACTTTTCGACTGTCCTGTTTCACTCTCCTCAGTTCCTCCTTCTGCTCCCAAGGATCATCTTGCAAATGAATAAATGACATACAAGTTCTTATCATAACTTCTGTTTCTGGAAAACTCAAGATAAGATAGTCCTCATCTCAGACAACTCTCCAACTGGAGAAATGGGGACAATTTTTCGTAACATACTGTCTCTATTCTGTAGCTCGCACTAAAACTTCATAAACATATTTTCAAGTTTGTTTTCTACTATGTAAAGATATCCCTGGAAATTCAGAGAAAAAGAAAAACTTTTCTCATTCTTATAGTACCTCATTCTTGCAACGAAAAATCAGGTTTCATGACCTTTGCAATCTTATGAGATTTAAAAATTTGTCTATCGAACATTAAAGCTGAACATTGACTTCTTTGCTTGCAGTTGTTTTGCCCTCTCCCTGAAGCAACACTAGCTTCCATTCCAGTGGACAGAGCTCCACAAGGTAAAAGATTTTTTAACTACCAAAAGCATTATCTTGACATATTTTATATTGAATTTAATTACAAAGAGAAAGTTCAGATTCTGTATAATTTAGATTAAAGTAGGATGAGGAGCAGTTAGAAAGTAAGAGTGAAACCAGAAGTCTGGGCTACCATTTCAATCAGCTTGGGAAGGAAGATAGTAGTAGATGGACAGGGTTATGGGCACATACGTGTTTTATTTATTTTGTATTTTATTGTATATTTGTTTGTTTCCATTATTCATCTCTTCTAGGTGCTGAATATATAGTAGTAAAAAATATAGTTAAAATAACCGCTGTTCATATGGAGTATGGCTAAACATGTAGGCATCCACCAAATATTCAGGCTCTGTGTTGCCATTCAAGGGTAGCTACCCAGTAAGAATTTCATTCACATCTTACCAGGTATTACCATTAGAATTTGAATGGAGGTAAAGGTGGTTATTTCTGTACTGTGGCCTTTAAGAAACAGGAATGATGCCTGGAATAACTTTAGTAGCTACAGTTAGAAGGTAGCAGAGCCTTAGTCAGCCTGGGTCACTATGTGGAGCATGACGCCCTCCCAAACCACTGATCATAAAAATTACTGAACATCTATGTGAGCCAAAAATAAACCATATTATGTTAGCCTACTCAAATGTAAGGGTCTGGTTGTTTCAACCACTACTGAGAATTATATTTGGTGGGAGGGACAGACAAAAACAAGATAAATAACTAAAACATGTATTTTGTTATGAACAGAGCAAAGGCCATCGCAGGCAGAAAGAATATCAGGTGCAAAAGTCTCGGCTACAAGCATACTAGATTGTTGGAGGAAGAGATAAAGGGCCATCATGGCTGGGGCAGAAATTAGAGACGATGAAGATGTCGGTATAATTTGTAATGGGAACAAATAATGTAGGGTCCTGTAGACCATTGCGAGTAGCTGGACTGTTATTCAGAATGGAATGAATATTTGTAATATTTTGAGTGTAATTTGCCTTGTGTTTCACCACACTTCCTCTAGCTTCTTCTTCACTGGTTGAGAATATGTTGAGAGTAAATACAGAGAGACCAGTTCAGAGACCTCAGGTGAGAGATAACTGTGACTTTGATAAAGGTGTGATGGCACTGGAGGTGTGGCAAGAATTTGTATCCTAGATACATTTAGCCTAAAATATGAGGTATGAGAGCGAAGGAAGAGCTAAAGAAGGCTCCAAGATTTTATCCTGAAAAACTGGAAGGATACATTTGCCATTCACTGCATTACAGAACACTGTGAGGGGCACAGGTTTGAGCTGTGGGGCATAAAAGAAGCTCAGTTTAGGGTATGTTATGTTTATATTCATAATAAATATCTAAGTGGAGGGAGCAAGTAGGCAGGTGGTTTTGTTAGTCTAGAGTTCAAAGAAGAAATTTGTGCTGGAGGCATTCATATAGGAATTGTCAGCTTATATTTAAAGCTCTGACAGTTATGAAAATCTAAAGGAAATGAATTTAGAGAGAGTGAGAAGTCTAAGTCGTAAGCTCTCAGCAATCCTACTTCAAAGGTCAGGGAGATAAGAAGAAATCAGCAAAGGAGAACGTGGAGAAGAAACCAAAGAGTTAGTAAGAAAACCAGACCAGTGTCACATCTTAGGAGCCAAGTGAAGAAGGTGGCTCAAAGAAAAGGGTGATTACCTATAGCAAATGTTTCTGGAATATCAAAATATCACAACTGAGAAATAATCACTGAGTTTAATAATGCTGGTTGGTGATCTTCATACAAGAAATTTTGATAAGAGACAAGGAGAGAAAGAAATTTGAAACAGGGTAGATGACACTTGCAAGTTTTTCTATAAAGGGAGGACAGAAATAGAGCAATAGTTGAAGGTGGAAATGGGCTAAGAGGAGAGTGGTTTTAAGATGGAAAAGTATAATAGTATGCTTTTATAAGGATAGATATATGCAGTAGAAGAAAATTAACTTTTTAGTATTTATAACATATATCGAATATTAATGTATATTTGCAATTGAAATAAACTCACATGTAGTATGTTTGTTAATAAGAAGACTTAGGAGGACTATATTGAAGATAAAAGAGAAAAAAGGAGTGCATGATAGTTTAATATTTCCGAAAAGTCAAGGGAGTATCTAATTGAGATCAGGGAAGGAGACATAATTCCTCCATGTTAACAAGAGAAAGGTCTGAAAGGGTGACTGATAGTAGATTCATAACTAGGGAGATGGGTAGAAAAATATGGTAGGTAATGTCTAACGGCTTCTATTATCTCTCTGAGGTGAGATACGAAATCATCAACTTGAATGCAGAAAGCTGAAACTGGACCCCTTCCTTACACCTTATACAAAAATTAACCCAAGATGGATTAAAGACTTAAATGTAAGACATAAAACAATAAAAACCCTAGCGAAAACCTAGGCAATACCATTCAGGACAGAGGCATGGGCAAGGACTTCATGTCTAAAACACCAAAAGCAATGGCAACAAAAGCCAAAATTGACAAATGGGATCTAATTAAACTAAAGAGCTTCTGCACTGCAAAAGAAACTATCATCAGATTGTACAGGCAACCTACACAATGGGAGAAAATTTTTGCAATCTATCCAACTGACAAGGAGCTAATATCCAGAATCTACAAAGAACTTAAACAAATTTACAAGAAAAAAACAACCCCATCACAAAGTTGGCGAAGGATATGAACAGACATTTCTCAAAAGAAGACATTTATGCAGCCAACAAACATATGTAAAAATGCTCATCATCACTGGTCATTAGAGAAACGCAAATCAAAACCACAATGAGATAACATCTCACGCCATTTAGAATAGCGATCATTAAAAAGTCAGGAAACAACAGATGCTGGAGAGGATGTGGAGAAATAGGAACACTTTTACACTGTTGGTGGGAGCATAAATTAGTTCAACCATTGTGGAAGACAGTGTGGCAATTCCTCAAGGATCTAGAACCAGAAATACCATTTGACCCAGCAATCCCGATACTGGGTATATGCCCAAAGGATTATAGTTCATTCTACTATAAAAACACATGCACACATATGTTTATTGTGGCACTGTTCACAATAGCAAAGACTTGGAAACAACCCAAATGCCCATCAATGATAGACTAGATAAAGAAAATGTGGCACATATACACCATGGAATACTATGCAGCCATAAAAAAGGATAAGTTCATGTCCTTTGCAAGGACATGGATGAAGCTGGAAACCATCATTCTCAGCAAACTAAGACAGGAAAAGAAAACCAAACACCACATGTTCTCACTCATAAGTGAACAAAAATGAAATTGCCAAAGCCATAACAATTCTGTGTAAAATGTGTGAAAGTTGAGCAGTGTTTTTTTTTTTTTTTCTTGGAGCTACTGTTGTATACTTTGCAAACTTTTTTTTCTTGGGAGAAGAAGATTAGCAAAATCTGAATTTATCCCAGTGTTCTTCAGGTGTGCAATTCTTTTCTGGTGTCAAAACTTCATACCCTTTCCTGCCTTTCTGAATGCCCATGTGGCAGGCTGGTTCTAAAAGAGTTCCCAATAATTCCCACCTTCTGATATTCACACTCTGGTGCAATTTCCTCCTCTTGTATATGGGTTGCCCCTAGTGACTAGCTTCTAATTAATAGAATACGGCAAAAGTGATGGGATGTTACTTCTGAATAAGGTTAGAAGAAATTCTGTTTTCTATCCCTTCCTTGCTCTCCCTTGCTTCTCGCTCTCTGGCTACTTTAATGAAGCTAGCTGCCATGTTTGGAGTTGCTTTATGGAGAGACCCATGTGACAAGGAACTGAGATCCTTAGACTCTCAGTCCACAGAGAACTGAATCGTACCGATACCCACCAAGTAATCTTGGAAGCAAATTATTCATCAGTTGAACTTTGAGATGACTACTGCTTCAGTGGACACTTTGATTGCAACCTTGGGAAAATCTCTAATTTCTGACCCACAAGTATTGTGAGACAACAAATATATGTTTTTTTTTAACAGTTATATCTTGTGGAAATTGGTTAAACAGCAATAGATAACTACTATACCCTTATATTTCCATTCCTGCTTTAGGTTCCTTGCAAATTTTACAGCTTTTTTGAAATACTGACCTCAGATTTTCACGTTTCTTCTTTCTTTTTTTAACTTTTATTTTAAGTTCAGGGATATATGTGCAGGTTTGTTACATAGCTAAACTTGTGTCATGGGGGTTTGTTGTACAGATTGTTCCCTCACCCAGGTATTAGGCCTAGTACCCATTAGTTATTTTTCCCGATCCTCTCCCTCCTCCCAACCTCTACCCTCCAAAAGGCCCTAGTATGTATTGTTCCCCTGTATCTGTCCATGTGCTCTCATTATTCAGCTCTTCCTTGTTTTCATTCAAGTTTCAGTCAAAATGTCATCTCTCCAGGGAGAACTTGCTTGACCACTCTTCTTTAGCAGTGCCCTCTTTGATAGTCTCTGTCACATCATGCTGTATTATTTTCATGAAAGTGCTTATTATCTGAAGTTATTTTTTATTTTATTTTATTTTATTTTATTTTTTTGAGAAGGAGTCACGCTCTGTCACCCAGGCTGGAGTGCAGTGGCGCAATCTCAGCTCACTGCAAGCTCTGCCTCCGGGGTTCACGCCATTCTCCTGCCTCAGCATCCCGAGTAGCTGGGACTACAGGCGCCCGCCAGCACGCCCGGCTAATTTTTTGTATTTTTAGTAGAGACAGGGTTTCACCGTGTTAGCCAGGATGGTCTCAATCTCCTGACCTCGTGATTCACCTGCCTCAGCCTCCCCAAGTGCTGGGATTACAGGCGTGAGCCACCGTGCCCGGCTCATTATCTGAAGTTATCTTAATTTACTTGTTTGTTTTTTTATTATCTGTCTTCCCCTAGTTAAAATGTAAACCTCATAAGAGTCCAAACCTTGTCTTTCTGGTTCACAGTTAGTTCCCCAATGCCTAGAAAAGCACCTGACACCTAATTACTAGTACTTACTAATTATTGGTAAAATGAATGAATGAATGAACTTTACTTTGCATTTTCTAAGTTCTTGTTATTGTCCTTTCCTAAAGTAAAAAGAAGTGGCTTAGGGCAAAAACATTTGCTTTTTCTCTTTATCTCTACCTACAGAAGAATTCTTTCTCAAATATGTTTAACCTGCTGCTAATCTTCCTTCTTACAGCTGGCTCACTATTAACTTTTCCATGTCCAAAGGTCTTCATGAGCAATATTCTCACCATTTTTATTTTGCACAAAATGAGGTAAAAACAAAAAAAAATGATTTTGACATATATTACATTTTCAAACTTGTGTTTTTCTGTATTTTGATACTATGTTCATCCATATTTTCATACAGCAACATATTATCTGCATTATTAAAATTTTCTTTGTTATGTTTATGCAAAAAGTGTTGGCTTCCTGAGTGAAGTTTGAAATTTAAAAAAATTAAGAATATTAAAAATATTAATTATTAATACTTTGTTTTCCCTAGACTGTTTCTTAAAAAGTTATATATATATACATATATATATATATATTTAAGAGGTAATAGAATTTTCTTCTTCATCATTTTTAATACCAGTTCTCACTCTGTCATTTGTCCTAAAAAAAAATCTTTGATTAGATTAAATATAGCTTTAGTTTAGTGAAATCAGGTTAACTCAAAGGCTAAAGGTTGGCCTGCCCATATTTTAATCAAAAGGCAAGCTAAACTCATTTAGAATTCTACTACAACAGAAAACTTCAGTCGGCTAAATTCTAGATAATCAGCTTTGGACAGATTATTTAGCTTTATTGCGCCTACGTTTTCTGGTATATGAAATGGGAAGATAAAAATAGTAATATATTAATTCCTTCAAAGGAAAGATGAGAAATGATACATGTGTCAGCATTTTGTACACTATAAAATACTGTGCATTTTAGAAAACTTTATTTTAAAAGTATTTCATACAAAGAATGGTAAGTAAAATGAATAAGTGATATGCTTCTGAAATTTTACAAGATTTTGAATATCACTACTCATTTCTTTCCTACCTAGAAAAATGAGAACATGCTGACCTAGTTTTCTTCAATTTACAATATTCTTAAATGTTAAGTCAATTCTTTTATATCTTTACCTCATTTTTTATACTGTGGAGTGACCACAAACAAACAGTAATTTGGAAGTCAAAAATTCTTAGAAGATGTATTAGTTTATGAAATCATAGTGAAATAAAAAATCACAGAAGAGTTAACCTGAGAAGAAAGCTACAGAAAATACGATATGTATTGGAAGAAAGAAACATTAAAATGAGCTCATTTTTATAAGAAAATGGTTCTTATTTTATAACAGATGCATGTCCTTTCACAATTACAGAAGCTGAAATATAACTATAATCTACAACCATAAGGTAAGATTTCCATCTTTATGTGACATGACAAATGTACCAAGCCAAGACTTTCCCATAAACAAAATTGCTTTCTCCGACTCAAACTTTAATGCAAGGTATCAATCATGTGGTGGATTTTATTACTCAGAATTTAGCTTTGTTTCTTGACAGATTGCTTGCATTCAGCTTGAAGTACAATTGTATATCATCCCTATTATATACACATATGAATTTGTGAACCCTTTTTTATTTTAAAAAGAGTATTATAAATGGGAAGAAATACCTGGTGAGGTAGAATGAGTTAGACATTGACGATTTTAACTCAATGGTATGGTTTTGATAACACGTCATTATTTATCCACAGTAGGTCTGAGGCTGCAGGATTTATATAATATATCAGGGGATAGCAATGTCTCATGGCTCTATAAAGAATCCCTTTATTTTGACATCTTTTCTTTCTCTTTCATATGTTTCTATTTGTAAAACCATGCTCATTTTGAATAAAAAGGCAGTAACTATACCAAGACAATGCACTGACTAGACAATACATTTATAGGATGCATATTCATAGAGCAAGACCACCAAAAGTACATTTAAAAAAAATAAATCTACTATTACATATACAGATAATTGCAGGTAGTGAAAACAACACATGCTATTTGTGGTCAGGAGTTCTTACACTCTATAAGTAGTTTTAGTTTAAAAGGGGCTATAATGACCTATATCATTCACAGTCTACCATGAATTTATTATTCTTTGGGCACACAAATAAATAACAATACATATTAAAATGAGGAGATAGAGCTATGAAATGAAGCATTCACACCTAAAGTTGCCATACAATTTTCAGTCTACTTCTAGGTAGGAAAGGTGTAAAGAATCTCTAGTGCTGTCCTGTCCAGAGGGCCACATTGGGAATTGTATTTGCTGACGTCATGGCAGATACGCAATCCTACTAAATTCCAGCTGCTCGTGAATAAGCAGAATACTTTAAAAACCTTTTAACCTATCTGTGATGAAAAATACATGCTGGTTTAAACTCCTTTAGAACTTTAAATTAGCCACTGCAGCACACTGGGCTGCATGGCCCAGTAGTCCTAAAACTATCAAATGTTAAGAAGAAAATAAGCTCTGGGATTCCCCTGACGCCCTTCAAAAAAACAAAAAAAAAAACAAAAAACCTTAACCAAGTCCATTTAGATGGCTTTCCTTCTTAGCAAAACATTTAACTTTCAGGACTGCCTTAGCTGTCATACTGTTGGGTATGATTTTTGTTATTGAAAGTAAAGGATAAAAGCCTGATCCCAATGCAATCAAATTTAACTTGGCATAACTGACTAAGAACCATATTCAAATGCTTAGAAGTGGAGATACTTTTAGATAACTCATTTCTATGTAATCCCTACTTAAATGTGCTTATACAGATGAGTCCTATCTCCACGGCTTTGCTTTTAACAATGCTAAAATGAAATAAAAGAGCTGCTAAATACATTTCATTATTGTTTTGAGAAGTCTGGTTTAAATACTTGAGTTGTGAGGCATCATGGGCTCAGTGTCTGCATGATCAAGTGTTCAGCTTTCTTAAGGCTGAGTCTCATCAAGCTTAACTTTCAGCTGTGTGGAAATCTGGCTATAAAGGGTAGGTCTAGATTCCTGACAACTGCTTTCTTTCTCCTGCTCTGAGTAAAAGTCAAGAAACTGTTCTCTCATCTAATTGATAAGAAATATATTTCTCATGGTAATGTCATAATCCTTTAAAATCCCGATCTTCATGAGAAATGAGTATATGCCCTGTTATTAGTGGCCACAGGATGAAGCTTCCATAGCAAGCTTATATCCCCAAGTTCATTTTTGGAAGCCATTCTCATTATTAACTGTTCTTGATCACATATGTTGTTATATAATTTAACCAGAACACTATTAGTGGCCATTCACCAAGGACTAGAATTAGCACATGGTCTCATAAGATTACCTGGGGTAATATATGATTTTCTTAGTATTGAACACAGAATCAATATCTGTCATATACGAAGAGTTTAATAAACATAAGGTATTGGATGTGTAGGCAATAATTTCATGAGTATTTTAACATATATTCAATATCAAATAAATCCACTGTTTATTTAGTTTTTATGAAGACTACAAATAATATCCTTAGCATTTTATTTATTATTGTGTTAAATATCATTAAGCCAGTTTTATGTATTATTTCAGCAAATGTATAAAATACTTAACAGTGCCTGGCATTCAGAAGGAAATCAATAGTAATACTTATCACTATCTGCCTGCGTTACACATGTCCCTTTGTAAACTAACCTGCTTAGCTCTACTGTGAGTCAATTATACTCCAAGCTGCATAAAGACACCAGTGAAGACCCCCTCTATGTACAGCAGGAACGCTTACCAATAGTACATGTGATTAGATGTAACCTGTAATAATGTGTGTTTGGTTTAAGTTTCTACATAGGACACATTTGTGTAGAACTATTCTTGTTGAGGTACAATAGAATTATTAATAATAGTAAGTTAGTGCTGTTACTTCCACTTTCTAGATGAGGAAACTGAGGGTTTAACTTGCCGAAGATCAAGCAAATAACAAGTGGCATAATGAATTTCAAGCTAACACTCCCTGACACTCTAACCCCGGAACTTACTACCATTTTGCTTAAAAAGCAGAAAGCTTTTTTAAGCAGCGGTATAATTTGAAGGGCAAGTGAAAGTTTCCAGGCCCTAGAATAAGTTCCAAAGATTTTACTATTTTTAGAAATAAAATTCAGAAAGCAATAAAATATTTATAATTTTCAAAGGTGTCCTATCTCAAGGCAAATTCCTGATGAAAAGTATTTCTGGAATAGTATCAGAGAAGGTAAATGACGCTTCTCCCCACTCCATACCAGGCCCATAGAAAATATCCACAATAAACCGTCACATACTTCCACTGAGCCTAAATGTTGCCTTAGTCCCTCTGTTAATACTGTGGTCCCGGCAGCACTTCCAACAGTGTGAACAAGCACACAGGTGAAAACTTTTCTCATCCTATTTTAGGTCCTCTCATTTCTGTTAATAGACTGGAAAAGATTATTGACATTATTTGTTGTAGGTTCACTATTTCCCAGGCGCTATGCCAAATACTGGGACTATAACCACAGCAGACATAGTACCTGCCCTCAAGGAACTTCCAAGCCATGAAGAAAGAAGACTGAAAAAAAAAAAAACCTACCATTACAATGCTGCTAAAATAGTAATATTGAAAAAGCATAGATGTATATACAGAGTAAAGAAGAAAATCAGATCTCAGAATGTAAGTGGTTGTAGGGAACAATTCCAAAGGAGAGTGATATTTGAGCTAATTTTAAAAATATAGACCAAAGTTAATTGAAGAAAAATTATGAGAGATAGATAGGTCCTCCTAGGCCAAGAAAACAGCATACAGTAGGTCGATTAAGAATATCGGACAATACGTAAGACTGGGAAGGTAAACAAAGCTAGGTTATGGTTGTTTGACTTGCTATAGTCTGTCTTTTATCTTAAAGAGGTGTGGAGACATTTCAGCTTTTTAAACAGTTACATGACAGAATCACCTATGCTTTATAAAGTTCCTAAGTATGCTACAATAGATCCATTGGAAGGGAGCAGTGTTTGGGTAGGGGACTTTTCTGAGGCTGAACCTGCAATAGTCCAAGTGAAAAATTATGAAAACCTGAATTAAGGAAATCAAAGTGAAAATGGAGAGGAGAGGAATGATTAGGGAGATACTGAGGAAGCAGAATTTATGGGACTTTGAGATTAAATGGAGATGGTAAAATGTGGAAATGGGAGGAATCTAGGGGGAAGCCTAGATCTCTAGTTTGAGTAAATCAATGCATGATGATTCAATTTAATAAAAGAGGGAACACAAGAGAAGGTAGGGTTTTGAATGGAAGGTGATGAACTCAGTTTAGGATGGCTTAAGTTTGACACGACCATAGAGTTTTCATATAAAGTTGCACGATTTGCAGTTCAAAATAAAGATCTGAAGCACAGAAGACAGTAGATCTGATATCTACGTAATAATTTAAAAACAAGGGCACAGATAAACTCATCCAAGAAAAGCATGTTGAACCAATGAAAGCTCTGATTTGAGATTGTAGGAGACAGTGTAACATAGTTACGACAGTGAGCACGACAACCAGATTCCCAAGGTTCAGGTCCTTGTTCCAACACTTATCATGTGTTGAGAGAATTTCTTAACCTCTCTATGTAAAACATGGGTAATAATAGCACCTGCAAGATAAGGTTATTTTGGAATGTTAATATATGCAAAGGCTTAGAACATGTTCTATCACACTGTACATGCGTAATAAATATTAGCTATTGCAATGATGAGGTTGATTGTTGATGATGACACAACAAATTATACAGCTTTTCTTCACTCTAGAGATCTTTGAGTTTAGAAGATAAATAAAAACGGCCAGGCGCTGTGGCTCACACCTGTAATCCCAGCACTTTGGGAAGCCGAGGCGGGCGGATCACGAGGTCAGGAGATCGAGACCATCCTCGCTAACACGGTAAAAGCCCGTCTCTACTAAAAATACAAAAAATTAGCCGGGCGCGTTGGCGGGCGCCTGTGGTCCCAGCTACTCCGGAGGCTGAGGCAGGAGAATGGCGTGAATCCGGGAGGCGGAGCTTGCATTAAGCCCAGATCGCGCCACTGCACTCCAGCCTGGGCAAAAGAGTGAGACTCCGTCTCAAAAAAAAAAAAAAGAAGATAAATAAAAACACACAACTAAAAGAAATGCTGAGTGAGTGCTAGAATGGATGGAGATATTGGTAACATAGTAGCAATAACATACCTCAAGTTGGACAATGGCAATCTTCGGTACCAAAAAGAGGCACCAGTGTGGAAGCCCAAGAAAGATGTTAGCAAAGATAAATGATTTGTTTAAGGCCAACTCTGCCCATAAACTTCATTTCTTATGTAGTACAAAGGACACAGTCCAAAATGAAAAAAAAAAAAACATTTTTAAAAGCATGATGCCTTAAATATATGACAGGCTGTGGAAGGTGGATTCAGCAGTTTTTTATTATGGCTCTAATTGATCAAACCAAGGATACTAGGTAGAAGTCATAGGAGACAGACACACAAGACAGAGCACCTAAAATCAAACCTACCCACACAGGTAGAATAGGCAGTCTTAGAGGTAATAAATAAAAGTACCTTTTCATAATAGGTGTTCAAGCAAAGATTAAGCTGTGCTTATCAAGTATACAATAAAAATGATTCAAACATCATTTTTGAAGGTCTGACTAGATGATATTTTATGGCCTTTTCCTATTCTAAGATTATGTGATAGCTAAAATAATTGAAACACTTTATATCTCTAATATGCATGGAACAGTTTGGGGTTATTAGGGGATACTGTTACCCCCTAGTATCGTCACTAATTTTTTATTGCACTTCCAACTATAAAGGGAAGCTGAAGAACCCTCTGGGTCCTCATAGGAGACCTTATAAATGGAGCCTGTCCCTTCTCTTTCAAAACAGATGAAATCCCCACTAGTATTTTTAGCAAGACTTGGAGGCATATTCTATCGACTCCTTTCCTTCAGCATGGACTGATTTTCTCTAATCTGGATTTACTATATCCTCAAGTTTTCTACTTAAGATAGCTGGCCAGATTTATGCTACTTCTGATTTTGTTGTTTTTTTAAGCAAATATCTGGCTTCATTTTCCCCTGTGTCACACAAAACTCATAGTACCCTAGATAATTAAAGGAAAGTCTAGGGCACATCTATATTTTTACATTATTTCCACTATTCAAAGAGACTCCCCAACTTAAATAAGCACTCAATTAATCACCTGTAGATATAGATAGAACTAACATATACCTTTAAAGTGAGGTTATTAAGTGATTAAAGTCAAACTATATATAATATCTAGCATATTTATGTTAAGTAAAAGTAATGGTAATATCACTTTTAGTGATGAAAGTGACACTTATGCATTATTTTAGGGATAAAAGAAATAAGCACAAGTTACCAAAAAACATAAGATAACCAGATTCCAAAGGTTGTTCTCATTTAAAAATATGCACACTGTTTATAAACATTTTATAAATGCTTATACATAAGCACAAAGAAAAAAGTAAGTCCTCCATTCTAACTAGAAATAACCACTAAAAATAAGTGTTTTCCAAAATATTTTTCAACAAGTTTTTAATGCCTGTATTCCATTAATTTTGTTTTCTTTTTAATCACAAATAATGCCACTATTAATATCCCTTTAGATATCTGTATTAAATTTCTATTGATGTGTAACAAATTACCACATATTTAACAGACCTATTTGTTTTCTCACATTTCTGTAGGTCAGAAGCCCAGGCAGAAGAGCATGGCTCGGTCCTCTGCTCAGAGTCTCACCAGGATACATCGAAGTATTTTTCTGGGTCTGCAAACTTATAGGAGGCTCAGGATTCTCTCCCAAAATCAATAGTTGTTGGCAGAATTCATTTTCTTGTGACTGTAGGATTGAGTTTCTTGTTTTCACACTGGTTGTTGGCCAGGGGCAGCCCTTAGCTATTAGAGGCTATCCACAATTTCTTGCCATGTGGCCACCTTCATAGGCCCTCTGACAACACGGTTATGTGCTGCTTCAAGGCCAGCAGGGGAATATGACACTTCAAATCAAGAAGGTCCCAGCCCCTTTTAAGAGATCATCTGATTAAGTCAGGCCCACCAGAGCTAATTTATATTTTGATTAACTCAGAATCAACTAATTTAATCATGAAGTAAAATCCATCCTATTCATAGGTTCTGCTCACACTCAAGGAAAGGAGGTAATAAAGGGCCTCAATATCAGGGACTGAGATTTAGGAAGCCATCTCAGTATTTGGTTTACCACAAAATCCTGCTATATAATTTTTTCCAGATTGTTAACCAATTCGTCCATTGAGTTTTGGGGTTTTTTGTTTTTTGTTTGTTTGTTTGTTTGTTTTGAGACAGAGTTTCACTCTTATTGCCCAGGCTGGAATGCAATGGCATGATCTCGGCTCACCGCAACCTCCACCTCCTGGGTTAAAGCGATTCTCCTGCCTCAGCCTCCCAAGTAGCTGGGATTACAGGTGTGTGCCACCATGTCCAGCTAATTTTGTATTTTTAGTAGAGACGGGGTTTCTCCATGTTGTTTAGGCTGGTATCGAAGTCCTGACCTCAGGTGATCCACCTGCCTCAGCCTCCCAAAAAGTGGGATTACAGGCATGAACAACCATGCCCAGCCGTCCACTGAGTTTTAAGTAATCTATTACCCATGTATTCAAAATTCCAAATCTGATTCATTAAATATCTGCCAAGCACACATGAGTACACACACATATGAACCTGGGCCCATTTATGGACTTTCTGTTCTTTTTAATTAATCTCCATAGGTCTTCATTTACTACATCATAATATACACTTACAATATTGAGTCTTCTTTCTTGAGCAATGAATAGCTCACAAATTTTCCAGCTCTTTTTCACTTACATCCCACAGTAAAATTTTGCACTTGTTTTACATAAATGTTGCTAGTTGTTGTTAAGATATTTTACAAATAAATAGGTTTTTAAAATTTTACTGTGATTTTTTTTCTTTGTTTGTTTGAGACAGTGTCTCATTCTGTCACCCAGGCTAGAGTGCAGTCACGCAACTGTAAGTGGATCTTTACTGGTCATGCCTTTTGACTGATAGTTTCTCATATATGAAAAAATTAATTTTAAAAATATCCCATAACATTTCTAAATTGATATTTTTAATAAACTTTAGTTAATTTCCTCAAGTTTTACAGGTAGACAAAAAAATAGTTGTAAAGATTAATAATATTCAAATAGATATATCTTTTATCTTTGTTCATTGTCTTATTTCATTGGTTAAAAATCCACAATAAGGTGAAAATTGGAGCAATAGCAGCATTCTAGTTTGTCCTAATTATGAGACAAATGCCTAGAGTGTTTCAATAGTAAATCTCAGTTTGGTTATTGGTTTTAGATAAATCATAGAGAACCAAAAGCAAAGAGCAGAAACAGATGTTGTATTTTATTACTTATTTATTATATAAATCAATATTACCTTACTTTTTAAATTTCTCCATGACTTTTTAATATGCTACAAGTTCTAGCATTGTACCATTTTTTTAGTTTTGATAAACTTTATTTGGTCATTGCCATATATAAATTTTTAAATGTAAGTTGCATTCCATTTACTGTCTTCTTTTTGAGACAGAGTCTCGCTCTGTCGCCCAGGCTGGAGTGCAGCGGCACGATCTTTGGTCACTACAAGCTCCACCTCCTGGGTTCACACCATTCTCCTGCCTCAGCCTCCCTGAGAAGCTGGGACTACAGGTGCCCGCCACCACACCTGGCTAAATTTTGTATTTTTAGTAGAGACGGGGTTTCACCACGTTAGCCAGGATGGTCTCGATCTCCTGACCTCATGATCCGCCCGCTTCGGCCTCCAAAAGTGCTGGGATTACAGGCATGAGCCACCGTGCCCAGCCTCCATTTACTTATTTTGTACAGGGATCAGGGAAAGAAGTGAGGTCAGGGGAGCATACAATGACATTATATTTGGCTACTTTTTTATCAGGATTATGCTGGTCTCATACATATTTTTGAAAGTTTTACATCTGTTTCTATGTCATGGAACAGTTTAAAAAGTATGGTACTTAACTATTCTTAGAAGGATTATAAAAATTTTCCCATTTAACTAGCTGAACCTAGTGCTTTTTTGGAAGAAGATTTTAGTATTTTTTTATGGCTATGGTATTTTAATTGTCATTTTATAAGATTACTTTTGATTCATTGTTGGTAATTTTCATTCCTCTAAAAAAGCATCTATTTTTATAAAGTTTCCCACAACATTTACTTACAAATAATAAAATTCCTATCTTTGCTTATATTTCATTTTCATTCCAATTGTTATATTTGTATTTTCTCTTTCTAACTTATTTACTTTATGCAGGGGTGATGTGAGGAATTTCAAATAAAGAACTTTGATTTTGTAATATATTCTTAAAACATTCATTTAACTCAAACACAAACACTCAATAATCATGTGCAATTGAACACATCCATGAATATTCTGACAGTTTCTCTCATTTTGTCAGAAATATATTCCAGGAAGAAACTTTCTTTGTTTCTTGAATGTGTTTTCCACTTGACCAGTAGCATCTTTTAATAATTCTAGTGGTTTGGCTCCATTTACTCATTAAATAGGAAGTCTAACCATGTACCTTTCTGCTTACTTGAGCTTACTCAGCTGTAAATCCCTAGCAAGTCCCCAACATCGTGTGGTTTCTTTGCTAATCCATGCATGCTTTCTCACCTGTAAATCAGAAGCTACTGTGTGGTTACAAGTTATCCTCCTGTTACTTTACATAGCTTGTTCACAAGAGGATTTAATTCCTCCTCTCTATAACTTCTGCCTTTAGTCTAATTTCTTCTGTCCTGTCTGTAGCAAATATGTTTTTACATCTATTTACACTGGTAGTTTTTCTGAGTGTCCAGTATTGATGCAGATAATCCCATTTCAATATTTATTAGTCAATTTAATGGGAATTCTTGCAGTAAAAATCTGAGCTGACTTTGTCATCTTACTTACAGGTTCAGGAATTAAGAATATAAATATACATGATGTAGCCACCTTAAAATATTTTCTATCATAACCCCAAATTCGTCATATTTTAATGATTTAATAATTTAAGATATAAGCAATCATGTGACACATAACAGATTTCCCATTTTAAATACTTTAAATGCCAATATTGTATAATATTTGGGTCAGTTACTTTGTCAGACATATAATTTCACAGATATTGTTAAGGCACATTCTCCACATCTAGTTCCGCTCTGGCCAGAAGAAACCACTATATTGAAAGGGATATATATATACATATGTATATACACATATACATATATATACACACATATATATACATATACACATATATACACATATATACATATACACACATATATACATATATACATATATGTACATATACACATATATATACATATATACATATATGTACATATACACATATATATGTATATGTGTATATACATATATATATCTCCATCCTATATGTTTTCATATTTTACATGAAATATGAACATCACTCCCCTACTACTCTCTGTATTTTCTGCTAATGTCTCCAGTTGGGAAAATCCAATTGGAAATCAGAGGACTTAGCAACTCATTGATGTAATCCACCAGTGTCTATGTAAAATATCCACCCCATATATGGTTTCATATTTTACATAGACATATAAACAATAAACAATACATGCTATTTTGTATATTTAAGATTTGAGTAATAATAAAATCCTTAACGTCTTTTCCTTTTTTTGTTGTTTTTAGAGATAGTCGCACTCATGTGGAACTATCGTGCAGTGGCACGATCATAGCTCACCACAGCTTCAAACTCCTGGGCTCGAGCACTCCTCCCACCTGAGCTTCCCAAAAAGCTAGGACTTCAGGCATGTACCACCACACCTGGCTTAAAATTCTTAACTTGATCATCATCCTGCAAATTAATTTCTTCAACCAATATTATTTCATTAAGATTTATTTGGATGGTACAGGTAGATACTATATCAGTCCATAAAGTTACAATTTGTATATTCACTTCCCCTTTGATGAACTTGTTTTTCCTACTTTTTCGATGGAAAACAATGTTTCTTTATGAATAAACACAAAATTCTTCTGAGGAATATACCAGGAGTTGAATTTTGGATTATTGTGGACATACCAACTTTGCTTTCAAAACAGAAGCCTCTATTTATATTCCAACTAACAGATTTGTAATTATTTCTCCACATTTTCACCAAAACTTTGATTAATCAAACTTTTCAGTTTTGTTCATTTGAATGGTGTAAAACAACATTTAAGCAGTTTGAATTTTCATTTATTTAAATGCTAATAATTTCTGTTAATTTTTATGCTCAAAAATTTTCATTTGCTGTCCAGTCATTCTCCACCCTTATCCACCCTTGCTCTATACCCTGTTGTCAGAGCCATATGGACTACATCAATTTATTTCTAAGTCCTTTGATTTCCAATTGGCTTTTCCCAACTGGAGACAGACATTAGCAGAAAATACAGAGAGCAGTAGGGAATTGACGTTAGATATCTCCCTGCTGGCTGCCATGGGTTGGTTGTGTCTCCCTACCAGAATCTATCGCTCCTGTCAGACTGGCTGTCTTATCCTCGTCTCTCTCCTCATACCTTCATATTTCTCTCTTCTGCTGCTGACTCTGTGGAACTAGTCTATTCCTCATTGGCTTCCTGAATCTTGCCCTTACATTTCTAAAGCGTCCTTGTATTAAATCTCTTCAAATTCTCCTTGTAAGTATGCCATATGATTCCTGCTGAACCTTGATTAATACAATATTCTGCAGTCAATTTTCCACTGTACATTTTCTCTTATCAATTTATAAAAGTTATTCTCATACTCTATCAATCTTTAGTCAGTTATATTAATTACAAATGCTCAACATGCAGCTTGCTTTGAACTTCAGGAGATCTCTTGTAGTATGAGAAGATATAGATATAATTTAAGGTTGTGAAATACATTAAATAGTTGCCCCTTGTTTAAGAAATTATTTTCTACCCCAATTTTCTAAAAAGATTCTGCTATAATTATTTTTAGAGTTATGGGTTTGCTTCTCTAAATAGATCTTCAGTTTATTTTGTGTATGGAAAAAAACAAATATTTTTGTTTTCTGCCTGGTTAACCAATTCAGTAACATTTATGGAATGAACCATCCCTTTCCAGTGCTCCATGGGGATCAGCTAAACTCTTGCCCTTCTGATAGTTATCATTTCACTGTTTTTGCCCTAATTAGATTGAATCATTTTTCTATTTATTGCAATCAAAACAGTCTTGATAATGTTAACCATATGATATGCTTTAAAATGAGGATTAAGTGAAGACAGAAGGGCCCAACAAATTAGTAAAAATAAATAAAGTATGTGATTGATTAAGGCCTTAGTAATCTCCAGGAAATCAAAGATTCAGTTAAGTAGAGAAACAGTAGTAAAAGTGGTAGTCAAATTGGACACTATATTATTAGGTGAGATCTCGGCTCGCCACAACCTCCACCTCTCAGGCTCAAGGGATCCTCCCACCTCAAGTGTGTGCTATCATGCCCGGTTAATTTTTGTATTTTTTTGTAGAGATTGGGTTTTGCCATGTTGCCAAGGCTGGCCTCAAACTCCTGGGCTCAAGCCATCCACCTGCCTCTGCCTCCCAAAATATTGAGACTACAGGCTGGAGCCACTGCATCTGACCAACAACAATTCTAAATAATGACAATATACAATACGTAGTCTTAGGGTTGTGTAGTTGAAATATCATGAAGGTGAAGGTTAGTGGAATTGAGGAGGACAAGAAACTTAAGGCAAAGTATTCATAAACATCCATATACTGATGTTGACCTTACTCAGGAATATATCAGAAATAGCTAGCTATATTTATCTCATCATATAAAAACACACTTAAACTCTATTCCATGCCAATTTTCCAAGTAATAAATATGATAAAAGATACACATTTTCAAAAATCAATGTGTATCCATGCCACTTTTCTAATTAATAAACATGATAAAAGAGATACATTTTCAATAATCAATATGTTTATTAAAACCCACTAACGTCTTCAAAGTTATTTCAGATATAAAGATGGAAGGATGGATACTAAGATGAGAGGATGGATACTAACCAAAAAACATATTTTAGATCTGATAAAGATGAAGGAAGAAGAAATAAAATTTCCAATGCAGTAATAAGTAGCATTTAATGAGTATTTATCTGCTTTATTTATGTGTGCTGTACCTTACTTATGTTAGTTCATTCAATACAGTAGGATGTAGAGCAAGGAATCAAACCCTGAATGAATAGACCACTAAAACACATGTCTCTGATACATTCCCTACATACTTACTTTCATCTGCAATAAAAATTTTACAGAATAAGCCAAATACAATGTTTTGATAAATGAAAACTTCAGTTACTAAAACATATTTTGTTATTGCCTTACAAACTTATTTTATTCAGTAGCATATCAGAACAAATTGTAGCATTACCATACATATTTACAACTTTTTTTTCTGATTACAGCTCTATTGAACTTCTCTCTAATTAATTAAAAATCTCATAAGGAGATAACCTTTACTTTGACACAACATCTTTCAAAATATATTTCTGAAACTCCATTTATTATATGTTCTAAAATATCAACTTAGAAAAGCTTAGACTAGAAATAAAAGGGCTGAATTAATTAGTCAACAATGATTAATTAGACATTTATCTATAGTAAGATTTCAAATCTCTTCATTCCCTTGGCTCAATGCCACATATGTTTATTTAATGAGATCTCTATCTTCTATGAAGTTATGAAGGGTTAAAAATTCTGGCATTTAGATGGATACATTTATTCTGATAATAGTTGGCAATGATAGTATATTCTGTATAATTTGAGTAGAAAATACACTTATTTCTGTTCTAAAATACATTTTAAGAAGTTTAGGTATCTGAACTAAATTATGTCAGTTAGCTGATCTTTTAAGTAAATAAATTTGTTAAGTTTAAATAGATAAATTTGTAGCATTTTTTCTGTGAGTCAGCCTAATTTAGGGCATAAAAATATCTTCCAAGAGTATGTTAGATTCCTTTGACTTGATTTAAAATAACTTTTGCATAGATGATGAAATTTCTAATTATATAAACAATCATTAACTGAGGCATAGAAAAACTGTGTGCATAAAGATTGTTGTGGTGGCTGTTGGCTATTTAAAATCACATCTGCTAGCATTATTTGGTTAAGATTTTTCATGTTCTGCTTAAGCATTTACAGATTTCCCGAGTGAATTCTCCTCTAAATATTTAGGTTTAAGGAAGAATTTTCCCTAGACATATTAAGTGGTTGGTTTCTAAGTTAATTTTCATTTCTTAATCAGTTTCTGCTTACATATTTTGACTTTACCATGTCCATTTATATTATTCCTTTATCTTCAATGGTGTGGGGACATAACATGAAATCAAGAACTGTGGCAAATTTAATTAATTGTATTTCAGACTGTGAATATAGATAGATATAAAATAAAAGGACGATCATAACTTAAGTTAGTCTTCTATTTAACTTTGTTGAATGAATATGGTGTAACTGCTTTAACTGCTTTTCTGTTTGAGTTGTTAAATCTTCTGACATTTTAATTTATGCATAAGTGCTTTTGGTTACTAGAGTTGCCTTAACAATTACCAAAACTTGCTGGCTTAAAAAATAAATGGAATTTTGGCCTGGCACAGTGGCTTATGCCTGTAATCCCAGCACTTTGGGAGGCCAAGGTGGGCGATCACTGGAAGGCAAGAATTCGAGACCAGCCTGGCCAAAATGGTGAAACCCCGTCTTTACTAAGAATACAAAAATTATCTGCGGCATGGTGGTGCACACTGTAGTTGTAACTACTCTGGAGGCTGAAGCAGGAGGATCGCTTGAACCCAGGAGGTGGAGGTTGCAATGAGCCCAGATGGCGTCACTACGCTCCAGCCTGGGTGACAGAGTGAGACTCTGTCTCCAAATAAATAAATAAATAAATAAATAAATAAATAAATAAATACATAAATAAATAAATAAATAAGAGGCCGGGTGCAGTGGCTCACATCTATAATCCCAGCACTTTGGGAAGCCAAGGCTGGCAGATCATAAGGTCAGGAGATTGAGACCATCCTGGCTAACGTGATGTAACGCCTTCTCTACTAAAAATACAAAAAATTAGGCGGGCGTGGTGGCATGCACCTGTAGTCCCAGCTACCCAGGAGGCTGAGGCAAGAGAATCGCTTGATCCCAGGAGGTGGAGGTTGCAGTAAGCCGAGATTGTGCCACTGCACTCCAGCTTGGGCCACAGAGAGAGCCTCCATCTCAAAAAAAGAATTTAAAAAAAAGAGAAAGAAAAAATAAATAAATGGAATTTTATCCTCTCACAGTTCTGGAGGCCAGAAGTCCAAAGTCAAAGTATTGGCAGGATTGGTTGTTTCTTAAGGCTCTGAGAGAGAATCTGTTCCGCAACTGTCTCCTAGCTTCTGATTGTTACGGGCAATCTTTGGCAGTCTGTGCTTGTAGACAAATCGCTCCAGTCTCTGCCTCTGTCTTTGCATGGCTTTATACCACATTTATAGCACAGAAAGACACATTTGATTGGATTTAGGGCCCACCTGGGTAATTTAGAATGCTCTCATCCTTAACTTAATTATAAATGGTAAAAAAAAAAAAAAAAAAAAAAAAAAAAAAAATTCAAATAAAGTCAAATTCACAGGTACTGGGAATTAGGATTTGGACATATCTTCTTGGGGACCACAATTCATCCTACTACAATAAGTTTCATTACAAATTATTTTAAAGTAATTGTTCAAATGAAATCAGATACCTGACATCAATTACATTATTATGCATTACAAAACCATTTTCATTCGGTTTCTTTTCTCTGTGAATGTTATGGATCAAAAAACAAATTAATTTGTCCTTACCAATATTTTTATAGTCACATTCAAAGTATTTGTTTCAGATATTTTTGAGTAACGTTTTGCTGGTTGATCACCACATAAGCTATTTTTAAATTAATTTTATTACCATGTTAATCTGATCAAAATAATCATCCCAGAGTAATATCTTCTGTAACAAGCAGAGAACATGATTATAACTGCATTCTTTTTCATAAGTCAATAAAACATTAATGTAGCATTTGGTTGATTTTCAGTGAACATTTATCTCCATGCAGAGTTGAATTATCATCATAACTCTCTATTCAATCAATAGTATACACTTTTGACATCAATTAATTTCATTAGTAATTTCCTGATTCCTGGATATAGAATTTGTAACTCTTTGTAATTAGTTCACTCAACACATCCATGAGAATAATAAATATATCCCTATTATAAACTGACCAAAGAGTGATGAGATAATTAATTTTAAAAAAACTAGCAAGTGGCAATTAAATAACAAATTGATACAGCTTTAAAGTCGAACTCCTAAAAGAAAATCGGGTTACCTTTTGTATGCTCTATAGATAGGCATCAATTTCCTTGGGCTTGAAATGTAATGTTCAGTGTTCCCAAGGGCACAGTGTTAATTAAGTCAAGTAGAGGACTTTGGGGAAGCAAGTGGTAACTTACAGATCTAATAAACCATATAATTAAAGGAAGGCATGAGGAAAATAAACTTACTGCTCAGTCTGCAAGACATTTATTTGAAAATTTTACAGGCTAGTGAGCATGGATGGATGGAATCCATTTTGTGTGTGTATGTGTATTTCTTGCTTCATTATGTTTCTATTACTGTTAACACTATATTCACTGCTTTCAGTCATTAGAACAAAACAAATAGTTAAAAAGTAAAGAATTCAACCAACAATTTATCCACACAAAACTAGGAAAATTTGACTGATCTCTGTTTTTAATAAAATTGACAAAAAGATTGGCTGTTTTGCCATCAACTAGTCAAAACTGTTTAAATTTCTAATTTATTCTCAAGGTAAAACCACACATTGGCTTTAGGCATCAATATAGCTTTTACTGATGTAAGTGTTTGCATTTATTGTTATTGTGAAGACTAAAAAGGGATGAGAACCACTTATATCCCAGGATTTCCTGATTGAAATGTACATTACCAGGTGTTTTCACTTTTGTTGCTTCTTTTAAGACCCCCAAAAAGTTTTTATGGCATTAACTATTACAATTTATTAAACATAACTAAATAATAGTCCAGGAGAAAACCCCAGAGAGATATTTATAAAGTTAAGGGCTTCTATTATTTTAACAGAATAAATTTAATGCATTAGTTAGCAATATAATTAGTTTGAAAACAATAAATATGAATGCAGTAATGCGAGTTCATGGCTTTTAAAGCAGATCCACTTTCTTGAAAAAAATATTTTAAAATATAATTGTTTCAGCTATATGTTAAAATGAAACAGCAGAGTGCCTCTGGCTCTCTGAACTCTAATCATCTTGGCTTCTGTGAAAAGATAATTGAATTTCTTATCTAAATATTGAATATTCCTCACCAACTAACTGAAAGTCAAAATTCTTTTCTGGATAAAGCTTTAAATTATCAGGTATGATCCTGGGTTAATTATAGGGCTAATATATATTATATGTTAAAATAATTTTCAGATCATCTTGGTTACTTTTCAAAGTATGAGTGTGAAAATCCGTATTTCAAAATCAAGAATGACGGAAAAGCTAGTATTTAAATTAGAATTGACTGCTTCTCAACATCTAGCTGAGTTTCACCAAATGTTTACTGTCTGTCACCAGATTATTTAATTTTGAGTATTTACATACTAAAATTGTTATTTAAGAATTTTAAATGAGAATGTTTGTATTTTATAATTTTTGATACCCCATAAATTTATATTTCCAGATGTGAAAATAAATGAAGACCATCCAAATGACAATAAGCTAAGGCTATTTATTCAGAGCTTGCTATAGCCAGAGAATCAGTCACTATAACCTGCGTGTTGCAGAGATTCAAAAGCAGTTGGAAGGAGTGCAGTACAAAAGCTAGAGAAATTGGAAGGCTTCGGGTATGCTCTGACTGGAGCTTGTCGGCATAGGAAAGCTGAAGCCTGGCTAAGTAGAAGTAGGGCATCCTATGTTGGTTATGGAGTAGTCTTTTGTTTTCTCTAGTTAGTCCTAAATTAGAAACAGGGCAAAAATTAGGGATGCTGGTAGTTATTGACCAAGTTTTGACCATACACAGCTGATTGCTACAGAGGTTATGGTTTTTGGCTTCCAGGTCTGATTGCCACAGAGGTTGTGAGTCAGAGTTCTGTTTTTATTTATGACCTGGTCATTGTCCATTTACATATTCAGTCTCTCACAGATATATACATATTTCATTATAAAATTAATACTGTAAGGTCAATCTAATATTAATCTGTAGTGAAAGTTGCTCTTTGATTTATTAAAACTTTGCAATATTTATTTATATTTCATCCATAAATTAAAAATGAGGTATGGATTTTCTCTTAAATTAGGTCAAATTCTTCAAATAGAATTCAAATATCTTCCTCCAATAACTTACAAAATAAAAAGTCCTAGTATTCAAAGACAAGTTGCTACTAATCAATCAAAAAATATTAAATATTTAAAACATGGTTCAGAAAATTTTCACCCAAAATATGATGCTAGCTTTATTGCCCCAAATCAGTCATTCTTTGTATCTCTAGGTTGTCTCTGTTTATTAACTCACATGTCTAAGACAGGATTTTTCATTTTCTCCTCTGACTCCACATTGGTCCAATGATCCTTATGAAATCACTGATGCCCCCGGACCCAGCCCTCTCCAGCAGCTCCTCCTACTACCACAATTCTAGTTTCAGCAGAAAATGCATATGTACTTTCTAAAGCTCTAAACATTCTACTGGTTTAGTCTTCCAGTATTTATTGCTTATAGATATTCTATTATATACTTACATTCAGCTCCTCACCAATAAAAACGACAAATTTTAGATCATTTATGAGCAGGACTAAAATTGTTTATGTTAGAATTAATCACTGAAATTTCAAAGTATTACAAATCAGTAAATACAGCAAAGAAAAAGGGTGGTGAAAAGTACATATTAATATCAGTCACATTTCAAAAGTGTACACTGAAAGCAGGAGAAAAACAATGGTAATACCTTCTAAATTAAATATTGGCAAAAAAAATTTCTTAACATAAAATTAAATGAAAAATAAAGTAAGCTAAAGAAAAATGGAGAGCATATTTCTATTTTTTCCATTCATAAACTTGTATTCTACTTATATCAGTTTATTACACATTCTTAACAATGATTAAAATTGTTCATGAAAATTTCATAAGACATTAAACAAAATAGCTATCATCTCAAATTATTTCCCTATTAACTGTTTTTACAGCACATTTATGTTAGGTAAGTATTTTTAAAAATCACAAAAGCAAAATACCTTTAAAAGTTGAACACATGAGTTTTTTCTTTTACTGCTGTACTTGATATACATGAAGTAATGGATATCAAGCAATTCATTTTACAGCATCTTTATTTGTACATTTGTTGTTAGGTTGCTTAAAATATTTAAATATAAATATATAAGAGTGGCAAAAATAAGGCTGGACATGGTGGCTCACGCCTGTAATACCAGCACTTCGGCAGGCCAAGGCAGGCAGATCACTTGAGGTCAGGAGTTTGAAACCAGCCTGGTCAACATGTTGAAACCCCATCTCTACTAAAAATACAGAAATTAGCCAGGCGTGGTGGTGGGCGCCTTTAATCCCAGTTACTGGGAAAGCTGAGGCAGGAGAATGGCTCGAACCTGGAGGCAGAGGTTGCAGTGAGCCGAGATTGCGCCATTGCACTCCAGCCTAAGTGACAGAGCAAGACTCTGTCTCAAAAAAACAAACAAACAAAAAAACAAAAGAAAGAAAAAAAGAAAGCAAACAACAGATAACTTTACAAAGAATAGGAATCATTTCTGCCCTTCTCTAGAGGAAATTGAGTGACAGCTTTGTATAAAGGAACATTTCCGAAGCTATAGTCCAAGGTGTACACATTGAAACTGCATTCCACCCATTCATATGTTCAGGATATTATGCCTATGGGGTACCTATTTCTACAACAACCTTGTAAATACTCCCACTGACAGGGCTCAGAACACTCCCAAAGTACAGTGTCTTGGCATGCTGAACTGAAAAAAGGGGCTCAGAAGTAAAATCTTTCTGACCTTCTCCTGCTCTTCTTTCTCCTGGTCCCCTTTCTTCACCAACTCAGGCCATGGAGCCTGAAATTTCTCCTCCCCAAGGCAGGTCAAAGACACCAGAAATCCTCTCCCCCAAAGCCAAAGATAAAAAGTAAAAATATTATTCTAGCCTTTTCTTGCCTTTCTGTGTGAGAGCTAGCCATACAGAAATTCCCTGACCTACCTTGTCTGTTAGTAGGTCATAAGGCCCTTATTCCAGAAGGAGTCTTGTCTTATATCCAGAAGGAAGAAATGCCACACATAGAAGCACAAGAAAAATATAAACACGCAGGCCTGGCTGTGTTTCTCCATTCAGTCTATTAGCATTAAATCAGTCCCTTTTTGACAAATTACATTTTTGCATGACTGTCTACGCTTTGTCGCATCTAAGAATTAAAATGGACAGTTTTTCCTTGAGTCTTTGCATCTTCAATTTGAAGCCTCTCATGTCTTGCAAAACTTTGATTAAATATTTTATGCTTTTCTCCTATTAATCTGTCTTTGTTTTCTTTCAGACCTAGCCAGGAACCCTAAAAGGGTTATGGAAACTTTTCTTTCCTTACAGTTTGCACAACTACAACTAAACCTGGAACAAATTATCCTTTAATCCGTTATTAGGACACACCAATATATAGGTGCTTTCCTTTGCCTAGACACAGAGGCAGTTATAACAGAGGTCCTTGTGAGGCCACAATTTAGCAAAATACTATGTCAAACATTTATAGCTTATATGAAAATTTCACATCCCCATATTGGCCACCTAAAGATGAAAACATATAACTCCCTAAATCTTAATTGGCCCTATTCTAATGTAAAACATAAAAACCATATAGGAAAAAACAGAAATTCAAATAGAAGTAACCTATACCTTTTTAAAAAAATTATATTCAGGACATATGGATGACAAATGGTCCACTGTGTTTTAGAATGAAGTAGACAAATTTGAGAAGTCAGTTAATTTTCACCTTCTTCTCCTGCTTCAGCTTCATCTCCTTGGGTATCTGATGTGTAAAATGTTAAGTAGTTTCTCAGTAGTTGCATTATTAGCATGCTATCTTTATATGACTCTTAATGTATTGAGTCCAACAATGGCTTCATCAAAAGCTGTCTTTGCAAGACAGCAGGCTTTCTCCAGCAAGTTCAGATTCTCACAATACAACACAGAGAGCTTATAGCCCAGACCCAATCTGATAGGATGTGTTGATTGCAATTCCTTTTTCTGATTTCAAAAGCTTCTTGATGTGCTTGTTGTGACTGATCCACAATCCCTTTCTTATCATCACTAGCGGCAACCTGAGCCAAATAACAAAAGTAGACTCCTTTTGCTTTTAATAGATTTTGCTCTGTGCTTGTGAAGCTTTGGGGATCAAGAACTCTTCCAAAAGGGACAGTACATCATTTACAGATAGCTCTTAGCTCACTTTGCATTTTCTCTCTGTATTCTCAAGCCATCTGCTGTTTTTCTCAGCAGCTTCTGTCATTTGCCCAATACTTGAGACGAAGCTCCAAGATGACCTACAGGCTCCTGTAACATTTTTATAAGCAACTAAAAGAAGATTCCTCTCCTAATAAAAAAAAAATTCAGTTCCTTGCTTAGTTACAGACATCATGCAGTCTTTCGTGACAACATATTGCTCAGCCCATTTGGCCTTCTGCACCGGGATATTTTTACCCATGACTGAATGTTCTGTGTCAGAAGTGGTTGGCGGTAGACGAATGGGGGCTCGGCAATCTTTGGATGGTGAGAGTCGCAAGGCTCAAACTCTGTCCCTAGATCTTGCTGCTCACACGGTCTGTGTTTCTATTTTCAATTTGTGGCAAAATGTATAAGAAAGTGCTATGAAAGGAATATTACTTGTATTATTTCCTCATCACTAAGTTCTTTATAGCAGTTTCTTTTCCCTTGTGGAAGAGAGTTCCAAACAGAGCCTATGAATCCCTGAAGAAATTTTAGCTCAGGAAATGATTTAAAAACAAAATCCAAATCCAATAGCCAAACTGACTTATGTTTACCTTTAGAAGTTTTATAGTTCTAGACTTTACACTGAAGCCTATGATGTGTTTTGTGTTCATTTTTACATGGTTCAAAGCACCTGAGTATGGATCAGATCTCATGTTTTTTGTCTTGTTCTGTTTTGTTTTGTTTTTGGCATATAGATATCCAATTATTCCAGAACCATTTCTTGAAAATGACAATTCTTTCTCCAGTGAATTGCTTTTGTACCTTTGTCAAAAATCAGTATTTTGTGTATGAGAGTGTATTTATAGATTCCCTCTTCTGTTCCCTTGAGTAATTTGTCTCTCTTGATGCCATTCTTCTTGATAATTCAAGCTTTATAATAAGCCTTGAAATCAGGTAGTGTTTGCCATACAACTTTTTCTCCTTTTTTAAGTTTCTTTAAAAATTTGTGACTTGCATTTAGTTCCTTAGTATTTCTATAAGAATTTTAGAATTAGCTTGCCAATTTCTACAAAAGAAAAAGAAGTCTCATGCTAGGATATTGATTGTGAATCTATAATTTGGTGAAAATCTACATCATAATATTTATCCTTCTGGCTCATGAACATGAGACATAAATCCATTTATTTATAGTTTAATTTCTCTAACATTTTCTAGTTTTAATGTTTATATCTTACACATTGTCAGATTTATCTCTAAGTATTTAATAATTTTAGTGCTATAATAAGTGACATCATTTTTAATTTCAATTTGTGAATATTTGTTGGTAGTATATTAAAATACAATTAATTTTATGACTTGATCTGGTTCCTGCAACCCAATAAACTTACTTACTAGTTCTAGTACAAAGCTCAATAGAAGTAGTAAGAGAGTGATTTGTTTCTGATCATAGGGGAAAAGCACTATCTTTCATCAGTATGTACAATGTTAGCAACAGGATTTTTGTAAATGTCCTCAATTAAATTGCATGAATTATTTCTATTCCTGGTTTGCTGAGAGTTTGGGTGAAATGGAGGTTGGATTTTGTCAATTGCATTTTTATGTATCTACTGGGATGATCATTTTTTTTCTTTTATGCCTTTCTAATATGGTGAATTATATTAATTAGTTTTCAATGTAAAGACCTTTTATTCTGGATAAGTTTCATTTGGTCATGATATGTCCCACTGTATTGCTGGATTTGGTTTGCTAAAATTTTATTGACTCTTTTGCATCTATGTTTTTGGAAAGTATTATGCAGTTGTTTCTTGTTCTTATAAAGTCTTTCTAAATTTGGTATTATGATAATATTGTCCTCATCAAATAAAATGTAGAATATTCAATCCTCTTCAGTTTTCCAGGGAAAATTCTGTAGAATGGGTATGATTTCCTCTTTAAAAGTTTAGTATAATTTCTTGATGTTTACTTTGTGTTAATACTTTTGAATGCAAATTAAATTCCTTAATAGCTATAAAACATTTGAGGTTATTTTTCTTGACTGAGTAAATAATTCATCTATTTCCTCTAAGTAGTCAAATTTATTAGTATAAAATTGCTTATAATATTCCCAAATTATACTTTTAATAGCTATAGAATCTTCTATGATGTCATCTCTTTTATTTCTAATTTGTAATTTGTGTTTTCTATCTTTTTTCCTAGTCAGTCTGGTAAAAGATTGGTTTTCTCAAAGAACCACCATTGATTACAGTATTTTGTTCTGTCTTGTATTTGTTTCAGGCACCTCACTCAGCCCATGTTAATCCATCATGGCCAGAGGCAGAGGGCTCAATATCTGTGTTTTCATAATTGATTTAAATTCTTCCTTGATAAAGTCAGGAAATAAATTATCACACATTCAACACATTCAAACACACACACACACACACACACACACACACACACACACACACGTAAACAAACAAAACCCAAATAAGTATTCTCACTGTGGAATGTCCATTTTCTCTGCCCAGCTTAAGCCTCTAATGCTAACTTCTATTAACCCTGGGCCTCTATATGTAACTTGACCTCTCCATTTCAACCTAATAGCACATTCACTCACCTCACTTTTCATTTGCCCTTAACATGTATTAATAGGTGTCCTTCACTCTAGGCTATTGATTAAGCCATCAGTATTTGTCATACCCCTCATGTCTTTGTGATTTCCCAAAGTCAATGTCTCCTCTACCTGCCCTATACCACTTGCCTCATAGTCTGGCCCAAATAAATCTATCTTGACAGTAAGGATTTTCATAATATTAACAAAATACTGTAATATTAGAAAATTCTTTCATTCTAAGGAGAGTACATATAATAACCTGGGGGCAAGGGGTGCAGAAAATGGGGGTATGAGAAGACAACCTTAGAGGTCAAAACGCATAAGTGGTATATTTCAACTGTCAATATCATTTACGTTTTTTATTGTCTGTAGATTCTACTAGTAATATAATTTTCATTTTGGTATAATTTATTTTTACTTGACAAATAATAGTTGTGCACATTTATACTAGCATAATTTTTAAATGTCATGCCTCTTTTGAAAAAGTTCTGTGATGTTATTAAAATCAAAAGAAGAACATGATTATGCTCATGATTCATATTCTCTGCAGGAATATTGACTTTGAAATATGAGCTTTTACAAAATTGTTAACATATTGCTTGATCCTCAATTAGTACATTCATGTTTTACTTGTAAGATTTTTTAAAAAATAATACATGTTTTTAAAAATATCATACCTCAAATACATCACATAAAATCATAAATGGGTTTTAATAACTTTCTGACTGTTATACCTTAAAACTCATTATGAAGTGTTTATTTTTTAAAAGCTATAGGACTACATCTTACCTTTTTAATTGAAAAATCAGTAAAATTGCAATGAAACAATAATTAATAAAAAAGTCTCATAGGGGAAACATTTCTAAGGGAAAAAAAAAACACCACATTGAGTGATGCTACTCTCACCATCCTTCCTTCATTGTTGCCCCAGTATCATCATAAATGTTAACATTAATCTTCCTCCCCATTTTCCATTTTTCTACTCCTTTCTCCAGGTATGCCCTCCCTGCACTACTTTACGTTTAATGAGTGCCTAGGGAAGTATATTCTCCAGTAGCGATAACACCTGAATTGAGTCCCTATCACAAGAAAGTCTTCTCACTCTGAATTGCCAGGAAAAAAAAAAGTCTTCTAATCCCTTCAGAATGATTAGTGGAGGTACACCTTCTAAAGGGCTATTTTGGGTATGTCTTTCAGCCAAGGTTTTGACTAAACTCCACAATCTAAATGTGTAAAAGAGTAACACTTAACAACATGAAGTCAAATCAAAAAGCAAAACTAGGTAAGAAATATCTAAAGTAAACAGTGATACACAGTTTTATTTCTAATGTTTTTCTTATGCGGGTTGATCTAGTTTAATTTAAGACAAGTAAAATGGCAATTATATGATCTTAATTTAAAAGTATCTTTCTTTAGAGGAACTTAAATGAGTTGTTACATGTAATTCCATTAAGACTGTAGCTACGTAATCTTTAAGTAAAGAACAATTTTATATTTCCAAACATGTATGACAAAAAATACAAATTACGACATTTTCAAAGACAGGAGCTATGAGCAATATTGATACATCTGCAGTCCTATAACCTTGCTAAAATAGAAAAATTGACTCAATGGGAAAATAAATAAGCTAAATCTATTTCAGACTCTGACCCCAAAGAAAGTCCCTTGATCAACCTAGATAAGCATTTCCTTCCCTGTAATATGAGAAGAGTGCATCAAGACTAATTTTCCCAGCAACAAATCCAAATTGACAATAATTAAATGATTTTCAATCTGGGTCAAAATGGAAGCTGCAAAGCAATGTTAGTGATAATAAGCACACATGCATATGTATATATCCACACACATGCACACTTGCATATACCAGGTCACACCATGCATGTTTAATGCCTTGTAGTTGTCAAAGGTAGCATGGGATATGGCTACCCTCTGCTCACTGTTTTTATTTTTTGAATTTTTTTTTATTAGTCCATTCTTGTGTTGCTATAAAGAAATTCCTGAGACTGGGTAATTTATTTTTTAAAAAAGTTTAATTGGCTCATGAATCTTCTGGTTTTACAGGATGCATGGTGCTGGTATCTGCTGAGCTTCTGGGGAATCCTCAGGAAGCTTACAATCATGGGAGAAGGTGAAGGTGGGTGGAGCAAGCATATCACGTGGTGAAAGCAGGAGTAAGAACGAGAGTTGGGCGAGAGGTGCCACACACTTTAAATGACCAGATCTCAGGATAATTCACTCATTTTTGCAAAAACAGCACCAACCCATCAGGGTCCATTACCATGGTCCAAATACCTCCTACCAGGCCCTATCTCCAGCATTAGGGATTGCAATTTGACATGATATTTGGGCAGCAACAAATATCCAGACTTTATCATTCCATCCCTGGCTCCTCCCAAATCTCACGTCCCTGCAAAATACAATCATACCTTCCCAACAGTCCCCCAAAGACTTAACTCATCCCAGCAGTAACTCAAAAGTTCAAAGTCTCATCTGAGACAAGGCAAGTCACTTCCACCTATAAGCCTATGAAGTAAAAAACAAGTTAGTTATTTCTAAGATGCAATTGGGGTATAGGCACTGAGTAAACATTCCCATTCCAAAAGGGAGAAATCAGTCAAAAGAAAGGGGTTACAGTCCTTATGAAAGTGTGAAACTCAGCAGGGCAGTCATTGAATCTGAAAGCTCCAAAATAATCTCTTTTGACTCCATGTCCCACATCCAGGGGACACTGGTGCAAGGGTTGGGCTCCCAAGACCTTGAGCAGCTCCGTCCCTGTGGCTTTGCAGGGTTTAGCCCCCACGGCTGCTCTCACAGGTTGAAATTGAGTGCCTGTAGCTTTTCCACACTGTGGGTGCAAGCTGCTGGATCTACCATTGTCGGGTCTGCAGAATGGTGGCTCCCTTTTCACAACTCCATTAGGCAATGCCCTGGTGGGGACTCTTTGTGGGGGCTCCAACCCCACATTTCCCCCTATACTGTCCTAGCAGAGGGCTCCGCCCCTGCTGCAGGCTTCTCATACAGCCTCTGAAACCTAGGCAGAGGCTGTCAAGCATTCTTCACTCTTGGATTCTGTGTGCCTGCAGGCTTAACACCACATGGAAGCCACCAAGGCTTACGACTTGCACTCTCTGGAGCTGGAGCAGCCACTAGAGCTGTAGCTAAGCCCATTTGGGCCTTGGCTAAAGCCAGAATGGCCAAAATGCAGGGAGCAGTGTCCCCAAGCTGCTCAGGGTAGTGGGGCCTGACTCATAAAACCATTCAGTCCTCCTAGACATCAGGGCCTGTGACGGAAGGGGCTGCCATAACGATTTCTGAAATGCCTTCAAAATATTTTTCCCATTGTCTCTACTATTAACACTTAACTCCTTTTCAGTTACGCAAATATCTCTAGCAAGTGGTTGCTCTGCAGCCTGCTTGGATTCCTCCCCCCAAAAAAGCTTTTTATTTCTCTGCCACATGGCTAGACATTAAATTTTCCAAACTTTTATGCTCTGCTTCCTATTTATATCTAAATTCAATCTTTAAGTCATTTATTTGCCTCATCTGAGCATAGGTTGTAAAAAGCAGCTGGCCACCTCTTGAATGCTTTGCTGCTTAGTAATTTCTTCTGTCAGATATCCTAAATCATCACTTTGAAGTTCAAACTTCCACAGATCCCTAAGGCATCAACAGAATGCAAACAAGTTATTTGCTAAGGCATAACATGTGTGACCTTTGCTTCAGTTTCCAATAAATTCCTCATTTCCATCTGAGACCTCAGCAGCCTGGACTTCACTGTTAATATCACTATTAGCATTTTAGTCACAACTATTGAACCAGTCTCTACAAAGTTCCAAACTTTCCCTCATCTTCCTATCTTCTTCTCGGCCCTCTAAACTCTTCCAACCTCTGCTCATTATGCAGTTCCAAAGCTGCTCTCATATTTTCAGCTATCTTTACAATAATACCCCACTCTTGGTACCAATTTTTCATATTATTCTGTTCTTACATTGCCATAAAGAAATATCTGAGACTGGGTAATTTATAAAGAGGTTTAATTGGCTCATGCTTCTGCAGGTTTTACAGGATGCATGGTGTTGGCTTCTGCTCAGCTTCTGGAGAGGCCTCAAGAAGCTTACAATCATGGCAGAAGGTGAAGGGGGAGCAATAGCATCACATGGCAAAAGCAGGAGCAAGTTGAGAGGAGAAGTGTCACACGCTTTTAAATGACCAGATCTCATGAGAACTCATTCATTATCACAAAGACACCACTCAGCCATGAGGGATCCACCCCCATGATCCAAACACCTCTCACCAGGCCCTATCTCCAGCATTGGGAATTATAATTCAACATGAGATTTGGGCAGGGACAAACATCCAAACTATATCAGTTTTAATTTACAAACATTAAATTCACTTTTTTGGTGTAGAGGTCTATGAGTTTCGATGAATGCAAGTAATGTAATAACCACCATAGTCAAGATATAGAATAGTTCTGTCAGCTGAAGAAAATTGTCCCATGCTGCCTTATAGTCACATACCCCAATTGAGAATACCCACATACCCACTGATATTTTCTGTTTGTAGTTTTACCTTTTCCCAAAATGGTATGTGTGTGTGTGTCTGTGTGTGTGTCTATGTGTGTGAAGAGAGAATTGTTATAAACACACACACACAGACACACAGATCGAGAATATCCCACAATATGTAGCCTGTTGTGGTTGACTCATTTCACTTGACATAATTGATTTGAGATCCACCATGTTATTGGTACATATCAATAGTTCATTATTTTTATTTCTGAGTAGTATCTTACTGTATGGATGTACCATACTTAGTTTATTCATTTACATAGTGAAGAATATCAGGTTGTTTCCAGTTTGGGGCAATTATGAGTAAAGCTGCTATAAACATTCAAGGTTTTCTTGCACACAGAAGCTTTCATTTCTCTTTGGCAACACCCAAGGGCAGATTTCTAGATGATGTGGTACAAATATATATAACTTCTGCCTGTTTTCCAAGGTAGTTGTATCATTTTGCATTCCCACTAGCTATGAATGAGAGTTTCACTTGTGCCACAACTTCACCAGGTATTGCTATTGTCAGTTTTTTATTGTTTTGTCTTATTTTGCTTTAACTATTTTAATTTGTGTGTAGTTGTATCTCATTGTGATTTTAATTTTTATTCTCCTAATGACTAACTATGTTGAGCACCTTTTGATGTGTTTTATATCTTCTTTGGTGAAATGTCTATTCAAAATTTTGCCCATGTTTTAATTAGGTGGTTTGTTTTCTTATTTTTTTTTTGAGCTTCATGTGTTTTATATATCCTATATAAAAATATCCTATATAATGATGTGTTTATTTATCATTCTTATATCTTCTTTGGTGAAATGTCTATTCAAAATTTTGCCCGTGTTTTAATTGGGTGGTTTGTTTTCTTATTTTTTTTTTTGAGCTTCATGTGTTTTATATATCCTATGTCCACTTCTGAATGTAATTATAACAGATGTGAAATCTCTATTCATCATAGTATCCATAAACTCTTACACATGGGTTAAGTGGCTTGTAACAAGGCTTTTGTGGCAAAAAAAATTATGTCTTCGACCTAATTATGCTCTTTTTCTGTTGGTATATCTTTCTAGATGTTTACCAATGTCTATTGAAAATGTACATTCCTATTGACATACCAATGGCCTTTCTTAGTTAGAGCTATGTATAAAGAACTAAGTACAGGAATATGACTTCAAACATTGACGCAAATGCCAGAAATTGGGAACCACTTAAAATTTCAAATACAGGGGATTGAGTAAATTGATTATGGTGCAACCATATCAAGGAATACAATGAAGGTATTGAACCTGGTGTATTAGAACTGGATTTATTGACTTAGGATAATGTTACTGGTTATTGATTTTCTCAAATTGTTATTTGATAATAGGTATTAACAAAATTAATGCATAGGTTGATGTATTTTTAAATAAAAATATATGCAAATCTATTCATTCAATGAATATTTACTAAGTATTGACAGTTTTCCAGGAATTGTGCTACGCACTGGGAGTACAAAGATAAGCAATTATATAATTACATCTTATAAACACATTAATAAAGTCAAAATTTGAAGGATACAAAGAAAATAATGAACTGGCAAAATATGGCTCTAAAATGTCAGTAAATCAATTTATGCTTTTCCTTAGAGGCACCTAGAGATAAATAATGGCCAAATTATAGTATAGTGTTTAAATGTGTGCACTGGGAGCAGCTGGTTCCGGAGCCACTCAGAAACACAGTTTCAAGTCCTAGTTATGTTGGTTTCTACCTATGCATATTGGGGCAAATCATTTAACCTCATATATTACAATTACTATGTGAATTAAAAATATATTCCAAGTAAGGCAACATAAGGTCTTTACATGGTAAGTACAAAATAAATGTTAGCTATTATTATTATTACCCTTATACAAGTAAATTTTTAAATGGTAAATTCCATCCAAGCCTCCTAATAGTAAACAAGTTAATAAAAAAGGAACTAAGTAGCAGTGTCATTGACCATATGTGCATCTATATGGACTCTGACTTCTAAGCATTTATTTGATTTTAAAAATATATATGTATTTTCATGTTATTTATTGTTAGTTAAAATGAATATTTTGTAAGGATAGTGAGGGTGTGAAGAACATTGAGACATTTCCTCATTTATATTATCTACCTTTTTATGAGTAGATTCATACCAAATTTAGCTAATAAAGATATATACTTCAAAATTGAAGCAGTAATATTGCTACCCCTAAAGTAAAATACTTTGGCTCGCAAACAATAGGAAGGTTGAAAAGTACTTTGAAATTTCATGGTGGCTAATAGCTATAATTAAGGGGTCAGTAATGACCACAATTGTGTGTGGATAATATAAGGAAATGAGTGACTCATTCTAATTCTTAATGATACTGAAAAGAAAAGGTTATATAGAGGCAGATTTGTTAGCATTTCCATTACATTTCAAATCTGTCCATGAAAGATAAGTGCAGCTGCTGCATAGAGAATTAAAAGATAAAAAAGTCTTGGGCTCTATAAAACTTAAGATAAAGATGTTATCCCTGAGGTCTCCCCTCAGTGCATATGTGTTTTGCATCTGAAATTAGCATTGGTAGTTGATTTTACATAAATGAGCTATATTGTAGTGTTTGAGTAAGGGAATCCTTTAAACAGCATAGGAAGGCAGAAAGTAATAAAGAAGACAAAGGGGGATAATCACAAGGATTTGTAGAACATGCTTTCATTGCCTGCTGGTCAGCTGAGTGATTTTGCACTGCTTTTTGTGTTGCTATGTTGTTAAACTTATTCGACTTGAAGAAGATAAATATCCACAAGACAAAAAGTTCTTCAAATATCTTGCTAAAATTATTAGATTATGTGATATACAACAACTGTGAAAAGATTTGTACTATTCCCCTTTTCTATACCCCTTTAAATTTATTTTTACTTTAGGGAAAAAAAAGAGTCATTAATGTCACATCAGAGAAACCGTTTCAAAATTCTATCCCCTATGGTCCTTCAATCCCACTCTCTATAGCTCAGGAGGAAACGAGGTTATCTGTTTCTGAAAGCAACAGGAAGCAGCCAAATGCCTAGGCAGATAGGGGCAGATCCCCGCTGAAACCCACCTTCAAGCCAAAAACAGCCTGAAGGCTGAAAGACTGGACTACTGGTACGATGAAACCCACAACTGAGAATGAGAACTTCTCTTCCTCTTTGCCCCACTGTTTCCCAATTGATTCTTTCTGAATAATGTCTTTTAACCAATGAATGTTGTTTTTTCCAATACTACCGACAGTCTTTCCCTCCCCGATTCTAAGCCCATAAAAAGCCCCAGACTCAGCCATATTGAGGGGATTTTCCTGCCTTCAGGTGGGGGGACCCCTCCCACACCGCTGCCATATCCCCTTTCCACTGAAAGCTGTTTTATCATTCAATAAAACTCCCTGCCTTGCTTACTCTTCAATGTCAGCACATCGTCATTCTTCTTGGGTATGGGACAGGAACTGGGGAAACAGTGCATAAGCCAGACTTGGCCTGGGCAGACTGAGTGGGCAGGCCATCTCCTGCAGCATGCAGCTATGGTCAAGCAAAGCCCGGATGAGGCATCACCAGCTGGAGATCCCCAGCTTGCAAAGTGACCAAGAAGAAAATCCTGTGTCATGTCATTCCAGCAAGTCAACAGCTCTCTTAGTTGAGCTAACAGATTATAGTCTTAAGTAAATTAGACAAAGAAAACAGTTGTATGTCTTGATTCTGAGATTCTTTTTAAAATACATTTTATTGTGTATATTTGAGATTTACAACATGATGTATGGGGTACATATAGATAAATGGTTACTATAGTGAAGCAGATCAACATATTCATCACTTTACATAATTACTTCTCTGAGACAAAATCAGCTAAAATCTACTTATTTAACAAAAATATCTAATACAATAGAATTGCATCTCATGTGACACATTAGATCTCTGATTTATCCTACATACTTTGTATTCGTTGACATACATCTCCCCATTGTCTCTCCTTTTACCACTTACCTGCAGTAACCACTGTTTGATTCTCTATGTCTGTGTATTTTATATATATGTTTTATATTCCTCATATAACTGAGATCATGCAATGTTTTTCTTTCTGTGTGTGGGTTATTTTACTTAGCAGAATGTCCTCCAGGTCCATCCATGTTGTGGCAAGGATCTCCTTCTTATTTAAGGCTAAATAATATTCCTAATAATTAAACCTGAATATGTGTTGTCCCTATAGACTTTCTACTTTTAAATCTCTCTGAGTGTAGCTTCTTCAAATACAGTTAGGTTTTCAAAAGTGTTTATGATATTAATTGCAAACTTTTAAAAGATAGAGGCTGTTTATGTTTTTATATCCTCTTGATCTAATACAATGCCATCTACATAGTCAGTGCCCAAAAAATATGTAAGGAAAGGGAAGAGAAAGAAGACGAAGAATTTCTACCGTGAAATAATGACAGGGTAGCTGGAGCATCCCGCTGAACTTTGAACTGCTTCTGCTTAAGGAATTTTAAAAGTTAAATTGCACTTGCTGCTTTAATTTAGCCATGAATATAAATTTCTTTGAAATATTATAAAACATCATACCAAAGCCAGTATGTAGTTTCAGGGAATATTTATATTGTGTGGCAGTGCTGCCATTCATATATTTATTCCTAAGGATGACATTTATTAAAATCATTATTTCTCTTTTTATAAAAAATAAAGTTTTTAGGTATTTTTCTGAATATAAAAATTATACATGCTTAGTTTAGCTTTTGGAAAATGTCAAAAATCTATTTTAAATGTATATTAAAAGGAAGTATAAAAGTAAATAAGCTTACCAATAACCCCACTTCTCAATAATAATCATTTTATATTTTGATGTATTTCCTTACTGACATTTTTTATTTTCATAATTTTTTTCATAATGGAGATCTTCCAGATAATTTTATAACTTGGCTTTTTACTTGATATTCTACCTAATTGCCTTAAGGCTGTTTGTAAAAGATGGTAATAATTTACATTCCCACTAAAAGCAAATGTGAGAAATCTTATCACACACTTAAGTTCATAAAATATAATAAAGTTCTTAATTTTTGCTAATTTGATAGAAATAAAAGATATATATTTTGTAATATTTCTATTTTTTCATTTTCAGGGCATTTTTATTGCTCTACTTTAGCTTGAAGAGGCCTAGTGTTTTTTTTAAACCACTCCCAAAAGGCAAAAAAGCTTTCAGAGATTCAAACATTAAAAAAATAAAAATTCAGTATCATTTATTACATTTTTTTCCAGCAGAAGACTGCTTATTTTGATCCTACAATGTAGTATAAACTGGAATGGAAATGACTCTAAAAGTAAAATTTCTAATAATCCATATGTATTGTGTTTCCATTATCCTATCTTTTAAAGAAAGCTTCTGAACATTCTAGATGAATATATAGGGTGACTTCCTGCTGATATATGTCTCAATACAAAGGATAGCATAATCAAAGATATTGGCAATAAAGAGCTCAGTGTAAGATGGGTCAAGTTGGCGCATGATGTATAATAAAATTCACTACTATTCAGAAGGGCAGGCTATCAGGCAGATCAAGGAACCTAAATCACAGAACTTTCAAGTCACCCCGCTCAGGAATGACAGGAACCAAAATGCTAGTTTCATAGGTTAAAATTCCACCTATTTACTTTCATTTGTCTTAAAGACTATAGCATTTGGAAATCAAAGTAAAAATAGAGTAAACAAAAATTAGAAAATTATATAATCATAACTGGTCACAATGCTAATAGATTAATAGTTTTAATTAATTTTAAACAGCAGATGAAGGTACTGAAAAATGCTGACTTCCAAAGAATGAGAAACCTATAATAGTCCTACTGCTTATGTGTTTTGTAGGCAATAATGAAATGCAATGAAGAAAGTATTCCTAATATGTAGGAGACACAATAGAAAGCGTAAGTAATTATTTGATTAAGAACCTCGCAATTAACTAACTTATTTAAAAATGCATAGTCAATAAATATCAAATAGTATATGATATATACTTAAATGCCAAATTTTATCATCCACATTTCAAATATCCTAAGAATTACAGAAGGAATACTCAGGGAATACTAAAGTGGTCACAGAAAACTTACATCGCATAATACACAAATTCCTTAATATCAAAATTCAATGAGTATAATGGAACAAAAATATAAAATTTTCAATAATTTTCAAATGAATGAAAGTAGGATAATTTAATTGTAAAATGGTAGAGAACTTTTTGCCCACTATTAGACTTATATCTGCTTAGGATAAATTGCCATCAACCTGGTTGTAATTCCCAAATGAACTTTACCCCAGATTTTCTTTGCTCACGTTGTTTTTAAAAAGTGTATTGTAAAAATTACATATCTTGGGCAGGACACGGTGGCTCACGCCTGTAATCCCAGCACTTTGGGACGCCAAGGCAGGTGGATTGCCTGACCTCAGGAGTTCAAGACCAGCCTGGGCAACACGGTGAAACCATGCCTGTGCTAAAATACAAAAAAATTAGCCGGGCGTGGTGGCATGCACCTGTAATCCCAGCTATTTGGGAGGCTGAGGCAGGAGAATAGCTTGAGCCCGGAGATGGAGGCTGCAGTGAGCGGAGATCGTGCCATTGCACTCTAGCCTGGGTGACAGAGCAAGACTCCGTCTCAAAAATAAATAAATAAATAAATAATAAATAATAAATAAAAATAAAAATTACATATCTTTCTTTCACTCAGATAATTTACTACAGAAAATCATGAAGTATAGCTTTTTTAAAAGTATCTCGAAATATACTACCATATGCTAAAAGACTATGAATATGGAAGGATCAGTAAAATATTGATTGTGTTAAGAGCATGGAAATTGTAACAGCAAATTAATCTTGGTGTGAGATATTAAATATTTGCCTGCAATTATTTACCCTAAAATTGTTTTATAAACCACTCGATTGACAGTTGTTATCTCTTCTCTACTTATCTCTTCTGTATATGACTGTTAACTGAACACTCCATATTTTTGCCATTGTCTTATTTTTCATCAACTTAAAATGTTTTATTGAGGTAGCTAGCATCAACGACAAAAGAATAAAGTTATCTATAAAAGTTACACAGTGTACAGCTGATTTTAGGTAGAATATCAGTCCTTGGGAAATATGTTCAGAGATTTGTTTATTGTTCTCTACACTGTGGTTTAGTTATCATTAATCATTTCATGATTTCTAAATTTAGCATCCCAGAAATAGGCGTTAGTGAAATATAAAAAATGTTTTAAAAATTAAAGGTATTTTGAAACCTTCAGCCACAGGCTATATTTTAGTAAAACAACAATAATAAAAAGACCTATAGGTCCTTTCTTGCCTTTTCCTCTCCCATCTACCTTAACTTTCGAGCTCTTATTCTTGCAATAGCTAGCAAGGGAGAAGCAAGAATAAAAGGAATTTATTTTCCTTTCTAAGTTCTCCTACTTATATCTATTATCCCTGAAGTAAGAGAGCTCAAGAATTCAAACATTAAGGCAACAATCTAATCTTCTCACTTTACTTACAGCCAGTTATTTAGTCCATTGCTTCTGAACCCATTATTTAATCCATTTGGTTGCAAACCTGTAATGTCATATAAACATGTAGAAACAATTGTAGATTAAAGTTAAAAATAAAAAAGATAATTTTCTTTTCTACTATTTTTGCTTGATATTAACTTACTCTAGATAAATATGTTGGTAGACAAGCTGAGAATATAGATGAAATCATGGTTTACATTCCTATTTTTATACATCCCTTATTCATGATCTGTATTTTAAATTTCAGACAAAATCTAGTAGTACTTTGCATTTTCCTAAGTCTGCATAAGGAAACACACTCCACCCTAATTTTCTCAACTGCATGCCCCCCAAAACTAACTGGAGGAAAAATTTTGTCAGCCCCCTTAAGGGTGTAAGAACTTTTCTTCTGATGGCATGACTAGTAACTCTCTAATTGTCATGTTCAAGAACAATTATTTAACTTAGGCAAAGTTGGTGTTTATTTTATGGAATGAGTAGTCTCATGTCATCTTACAAATTTGGAAATTCTCTTTGAGACCACTGACTAAATTACAGGTAATAACTGTACCATAATCATTCAAAATCTCTTTCTTTTGATTCCTAACTACACGTGGAAAAAATAAATAAATCAAAACTCATATAAATTTTGATATTTAGGAGAAGAGATAGACTCATTAAAAATAAAAATTACTGAATTTGTATTTTTCATAAGATCTAGACAACAAATAAAACTTAGTAACATGTACAGTTGTGCCATATGAAATTACTAATATTCAACTGTTTTCAACCTATGGAAAAAAATTCATATCTTTCAACCTAAAATACTAGTAATTATTGCTCTTAAATAGAGGATTCTTGTCCTTAATGCCAACTAAAGGGGCAGGGAACTATTAATTAATAATAGCTACATTGTATATTGTACCACTATTACTAGCAATTATTAATAGCTACTTTATATTTAGAACTTAAGCTTCAAGTTTTCAAAGAGAAACAGAGGTGTCACTAAGTTTAAATGTCTCCCCAAAAATTGATTATTGAAACTGTCCCTTTACTGGTTCCTTAAGGCCTGGTCTTGACTCATGACCCCTACAATATGCTCCAACAGGTGCTATATTTTCTTATCATTATGACTTTGTATTGCTCTTACCACTTTGTATTACTAATGCATGGTTAACTGCAAACTCTCTGAGGACTTGTCCCAGGCCTATCATTCCTAATTTCTAGCATTTTCTCAAATAGCATTAAGTGCTGAATTATTTTGGGGGTCAGGATAAATTGACTGGAACTTGAAAAGTAATTGTATTGTCCTGGATTATTTTTATTTTATTATTATGAAGATAATTCATTCATCTCAGAATAATGAGTTTCATTATTCTGAAAGAATGCAATCTAGGTTTCAACTAATACCATTTAAAATTAATATAGATCATTGTGACATCTTGGATTCAATGAAATATTGCAAATAAGAGGGGAAATTTTTATTGTGATAAAATGAAATCCCTACGTCCTTTTAGTAACTTGAAGTCATAGGATCTGTTTATGTCATATCAGAACAATTCTTAGTTCTTTGGAAGCATGCAGACTCTGTCATAGCTTTGTGGTAAGCAAATGGTGCTCTGTCTTTGCAAACAGTGGGGAAACCCTATATTATGAGGATGGAAGCCAAGTATTTACTTAATGCTTTATTTCCATATCATATTCTTGTCTTAAAAGATCTTTTCTGTTGGACCATATCATTAACATTGTCTTATCTGCTAGATAACTTCCATGAGACTGGTAAAAAAATGAGCCAGAAAATTCAAATGGAAATTTTCTTCAAGAGTGATAACTCCCTGGAGTTATGCGCCTTCTTGCTTACTCTGGCATAAATGGCCTTGATTGCTTTTTTTCTACTAAAGGGCATAACAAAATGCTCCTTTCTCTGAATATAAAAAGGACTATATAAATGAAAAATTTGAAAGAGCAAAACCATCTTCTCTAAAAATATCACTACTGTAATATTACCATTTCTAGTTTTTATTGGGTTCATGGAAAGCCCTGCTGTGTTTTGTGAAAAGAGTTATCAACCCAATGTTGTCATCTGTGGAATGAGTATATGGGACCAGATGCTTCTAAACTACTAGTTCAGAATTTTCTTAATTCTGGGTTTCCAAATATCTGGTGGATGTCACAGAGACAAAAATGGCTAAATTCTTGACTGAATGTTTTAGTTTTTAAATGTTTGCCATCATGCAATCAACTCAAAAGCATGAGAAAATATGGTAAAAGTGATGGCTTGGAGTCAACAGCCTTTGAATTGATAATGTATAGTTTTTTAAAATAATGTATGGATATGTTTTATTTTTATCTTTTGTGGGTACACAGTAGGTATATATATTTATGGGGTACATGAGATGTTTTAATAAATGTATGGCTTTTTCCTGAGAAAATTCACATTTTACTAAAGAAAAAGGAGCTCCAATTTAGAAATCAGAAGCCCTAGATTGGTTTTCCACCTCTCATACTTGCTAGCTTTGTAAATTAAACAAGACTTTTAACCACTATGAGTCTCAGTTTCTTCACCTATACTTTAGTGATCACTCTCAATTCAAAAGTGTAAATACAATGTTATGATACCTAATTTGGTTAGGCTTTGTGTCCCCACCCAAAATATCATCTTGAATTGCAATTCCCATAATCTCCATAATCCCCATGTGTCAAGGGAAAGACCAGGTGGAGGTAATGGAATCATGGGGGTGGTTTCCCCCATGCCGTTCTTGTGACAGTGAGTCAGCTTTCATGACATCTGATGGTTGTATAAGTGTTCAGTAGTTCCTCCTACATTCATTCTCCTTCCTGCTGCCTTGTGAAGAAGGTACCTTGCTTCCCCTTCACTTTTCACCATGATTGTAAGTTTTCTGAGGCCTCCCCAGCCATGCAGAACTGTGAGTCAATTAAACCTCTTTCCTTTCTAGATTACCCAGTCCCAGGCAGTTCCTTACAGCAATGTGAAAATGGACTAATACAATACCTGTAATATTGTTATCTGCATTACTAATGTATTATGTTACTTGTTTTCTGTTATTTGTGTTGGAGCTCAGAAAATTATATCCTAAAACATGGCACGCTGAACACTTTAGAAATAAAGGAAGCTGGAAGGCCTTAGAAGCTGCCTCAAAATCAATGACCTTCTCTTGTCTCTCCCTGCCTCCCAAATACAGGGAGGAGCTCTTTCTGGAATTTCCATATCTGAATGATGAAACTTTTTTCCAAAAGAAATGCAATTGTTTTAAACCCTTTCCCTAGGAAAGACTGACCACTGAATAAGAGAAGGAAATAGGAGAAAAGAGACTAATAATGGTCATCATGCCCAGACAGACATTTCATCTATTCTTCTGCGGGCAGCTCCAAGAGATTACATAAGAGACTATATCTGCATAATAAGAGAACCATTGTTCATAGTGCAGTTCTGCCCCTTTCATTCTTGTAACTTGTGGATCCCTATCAGTTTCCAAAGAGGATCCTTTACAAACCATTCTCTGTTTATTGGGCTGATTCATTTCCCCTAGAAAACATTTACTAACCCTCAAAATTGCCCACATTTCTCCATCTCCCTCTCCCCTGTGAAGAGGCTGCTAATTAAGCTTCAGCCATCTGGCCTTTCTTTATCTCATATTTTATACAACTCCCATGTTTATGCACATTAATAAATTTATATACCTTTTTTCCTGTTAATCTGTCTGTTGTAAGTTCACTTCAGCAGACGTGAACCTTTAGAGGGTGAGGCAAAATAGTCTTCACTCCTACATCTTTCTTGTGTCCATTATTTGCTGCATTATTAATATAAATGTTACTTGCAAATATTGATGTAAATAAAAGCATTATTATTTTGAACTATCTGCCTCTACTAGACAAAAGTCAAAGCAATTAACCTCTGATCAGAGGATAAAATATAAGTAAAATTTGTAAAGCTGGATTATGCGTCTATGATCTTTTCTATGATCATTATGTTATTGCAGCTTTCTGCTGGTGATATTGTGATTATAACAAGAAATATATATTTTGGTTTTTGTCACAGGTTGCTAACACAGAGCTCCTAATCCCTTGGAATTTTCCAGTTGATAGGAGCATTTTTGTTATAATGAGGTGACTTTTGGTGGGCTCCTGGGTAGGGGCTGCCCACCAGAAAGATAAAGCCATGATTAGAAGCTTAAAAGTTTCAGCTCCATCTTCCATTCCCATCATCCAGGAAGGGGAGAGAGGCTGAATATTGAGTTAATAATCAATCATGCCTACATGATGAAGGCTCCATAAAAGTTCCTGAACTACCAGACAAAAGAGATTCCTGGTTGTTTTAACATGGGAAGTGCTGGAAAGGTGGCACACCCAGAGAGGGTGTGGAATCTCCATGCCCCTTCCCACTAACCTTGCTCTGTATACTTCTTCAACTGGCTCTTCATCTGTATGATTTGTAATATTCTTTCTAGGAAACTGGCTAATTTAAGTGTTTCTCTCAGTTCTGTCAGCCATTCATAGGCCTGTGGAAAGGGTCATGGGCACCAACAATTTATACCCAGTCAATGAGAGTAATTAAGGTCCCAACTTGTGATTGCAACCCCCAAAGAAAAGTGGGGGCAGTCTTGTAGGACTGAGCCCTTAATTTGTGGGATCTGACTCTTAACTACAGGTGAATGGTAAAAGGATTGAATTAAATTGTGGACATTCAGTTGGTATCAGAGTAGCAGTGTGGGAAGAAGTCCACATATTTTGGGGACCAGAAGTGCTATACTGAGAGTATAGAAGGGGAAACAACTTGGTTTTTCCCCGGTAACAGCCACTGCAAAAACATGCCAAATTGTAAAGACCATCGAGGCTAGGAAGAAACTGCATCAACTAATGAGCAAAATAACCAGCTAACATCATAATGACAGGATCAAATTCACACATAACAATATTAACCATAAATATAAATGGGCTAAATGCTCCAATTAAAAGACACAGACTGGCAAATTGGATAAAGAGTCAAGACCCATCAGTGTGCTGTATTCAGGAAAACCATCTCACATGCAGACACACATAGGCTCAAAATAAAGGGATGGAGGAAGATCTACCAAGCAAATGGAAAACAAAAAAAAGCAGGGGTTACAATCCTAGTCTCAGATAAAACAGACTTTAAACCAACAAAGATCAAAAGAGACAAAGAAGGCCATTACATAATGGTAAAGGGATCAACTCAACAAGAAGAACTAACTATCCTAAATATATATGCACCCAATACAGGAGCACCCAGATTCAAAAAGCAAGTCCTTAGAGACCTGGAACGTGACTTAGACTCCTACACAATAATAATGGGAGACTTCAACACTCCACTGGCAACATAAGACAGATCAACAAGACAGAAAGTTAATAAGGATATCCAGGAATTGAACTCAGCTCTGCACCAAGCAGACCTAATACACATCTACAGAACTCTCCACCCCAAATCAACAGAATATACAATCTTCTCAGCACCACACCGCATTTATTCCAAAATTGACCACATGGTTGGAAGTAAAGCACTCCTCAGCAAATGTAAAAGAAAAGAAAGCATAATGAACTGTCTCTCAGACCACAGTGCAATCAAACTAGAACTCAGGATTAAGAAACTCACTCAAAACCACTCAACTACATGGAAACTGAACAACCTGCTCCTGAATGACTACTGGGTACATAACGAAATGAAGGCAGAAATAAAGATGTTCTTTGAAACCAACGAGAACAAAGACACAACATACCAGAATCTCTGGGACACATTCAAAGCAGTGTGTAGAGGGAAATTTACAGCACTAAATGCCCACTAGAGAAAGCAGGAAATATCTAAAATGGACACCCTAACATCACAATTAAAAGAACTAGAGAAGCAAGAGCAAACACATTCAAAAGCTAGCAGAAAGCAAGAAATAATTAAGATCAGAGCAGAACTGAAGGAGATAGAGACATAAAAAACCCTTCAAAAAATCAATGAATCCAGGAGCTGGTTTTTGGAAAAGATCAACAAAATTGATAGACCGATAGCAAGACTAATAAAGAAGAAAAGAAAGAAAAATCAAATAGATGCAATAAAACATGATAAAGGGGATATCACTACCGATCCCACAGAAATACAAACTACCATCAGAGAATACTATAAACACCTCTAAGCAAATAAACTAGAAAATCTAGAAGAAATGGATAAATTCCTCGACATATACACCCTCCCAAGACTAAACCAGGAAGAAGTTGACTCTCTGAACAGACCAATAACAGGATCTAAAATTGAGGCAATAATTAATAGCTTACCAACCAAAAAAAGTCCAGGACAAGATGGATTCACAGCCGAATTCTACCAGAGGTACAAGGAGGAGCTGGTACCATTCCTTCTGAAACTATTCCAATCAATAGAAAAAGAGGGAATCCTCCCTAACTCATTTTATGAGGCCAGCATCATCCTGATACCAAAGCCTGGCAGAGACACAACAAAAAAAAGAGAATTTTAGACCAATATCCCTGATGAACATCGATGCAAAAATCCTCAATAAAATACTGGCAAACTGAATCCAGCAGCACATCAAAAAGCTTATCCACCATGATCAAGTGGGCTTCAACCCTGGGATTCAAGGCTGGTTCAACATATACAAATCAATAAATGTAATCCAGCATATAAACAGACCCAACGACAAAAACCATATGATTTTCTCAATGGATGCACAAAAGGCCTTTGATAAAATTCAACAATGCTTCAGGCTAAAAACTCTCAATCAATTAGGTATTGATGGGATGTATCTCAAAATAATAAGAGCTATCTATGACAAACCCACAGCCAATATCATACTGAATGGGCAAAAACTGGAAGCATTCCCTTTGAAAACTGGCACAAGACAGGGATGCCCTCTCTCACCACTCCTATTCAACATAGTGTTGGAAGTTCTAGCCAGGGCAATCAGGCAGGAGAAGGAAATAAAGGGCATTCAATTAGGAAAAGAGGAAGTCAAATTGTCCCTGTTTGCAGATGACATGATTGTATATCTAGAAATCCCCATCATCTCAGCCCAAAATCTCCTTAAGCTGATAAGCAACTTCAGCAAAGTCTCAGGATACAAAATCAATGTGCAAAAATCACAAGCATTCTTATACACCAATAACAGACAAACAGAGAACCAAATCATGAGTGAACTCCCATTCACAATTGCTTCAAAGAGAATAAAATACCTAGGAATCCAACTTACAAGGGATGTGAAGGACCTCTTCAAGGAGAAATACAAGCCACTGCTCAATGAAATAAAAGAGGATACAAACAAATGGAAGAAAATTCCATGCTCATGGTTAGGAAGAATCAATATCATGAAAAGGGCCATACTGCCCAAGGTAATTTATAGATTCAATGTCATTCCCATCAAGCTACCAATGACTTTCTTCACAGAATTGGAAAAAACTACTTTAAAGTTCATATGGAACCAAAAAAAAGCCCGCATTGCCAAGTCAATCCTAAGCCAAAAGAACAAAGCTGGAGGCATCACACTACCTGACTTCAAACTATACTACAAGGCTACAGTAACCAAAACAGCATGGTACTGGTACCAAAACAGAGATATAGATCAATGGAACAGAACAGTGCCCTCAGAAATAATGCCACATATCTACAACCATCTGATCTTTGACAAACCTGACAAACACAAGAAATGGGGAAACGATTCCCTATTTAATTAATGGTGCTGCGAAAACTGGCTAGCCATAGGTAGAAAGCTGAAACTGGATCCCTTCCTTACACCTTATACAAAAATTAATTCAAGATGAATTAAAGACTTACATGTTAGACCTAAAACCATAAAAACCCTAGAAGAAAACCTAGGCAATACCATTCAGGACATAGGCATGGGCAAGGACTTCATGTCTAAAACACCAAAAGCAATGGCAACAAAAGCCAAAATTGACAAATGGGATCTAATTAAACTAAAGAGCTTCAGCACAGCAAAAGAAACTACCATCAGAGTGAACAGGCAACCTACAGAATGGGAGAAAATTTGTGTAATCTACTCATCTGACAAAGGGCTAATATCCAGAATCTACAATGAACTCAAACAAATTTACAAGAAAAAAAAAAAAAACCCAATCAAAAAGTGAGCGAAGGATATGAACAGACATTTCTCAAAAGAAGACATTTATGCAGCCAAAAGACACATGAAAAAGTGCTCATCATCACTGGCCATCAGAGAAATGCAAATCAAAACCACAACGAGATACCATCTCACACCAGTTAAAATGGTGATCATTAAAAAGTCAGGAAACAACAGGTGCTGGAGAGGATGTGGAGAAATAGGAACACTTTTACACTGTTGGGGTGGGACTGTAAACTAGTTCAACCATTGTGGAAGTCAGTGTGGCAATTCCTCAGGGATCTAGAACTAGAAATACCATTTGACCCAGCCATCCCATTACTGGGTATATACCCAAAGGATTATAAATCATGCTGCTATAAAGACACATGCACATGTATGTTTATTGTGGCACTATTCACAATAGCAAAGACTTGGAACCAACTCATATGTCCCACAATAATAGACTGGATTAAGAAAATGTGGCACATATACACCATGGAATACTATGCAGCCATAAAAAATGATGAGTTCATGTCCTTTGTAGGGACATGGATGAAGCTGGAAACCATCATTCTCAGCAAACTATCACAAGGATAAAAAGTCAAACACCGCATGTTCTCACTCATAGGTGGGAATTGAACAATGAGAACAGATGGACACAGGAAGGGGAACATCACGCACTGGGGCCTGTTGTGGGGTGGGGGACGGGGGAAGGACAGCATTAGGAGATATACCTAATGTCCAATGAGGAGATACTGGGTGCAGCACACCAAGATGGCACATGTATACATATGTAACAAACCTGCACATTGTGCACATGTGCCCTAGAACTTAAAGTATAATACAAAAAAAAAAAAAACTTGGTTTTTCCCTACTATACATGCCCATGCATGATGCTATGCCAAACCACATGCTAGCCTCCAGGAGAGGGTACTATGAAGACCTTCAATATTACCTCATTAAAGAAAAATCATAAAGAACAAAACACTGACTCCAAATGAATGCCATGGACTTTCTAAAACATATTTTCTCCTATTTAAGTGAGTGTTAAGAAAAAAATAGTGCAAATTTTACTATTACATTAATATGTCTCTTAACAAAGTTTATTAACATATGAAGGAAATATGTCACTAGAAATAATTTTTAAGCATATCTGCAAATATGTCTTTTCACAGAAATATTTTCTTCTCCCTGTGTTCTTGCACCTCCTTTTTTTTTCCTAGTTCATGAGCTTCTTGTAATCCACCCTAGGAAAATCTAATTTCAAAGCTTTACTTCCTAAAAATAATAAAAACAGGAAATCAGCAGCTGTTCAATTCTCCTGAGTTAATTTTCCAACTATTCCTTCAATATGACACTTAAATCTTATTACAATATTCCTCCAAACATTATATTTCCTGCAGTGAATAATATACATAAGAAATTCTAATGCACAAAGAGAAAGGCAGAAATGAAAAACAGCTTATTGATACAGAAGATGGATATTTTGGTAGTAGCATCACATAGAGTTTCTCATCAGCAGTGAACATCTGCTTCCATTCATTATGATTTTATTTTGCAAATTCCAGTGGCCATATGACAGCATTGCCATATATTGGAAATGCAAGAGTAGGAGCAGAAAGGGGGTGATCTTTTTTTCCCCCATCATAAGGGGCGTGGCACTCCTATAACAAAAGACAGGTTAACAATAAAAAGGCACAATATATATTTTTAAAACAAAGTTCTACATGACATGGGAGCCCTCAGAATAAAGACCCAAAGATACAGGAAAAGCTATCTATTTTTATGCCTAGGTTCAATGAAGAATGGACAAGTGGGCAGACTTGTGATTGGACAAGAAGGGCACGCCCTAACGGAAACAGGCTGAGTGGTGAAACCCAGCAATGCTGTCTGTTGAGATTCTTCTTGGCCTCTCTATGCAGTATTTTCTTTCTCCCTGTATAAGGCATGACCCTATCTGGAATACAGGAATGGGGGTGTTATGGCCTACTATCAAACAAAGTAGGCCGGAAAATTTATTTATGGCCAGTTCTTACCCAAAAAGGCAGAGGTGGGTTAGAGCAACATTTTTAGGTTTTAAGGCTCACTTTGAGGGAGGGGATGCTGGTTTCTATAATTAGCTTTAGGGAAGAAGCATGCTTGTTTCTAAGACCTGTGCGGAGGAAAGTAAGGGGTAAAAGAAAGGAGAGCAGGAGAAGGTCAGAAAGAAACTGGGTTTTGTTACTGTTGTGTTTTGTTGTTGTTGTTGTTTTAGAGCTTTTTTGAGACAGAGTCTTGCTCTGTTGTCCAGGCGGGAGTGCAGTGGCGCAATCTCAGCTCACTGAAACCTCCACCTCCTGGGTTCAAGTGATTCTCCTGCCTCAGCCACCTGAGTAGCTGGTATTACAGGTATGTGCCATCACGCCCACTAATTTTTGTTTTCTTAATAGAGATTGGGTTTTGCCATATTCGCCAGGCTGGTCTCAAACTCCTGACTTCAAGTGATCCACCCACCTCAACCAACCAAAGTGCTGGGATTACAGGGTTGAGCCACCACATCCAGCCCAAAAGAAACTGTGTTTTTAGGCTGCTTCTGAGTCCTTCACTTTGGGGTACTGTTTTCTAAGTCTCAACATAAATGTTCAAGAAAAATTCTGTAATACTTTCTATAAAAATACAGTACCACTACCCTATTCACAGTTTCACTTTGTGCAGTTTCAGTTATCTGTGGTCAACTGCAATCCAAAAATATTGAATGAAAAATACCGGAAATAAGTAATTCATAAATTATAAATTGTGTGCCATTCTGAGTATTGTAATAAAATCTCACACCATCCAACTCTGAGTCATCCGTTTGTTTGGTGTATGCATGAGTCACCCCTTTGGTGTATGCATGAGTCACCTCTTTGTCTGGTGTATGCATGCTGAACACGCACTGCCCACACGTTAGTCACTTGGTGGACCTCTCAGTTATCAGATTGACTGTTGGGGTATTACAGTGTTTGTATTCAAGAACCCTTATTTTACTTAATAATAGCCCCAAAGCACAAGAATAGTGATCCTGGCATATTGTTTTAATTGTTCCATTTTATTACTAGTTATTGTTGTAAATCTCTTACTGTTGCAGGACTTTCTCCTTAGTTCATCTAAACGTGGAGTCCTTGTCACACAGCCATGAAATATTAGGCTCGCAGACAGTTTGAAGGGTAAGAAAAATGATATTTATTGGGTAAAAGCAAAAGAGGGGTGGGGGAAAACAGGCAGAGTCTGCAAAGCCAGAGTCCTGCTAGTGCCCTTCCCGCCTCTCAGACTGAATCCCAAGTACCACCCAAGAAGAAGAGGGGCCAGGCTCCTCCCCACTGTAAATGGCGCAAACTTCCCAAGGCTCCACCAGTGTACAGTCCTCCCAGTGTGCAGGTTGGTTGGAGGTTCTACCAGGGAGCCCTTCTCACCTGGCTGTCTCATTACTGTGCCTATCTTGTAAATTAAGCTTTATCACAGGTACATATGTGTAGGGAAAAAACATAGTGTACATATTATTTGGTACTATCCTTTGTTTCAGAAAGCCACTGGGAGTCTCAGTCCTGTGGATAAGGGGGGACTACTGTAAAAGTCAAGAAATAATTTAAAATATTATATGTTAAAAACAAACAATAAATGAACAATAGGGGCCCAGATTTAAGTACAACACCATTGTATATGATACATGATTTCCTTACAATAAACTTGATTACCCAGTATTTTATTTAATGATAGAATAGCAAATAATTAGTAAAATAATTTTAGCTTCTGAGAGGATATAAAACTATCTAAGTTTATTCCATTCACAAAAAGTAAAATTAATACAAGAAAGAATCTTATATTTCCTAAAAGGGTTTCCAAAGTTATATCTTCTATGTCTGAAACAATGTTGGGCATTACTTAAGGAACTTACTTGATAACTATGTATTTTTAAATCTGAAACAATTTACCTGAAGTGGTTACATAATATTGACTGTCAATTTTTTGAAGATTTTGTTTAATACTTTATTGCAGAGTACGTTGGTAGTACCATAGAAGATCAGATAATATAAATTACTCATTTTTCAATGATTCTATCAGAGAATATTAAATCCGGATCTTCCCACATTCTCCCTACCTGTACCTCCCATTACAGTCAATCCACAGTAGTCACTATTCACCTAACACCTCCCATGTGTTTCTATCTCTGTTCCCTGTTTCACGTGATTTCTCTCTGGCTTAAATGTTCCTGTTATGGTTTGAATGGATATGTCCCTCCAAAATTCATATGCTGGAACCTAATACTCTTTTAGGAAGTGATTAAGTACAAATGTTCCATTCTCATAAATAAGGTTAGTGCCTTTATAAAAGAATTTGAAACGAATGCCCTAGTCCCTCTTCTCTTTTTGCCCTTTCTGCTATATAAGGACACAGTATTTATTCCCTCCAGAGGATGCAGCAATAAGGCACCATCTTGGAAGCAGTGTCCTCATGGTTGGCCATGGCTGCAGCATGACCATTTCACCTTCAGCTCATATCCACATTACAGGCCGGAAGAGGGGGCAAGGGCTGAGAAGTGTGTTCACCATGTGTGCCCCTTTTCAAAACATTCTTCTGGGGGCCCACTGGGCAAATTTGTCTTCCTTATCATTGGTCATACTGGATCACGTGGCCACTCCTGGCCACAAGGCAGTCTAGGGGAGACTTACCAGATGCTGAATCTGCTGTCGCCTTGATCTTGGACTTCCCAACCTCCAGAACTATGAAAAATAACTTGTATTACTTATAAATTATCCAGTCTCTGGTATTTTCTTTAGCAGAACAAATAAACTAAGATAGTTTCCTATCTCTTTTATGACTGTTGAAAGTCTTCTCTGTCATCTAAAGACATCTCAATAATCACTTTAACAAGGAGTCTTCTTAGATTTCCTCTCCTCCCCAGTTTTAACCTTATATAATCCTTCTCTTTCTCTCTCTCTCTTTTTTTTTTTTTTTTGAGACAGAGTCTTGCTCTGTCACCCAAGCTGGAGTGCAGTGGTGCGAACTCAGCTCACTGCAAGCTCCGCCTCCCAGGTTCACGCCATTCTCCTGCCTCAGCCTCCCGAGTAGCTGGGACTACAGGTGCTCGCCACCACGCCCGGCTGATTTTTTGTATTTTTAGTAGAGACGGGGTTTCACTGTGGTCTCAATCTCCTGACCTCCTGATCCACCCACCTCGGCCTCCCAAAGTGATGGGATTACAGGCATGAGCCACTGTACCTGGCCTATAATCCTTCTCTTGTTGGAACTTTCACATCACTTGAAATTTTTTAAGGCACTTATATGTTTACGTTCAAATTGTGCTATGGTTCATTGTGCATCATTCTTATATCCATTCCCCATTACATTCATTACAGATTTGCCCTGTTACTCAACATTTAATCTTCTCTGTATAGACTATGTGCCTTCTTCTGGAGCAAGAAAGAGAATATAGCATTCTCCTATCCTCATGAAATTTATCTTAAAGCATGACCCATTCATTTTCCTTACCCTTCATATCTTGCACAGTATTTTACATATTTTGGTCATAAAAGTACTTGTAATTATTTGGTCATACACAAGGAAGTGATATTGTATATATTTTTGTCATATAAATATTTGTAATATTTGGAATTAATTTATTATAATGAGTATCAATAACATACAAAAATAATAAATATTGATAATTTTGTATGCTATGCAAAACTATTCATACATGATAAGAAGTCAATGCTTCCTCTAAAAACTGATACAGTAAAAGCAATTACTTATTTCCTTAATTTGGGATGCTACCTAACATAAAGAAAAATGAAATATTACAGAGGCTTATTTAAAAAAATAGTTTTTACATGAATGTCCCATCCTAGAGGCAAGATCAAACTTAATTAACATCAGTAGAGATTCCTTAAACACATCAAATTTTATAAAGCACCTTCTGGGTGACGTTATCTGCTATTACACAAAACAGAAGGGGAGTAAACTAAATTCAAGTCTAATCATAGAAGCACCAGCAATTAAAACTGTTTTCAAATAATTTACAAATACATGTACTGCATAAATTCATTTTTGCACACAATACACAGCATTAGAATTATAAGAAAGACAAAGTGTGTGGCAAAGTTAGAGGATAATTGCAATTGTTTGTGATAATTGCAATTGTTGTATGCAAATTTCTCTATATAACTTGCATATGATCATATACATGGGATTTATTTCAGCAGTCTCCTAAAAACTCAAGTTTACTTCTTTTTCTTTTGGCAATTAGATTATCTCCCATGTGTAGGCCAAAGAAATCATGAATATTAATAGATAGGTGTGTCCAAAAAATTGCTTCACCAATGTGATGAAAGATACTTTTGCATTTGCATCCATACAGGCCATTATTTCCCCACTAAACAGAAAGATGAAAATAATATCAAGTTTCTTATATATCATCATTATCATCATCACCATCAGCATCAAGCTATTGAGAAAATATTTTTAAGGTTCTTTACATTTCCTGAATAAAACTTATAAAGAGATATTTCTACCCTATAATTTGAATGTACCTCTCAGTCAAATCTTAGGATCTTTTGCTCAAACTGCAGCTATGTTTATATCAGGTAGTAACAGAAATCCACCCTCTCACCAAGAAAAACACGTTTCTACGTACAACTGCCACTTGGTTATAGACAAAGTGTTAGCCATAATCCACTGTTTTAAACTAACATATGTAAATAAATGGAAAGATAGTAAGCGACTGTACTGATTTATTGAAATTTTATTTTTTGTAGAATAGTGTTTCCATAAATAAAACTAGAAACTAGAACAGCATTTTTCAAACCAAATAAATTCTACTACCCATTACACAAAAACAAAGAATTACTAGGAAAGGTCTATTCACTATATTTTCAATGAAAAGGATTGTCCTGAAAATCATATCCAGGAGTTTCTGGTACACAATAGATTAGAGTCTGTTCAGACTGTGTGTGTGTGTGTGTGTGTGTGTGTGTGTGTGTGGTGGGTGTGTGGGTGTGTACCACTCATGCACAAACATGGTGACAAAGTATCTTTTACCTTTTCCTGCTACTGATTAGTCTTATGTTGGATGATTTTGCCCTGACATGGTTCCTCTAATAGTGCTATAGATCTTGCTACAAAGTTTTGAATCAGGATTAGCACATATTTTCTGGAAAGAGCCAGATAGTAAATATTTTAGGATTTGTGGGCCATTTATGTTATCTGTTGTATATTCTTCCATTTTTTTATTTTCTGTAGAGATGGGGTTTTGCCATCTTGGCCAGGCTGGTCTTGAAATCCTGACCTTGCGATCCACCCACCTCAGCCTCCCAAAGTGCTGGGATTACAGGCGTGAGCCACTGCACCTGGCCATTTTTTAAACACTTTAGACAGATCAACGAGACAGAAAGTTAACAAGGATACCCAGGAATTGAACTCAGCTCTGCACCAAGCAGACCTAATACACATCTACAGAACTCTACACCCCATATCAAGAGAATATACATTTTTTTCAGCACCACACCACACCTATTCCAAAATTGACCACATAGTTGGAAGTAAAGCTCTCCTCAGCAAATGTAAAAGATCAGAAATTATAACAAACTGTCTCTCAGACCACAGTGCAATCAAACTGGAACTCAGGATTAAGAAACTCACTCAAAACCACTCAACTACATGGAAACTGAACAACCTGCTCCTGAATGACTACTGGGTACATAACGAAATGAAGGCAGAAATAAAGATGTTCTTTGAAACCAACGAGAACAAAGACACAACATACCAGAATCTCTGGGACACATTCAAAGCAGTGTGTAGAGGGAAATTTATAGCACCAAATGCCCACGAGAGAAACCAGGAAAGATCCAAAATTGACACCCTGACATCACAATTAAAAGAACTAGAAAAGCAAGAGCACACACATTCAAAAGCTAGCAGAAGGCAAGAAATAACTAAAATCATAGCAGAACTGAAGGAAATAGAGACACAAAAAACCCTTCAAAAAATTAATGAATCCAGGAGCTGGTTTTTTGAAAGGATCAATAAAATTGATAGACCGCTAGCAAGACTAATAAAGAAGAAAAGAGAGAAGAACCGAATAGACGCAATAAAAAATGATAAAGGGGATATCACTACCGATCCCACAGAAATACAAACTACTATCAGAGAATATTATAAACACCTCTACGCAAATAAACTAGAAAATCTAGAAGAAATGGATAAATTCCTCGACACATACACTCTCCCAAGTCTAAACCAGGAAGAAGTTGACTCTCTGAATAGACCAATAACAGGCGCTGAAATTGTGGCAATAATCAATAGTTTACCAACCAAAAAGAGTCCAGGACCAGATGGATTCACAGCCGAATTCTACCAGAGGTACAAGGAAGAGCTGGTACCATTCCTTCTGAAACTATTCCATTCAATAGAAAAAGAGGGAATCCTCCCTAACTCATTTTATGAGGCCAGCATCATCCTGATACCAAAGCCGGGCAGAGACACAATAAAAAAAGAGAATTTTAGACCAATATCCTTGATGAATATTGATGCAAAAATCCTCAATAAAATACTGGCAAACCGAATCCAGCAGCACATCAAAAAGCTTATCCACCATGATCAAGTGGGCTTCATCCCTGGGATGCAAGGCTGGTTCAATATATGCAAATCAATAAATGCAATCCAGCATATAAACAGAACCAAAGACAAAAACCACATGATTATCTCAATAGATTCAGAAAAGGCCTTTGATAAAATTCAACAACCCTCCATGCTAAAAACTCTCAATAAATTAGGTATTGATGGGATGTATCTCAAAATAATAAGAGCTATCTATGACAAACCCACAGCCAATATCATACTGAATGGGCAAAAACTGGAAGCATTCCCTTTGAAAACTGGCACAAGACAGGGATGCCCTCTCTCACCACTCCTATTCAACATAGTGTTGGAAGTTCTGGCCAGGGCAATTAGGCAAGAGAAGGAAATAAAGGGTATTCAATTAGGAAAAGAGGAAGTCAAATTGTCCCTGTTTGCAGATGACATGATTGTATATCTAGAAAACCCCATTGTCTCAGCCCAAAATCTCCTTAAGCTGATAAGCAACTTCAGCAAAGTCTCAGGATACAAAATCAACGTACAAAAATCACAAGCATTCTTATACACCAATAAGAGACAAACAGAGAGCCAAATCATGAGTGAACTCCCATTCACAATTGCTTCAAAGAGAATAAAATACCTAGGAATCCAACTTACAAGGGACATGAAGGACCTCTTCAAGGAGAACTACAAACCACTGCTCAATGAAATAAAAGAGGATACAAACAAATGGAAGAACATTCCATGCTCATGGGTAGGAAGAATCAATATCGTGAAAATGGCCATACTGCCCAAGGTAATTTATAGATTCAATGTCATCCCCATCAAGCTACCAATGACTATCTTCACAGAATTGGAAAAAACTACTTTAAAGTTCATATGGAACCAAAAAATAGCCCGCATTGCCAAGTCAATCCTAAGCCAAAAGAACAAAGCAGGAGGCATCACGCTACCTGACTTCAAACTATACTACAAGGCTACAGTAACCAAAACAGCACGGTACTAGTACCAAAACAGAGATATAGATCAATGGAACAGAACAGAGCCCTCAGAAATAACGCCACATATCTACAACTATCTGATCTTTGACAAACCTGACAAAAACAAGCAATGGGGAAAGGATTCCCTGTTTAATAAATGGTGCTGGGAAAACTGGCTAGCCATATGTAGAAAGCTGAAACTGGATCCCTTCCTTATACCTTATACAAAAATTAATTCAAGATGGATTAAAGACTTAAATGTTAGACCTAAAACCATAAAAACCCTAGAAGAAAACCTAGGCATTACCATTCAGGACATAGGCATGGGCAAGGACTTCATGTCTAAAACACCAAAAGCAACGGCAACAAAAGACAAAATTGACAAATGGGATCTAATTAAACTAAAGAGCTTCTGCACAGCAAAAGAAACTACCATCAGAGTGAACAGGCAACCTACAAAATGGGAGAAAATTTTCGCAACCTACTCATCTGACAAAGGGCTAATATCCAGAATCTACAATGAACTCCAACAAATTTACAAGAAAAAAACAAACAACCCCATCACAAAGTGGGCGAAGGACATGAACAGATACTTCTCAAAAGAAGACATTTATGCAGCCAAAAAACACATGAAAAAATGCTCACCGTCACTGGCCATCAGAAAAATGCAAATCAAAACCACAATGAGATACCATCTCGCACCAGTTAGAATGGCGATCATTAAAAAGTCAGCAAACAACAGGTGCTGGAGAGGATGTGGAGAAATAGGAACACTTTTACACTGTTGGTGGAACTGTAAACTAGTTCAACCATTGTGGAAGTCAGTGTGGCGATTCCTCAGGGATCTAGAACTAGAAATACCATTTGACCCAGCCATCCCTTTACTGGGTATATACCCAAATGACTATAAATCATGCTGCTATAAAGACACATGCACACGTATGTTTATTGCGGCACTATTCACAATAGCAAAGACTTGGAACCAACCCAAATGTCCAAAAATGATAGACTGGATTAAGAAAATGTGGCACATATACACCATGGAATACTATGCAGCCATAAAAAATGATGAGTTCATGTCCTTTGTAGGGACATGGATGAAATTGGAAATCATCATTGTCAGTAAACTATCATGAGAACAAAAAACCAAACACCGCATATTCTCACTCATAGGTGGGAATTGAACAATGAGAACACATGGACACAGGAAGGGGAACATCACACTCTGGGGACTGTTGTGGGGTGGGGGGAGGGGGAAGGGATAGCTTTAGGAGATATACCTAATGCTAAATGATGAGTTAATGGGTGCAGCACACCAGCATGGCACATGTATACATATGTAACTAACCTACACATTGTGCACATGTACCCAAAAACTTAAAGTATAATAATAATACAATAAAAAAAATAAAAAAATAACAAAATGTAAAAAACATCCTTAGCTCCTGGGACTTTTAAAAACAGGACACAGACTAAATTTGATCCATGGGCATAGTTTGCCAACCCCTGCTTTCAATTATCAATAGCCATGTTGCAAGTTATTTAGTAGGTTTCAGTAAATGTTTACCAAATACAAAACCTCAGTTCTTAGGGTTTGGAAATGGAATGTAATCAGTATACTTGGTGTTGCCTTAGGAGGAGCTTCCAAATTCTGCTTCTTACATGAGCTCCACTTTAGATGGTACTTATCCCATCACTTTTGAGCTGCTCCACTCTGCTCAAAAAGTTCAAACCATGGAGATTTTAAAAGTTCACTAGCTCTCTGCTCTCTCTCTCTCTCTCTCTCTCCCCCCCCCCATCTCTACCTCTCTCTCTCTCACATACACAATGCACACATACACAAAACACAAGCACACCCTTTTCTGCATCAGATAGATACAAAGCAGCTGAATGGAGATTTTCTTCTACACCTGAGGAAAAAGAACATTCTTAATTTGGTTACACTTTTAAGCTATGTCTTTCTAAGTGTATCACTCCTGCCTGAAGGCAATCTATCTTATTTGCTTTCTTCTGTTCAGATTTCTTGGATAGCTATGAATTTTTCTACTTAATCCAATAAATATTTATCAAGCACCTAATATGACCACAGTAAGCTTCCCAATTTTAATGTGGATACAAGTCATCCTAGGATATGGTTAAAGTGCAGACTTTGATTCATCGGGTTTGAGTTGAGGTCTGAGACTCCACATGTCTAAGGAGTGCTACGTGATGCTGATGCTGAGGATTTTGTCAACCATATTTTGAGAAGCAAGATAGTGAAGAATGCATGTGAGTATAGGGTTAGTTACAATCCAGTAGTGGTGAGTACTATTTGAGGAAAATCTACTTTGGAAGCAAATAAACTTGAACAGAATACAGATGTTAAAATTCAGGAAAAAATTCCTAGAGGGTATATGAACAAAACAGCCCCTTAGGGAGAGGAAGGGTTATGCAGATTAAGCACGCAAGGAAAGGAGAAATGGGAAGAAAGCTGGAATTCCTGGCAGAAGGGGATACTGCAAAGCAGATGTTAAGTGGCTATTAGAAAAATGTATGAAACACCAGGACAGTGGGTAATCTAGAAGATAAAGAAAGGAGTATTTAAAGACAGAATGAACAACAGTAGTTCAGTTTAGAAATGAGTTTTATAGTGTCTGTTAGATTTAACAGCAAAGACGTATTTGGTGATATAGTGAAAATAATTTTAGTAGTTACATGGATGAAAAAGGCAGAGTATAGCAAGTTGAAGAATGTTTGGGAGTAAGGAAAGTAGGGCCTGTTATTTTGTGCGTTTTTGATGTAAGATATTTCAGTCTGTTTAAATCCGTTTGGAAAGAAGGAAGTAGGGAGAAATTGAAGACACAAGGAAGGGGGGAAATAATCAGTGCAATATGCACCCTGAGAAAGAAAGAGATGAAATCTGGAGCCAAACTGGGAAGATTATCTCAGGAAGTTCCTAGGTATAGTTCATTGTAACAGAAGGGAAGAAATAAAAAATGAAAGACTTAGCCAAGTCTGTATGTTTGTTGGTAGAAAGTTGGAGGGTTTCCTACCTGTGCTTCCTATGATCACTGGAAATTAAGAAGTACATTTATATTCTGAGGGAAAAGACAATAAGACCAGGAGTTTCTAAAACATGAAAAAGGTTGTCCATATGGAAAATGGAAAAGAAATGTAGCTGACAGAACAGTGAAGGATTTATTTCATGAGTATGCATCCCGACTGTTTTGTGTTTTTATGATAGAAGAGACCATGGATTGACGGTGATAGCCATCTTAGACTCTTTCCACACTAGCAGGAATCATGTCTCCCTTCGCCAAGACAGAACTTCTAAGCTCAGCCAGGTCCTAGTTTTCTGGATGAATTTCATCCCACCTCCCCTGTTTTAAGTCCCAAGCCTGTTTTTTGGGACTGGACTCTCAGGTTATTGGTACAGATCTATCGTTAATTCAGAGATATTCAAAGATATACTCCATGAGACTTATTTTCTGTGTCCTCTCACTTCCCTATGGTTACTCAATTCCCTACACACACACACTTATTTGTCTAGGCTCAAAACTCTCCATTTACGTATCTTGCTTACAGTTCTTACAAACAGGGCTGCACTAAATGTCTCCTAGAGGAATTTCTAACAGTCATACACCTAAAGATATTAAATATTCCCAAATGTCCTTGACACTTTGATAAGGTCCTACTTCTCCTTATGTGCAGAATCCACATATTTCCATTTATTCACTGATGATTGATTAGTGCAGTCTCTAACCATCACCCCCAACTTTAGAAGAATTACAGAAAATCTTATTTTCTTTATAATATCCATCTTTGATTCAAGACCAAGTTTGACAAAGATTTAATAAAATCAGTCAAAGATATATGAGTGACCTCTCTTTCTGAGTAAAAATCTGCAGCTTGATTCCTATTCACAAATGCTGTTATAAGGCTTTACATAGGATAAAGAATTTCTAGTAGAGAATCATCTGGAAGAAATTAATTGATGGAATAATCATATTTCCTCTCCCTGTATTAGTGGAAAGAAGTATGGTAGGGCAAAGGGAGTGAGGTGGGGTGTTCAATACAATTTAACATCCAAACTGTTTTAGGAAAGCAATATGATATATCTGTTATGAATGTGGTTTCTGGTGGCATCACCCTGACTGATTCTATGATTTAGGCAAATTAACCTAAGCCTCAGTTTGGTCCTCTGTAAAGTGAGAATATTAATAATGCCTACCTCATATGGGTTGTTGCCAGGACTAAATGGCACATTCTATATACAGCAGCCTGGAATCAGTCTGCCCTGGTGTAGATGTGTATTTTATCAATGATATTTATAATTTCCCAAGCACTTGGTGATAAGATAACAGACTGACTTTAACTTTATTCTATAATTAGTTTTAAACTCTCTACAAACAAATCACTACCCTGTTGCTTGCCTCCTGGGGAAGACTACTCTGTTATATTTTAATAAAATGGGTTGTTGTTATATTTTAACAAAATGCATATCAAATTCTGAAGTTACATTTATCAAAGAATTAAGATAATAAATAAGGTTAATGACATCACATTTTAAGTATACATTTGTGAAAATTTACTATGTTTTATATTGTTAATTTACTTTACTTAATATTGAGTTGACTTAGGCCAGAAAAAAATGTGCTACATTACAGTGGAATTGAGAGTGCTGATATCCTGCAGTAGAGTTATGCGCTAATTTCTTGAAGACCCAGTTAACTCATCAATATGGATCAGCTTCAATGCTACCTGTTAGCAATTAAAATCCCCTCACATTTTACAAAAGTTCCATAAAATTTCTGGACACTTCTTTTTTCTCCATATATATTTCACATCTAGGCATTTCCTGAGTTCTAGGACACATAGATATCCAAAGCAAACAGTAAACCCAGGCACAAGCTTCTCATTTCTACTCTTTTTGCCCAGCAAAGGAAGACAGAGCATCCCCCTTCAGAATATGAAATCATGATTCAGGATGTGTTGAGTCCTAACCCTTTGCTTCCCAAGATGGGCTTCCGCACACAGTAAAACATGCTTAAACCAAACCTGAAAGGAAATCCATCTATTTCTCTCTCCCTCTCCCCTCCAAGTCCCCTGCAACCCTTCCCTTCCTTCCTTTCTCTCTTCTTCCTTCTCCCTTCCTCCCTTTCCTCCCTTTCTTTCTTCCTCTCTCCTCATTTTCTCTTCTTCTTCTTCCCCATCCCTCCCTCTTTCCATTACTCTCATTTCATTCATACACATACTCACACATACCCATTGCTTCTGCTAAAAATAAATTTTTCTAGCAAACCTCCAAGTTTAACACCTAAAACATGAGAATGTTTCTCTAAAGTAACTTGTAGATAGCTGTGCTTTGCTTTACATTTTTTAACATGTGTTTTCCTGACCTATGTATTGTTTTGGAAATCTATAATTAGTAAAACATAAACCTACTATTTTTATTTTCCATCTGCCAGATGCCAAGTTGTCTCTAGAGTCCCTCAAAGAACAGAATCCAACATGGCTCTTTTCATTTGCATTCTTGTTTACAAGAGTGGGTGACAATGACAGCTGAAATAAATAGCCACAGCTTAGAGAAAATGATTTTGTTTCTTAATTGTTAGTGGGCTGTGATCAGGAAAAGCCCAGGAATGAAACAGAAGCCAGCTTCAAAAAAATGATGATTCTTTTCATTTTTAATTCTATTTCTTTTAATTTTTCTGAATCTACTCTTCTTTTAATTTTTCAGAATCAACTATGATGAATTTTAACAGTATTATCTTTAATTACTGAAGCAACTTCACCTGAACTTAGGCTATTCTTAGGCTATCATTGAGATCACTCTGAAGTTGAATAGATTCTTCCAACAATTAGCACTGTTTTTAGTAAAGAAGGTAGTCAAAAAGGATAACTTGAAAAAATATGTTCTTTATAAGAGTTATTAATGGGACAAGGATGTAACTTTGAAATACATAGAGAGGTGATGGGAATTTAAGAAAGAAATGACGTAATTTTTGAATTTGGTAAGCCTATATAGTACAGTGAGTTGGCTAACAATTGAATTTCTCTATCTACCCCACCTACCTGGAATGCCCTTCTACTTATCACTTAGGACAAGAATATTATGAAGAAAAATAAATTATTTTAAAAACCAATTCCATCAGTCAAAGACAATATTATTAGAGTCCTAATCTAATGTATTCTCTGGTTAAAATAATTCTGCCTTCTACCTGTCCTAATCCTTTTAGATGGGCTGCTGGGTGGCAGCAAGGGGTGGGAAAATAATCGAGACAAGTCATCACAAATAATAACATAAGCCATTCCCAAAAGCCACCACCTTCCTGTGGTGGTTTCTTCAGAAGCCTCCAGGTATGCAATACCCAAAAATTAATGAACTCACACATTCAATACAATGTCTTTTATTTATAAGGTGTTTTTATTTATATACCAATCTTCTATTATTCATGTATAGCCCTTGTACCTCATTCTTTTCTCACAATAAAAGGTCCTTCCACACTCCCCCTTTAACTATCCTCTAATGTGTGAGCCAGTTGGAACATTAGTTACTCCACCCCTAATTACAACTTACATTATTTGCTTATAAATTGGCTCATTATAATATCATAAACAGGAGAAGGAAATCCCACATCTGGGGTAAAGAGCAAAGTTCCCCAAGTCAATCTCAGGTAGCCTGTTTCTTCATTTGGTTAAGCTCCCACCATGCTCTTGGATTTCTTCATTCTTATAATGGCAAGTTTACAACACTACACATTCAAGAAATATTTATTGAATGCTCACTAGGATCAGGCACTGTTGCAGATTCTTTGGATACTGCATTGATCAAGAGAGTAAAAACTATGACATCCCTTAAGAAGCTTGCATTCTTTTGGAAGAAGACAGATACCAAATACCAAAAATAATAAATGAGGAAATTATTTAGTATGATAGAAGTAATAAATGCTATAAAAGATAAAAAGCATGCATTGGTAAGGTGGATAAAAAAGAGATGGAATGGCAGAGCATTTGCATTTCACAAGAAGATTCTGATCAGTATTCACCAAAAAAAATGACATTAGAAGGAAGGTATGTCCTATGTTTACCCCTAGTCTTTACTATTGCTCATAATGGTACACCTCAAAAATCACCAAATAAACATGTACAAATGCTCTTTGACTTACAATGGGGTTATGTGCCAATAAGTCTATTGTAAATTGAAAATATCATAAATCAAAAATGTGTTTAATACACTAACCTGTCAAACATCAGACTTTAGCTTAGCCTACCTTAAATGCGCTTAAAACACTTACATTAGCCTACAGTTGGGCAAAATCATCTGGCAACACAGTACACTTCAGAGTATAATTTGTTTGCCCTCGTGATCAATCACTGACTAACTGGGACCTGCAACTCGGCTTGCTATCCAACATTGCAAAACAGTGTCCTACCACATATTGCTGGCCCAGAAAAAGATCAAAAAGATTTTAAAAAGTATGGTTTCTACTGAATGTGTATCACTCTTGTACCATCATAAAGTTGAAAATTGTAAATCAAACTGTTGTAAGTCGTAAGTGGGGATTGTCTGTATATTCTCTATTGGCTAAAAATAATAAATTTCTCACTTTTAATACAATAGGTTTCACTCTCATCTACTGTATTAGTTCATTTTCACACTGCTATAAAGAACTGCCTGAGACTGGGTAATTTATAAAAGAGAGAGTTTTAATTAACTCACAGTTCTGCATGGCTGCAGAGGGCTCAGAAAACTTAGAATCATGGCGGAAGGTGAAGGGGAAGCAAGGCACCTTCAACACAAGGCAGCAGGAAGGAGAATGAATGCAGAAGGAACTACCAAACACTTATAAAACCATCAGATCTCATGAGAACTCACTCACTATCACAAGAACAGCACGGGGAAATTGCCCACATGATTCAGTTACCTCCACCTGGTCTCTCCCTTGACATTAGGGATTATGGGAATTATGGAGATTACAATTCAAGATGATGTTTACATGGGGACACAGCCAAACCATATCATTTACTCTTCTACAAAAGCAGACAATTTTAGCACCTAGGTGGTCTACTTCTGAAACAGAAATTCATTAGTTACAGAATTATCTCTACAACCTGTCCTTACAACACACACATCATTACCATGTCATATGTAAAATAGAATAACCTTCTTTGTTTCTTCTAAGAATAAGTTAAATGCAAGGGCTTTAAAGCAGACCTATGCCATACACCAATGATTCTCAACTTTAGCCTGCATTAGAATTACCAGGAGGACTTATTAAAATACAGATGGCTGGGTATCTACCCAAGAGTGTCTGATTCAATAGATCTCAGGTGGAGACTGAGAATTTGCATTTCTAGTAAGTTTCTGGGAGATGCTGATCAGAACATAATGAGAACGACTGCTTTGCATCAATCTTTGTAAGATTATGACTTTCCAACTCAACTTTAAATGCCAAATGAAACTAACATTTTAAGCTCTAATTCCATGTAACTGAAGGCAAATGATATTATTTAATATTTACTACTTTACTGTTATTTTAATCTTTTCTTTCTACCATACACAAAAGAGGAGAGGAAATTATGTTTATTCTAACTCTACTATATGTCAGATATAATACAATCTACCAAACCAAATGAAACAAAATCTTTCTTTCAGAACCCCCAAAAACACCCTATTTGCCTGAAGATTGCATCACATTCCTAAACTTACTGTGTGTATTTCAAAGATGCTTATGGTCACTCAAGTAGGTTAGCTATAAACCCCCAAAAAAATTCACACTCTGCCTCACTGTTCTCATCAACTGTAGAAAATCCTTTATTTGTTTCATAAGAAGTCAAAACACCCTAAATAAGTATAAATTGTGAGTTTATGGATAGGAAAGGCCACAATAACTCCTTCCCAAGCATGAAAGACCCTGATCTCAAATCTTAGTCTCTAAAGAATCTGGTGTTTCATAAAAAAACAAAATCATACCCCTAATTGATGGCTGAATTCAAATGACTAGAAGCAACAAGTTGTTCAGCATTGCTTTCAGAAACCCAGTGAAATGAAGCAAAGATAGCGGCTTATGTTTTGAACAAGCTGTGAGATTGTCTCAGCTCATTTTTGTGGAACTGAAGCCTTGTCTATAAAGGTGTCTTAGGGAGAAGTGAAGCACCATGCCTATCACCACGGAAATAAGCTTTATGTGCTGTATTTGTCAAGGTCTGCTGGATATATGAGGAAAATAGCAGCAGTGACAGAGAAAATGCTTTTACCTCTTTCTAAATGAATATGGCAGATGTTGACCAGGAATAACTAAAGATTCTTCTTTCTTGGTAAAATGAGCATGTGTACTTTATAAAGACATATTCTCCAAGATATGCTTATTAAAATATGTAATTAATCATCCTCTTTAAATCTCACAAACAGAAAATATTAGAGCCAAGGCCAAAGATCTGTGTCAAAAAGCATAGCAATTCCATCTGTTGGTTAAATAAAATTATAAAGTATTCTCTGCATTCTACTGCTGTGTAACCTGGATTTTCCTAAGTACATCTGGATGTTTAAAAAGTGATCATTTTAAGAGTCATGACTGGATTACATTGATCTTGCTATTCGACTGCTTGAATTGTTCAATTCAAGATTCAAAAAATCTTGAATTACCTCAGAGACATTAGGAATGCTCTTACCTGTATCTGTGAACTGTTCCTACTGTTATCACTTGAATCTGCCATTTTTCTCCTCTTCCACTCTGTCTGCTTCAATGACAGCTTACTTTTTGGTACTTCAGCTAAAGCCTCTGCCACTGGTTAGCTGCATGAAATCACTTTAACTCTGTCTATAGTGCCCATGCTAGTAAAGTTTAGGCTTAAACTGAATCCCTTAGTATATGTAAAATTACTTTTGTAAATGTAAAGATTGTATATAGCTGACACCACAAATGAGGGCTTGCCTGATGCATTTTGCCACTTCATTTAAAAGGCATAAAATGAGAGTTATTATACGCTGAGAAAGAAGCAGCTAACCAGATGCTAATTTAGCACAAGGATTCTGGGAAATTATTGCCCTAACTATAAGTGTTTGCCCTCTTCCCTTTTCACTGGATGCTAATTACCAGTGAATTTCCCTGAGTTTTGCATTTTGCAGCTGTTACATTTAGCAGGCAGAAAGAGACTGGAGGGTGAGGCAAAGACTGAGGTGAACAGGAAAGAGAGAGGAGCCTGTAGCTAACTCCCTTGTGTACTGTATTTGATAACATCTGAGGATCAAAGTAGAAGATCTGGGGAATCTGCTCCTGAAAAGATGAAGTGGCTCTTTCCCACCATTCCTACATCAGAGGCTATAGCTCTAGACTCTGTAGCTAAGAAGGCTGGTGAACTACGTAGTTTGTACAGGGACTGATAACCTGCCACCTCCTAGAGGCAAAGACCATTAGGTCTGCCTCCCAAGAATCAAATATTCAGCCAAGACATCCTTCACCCAGCAGGGAGAATCAAACATACTTGCATATTTGCAACATTGTACAAATATGCCAGGAACCATTTTAGAGAACATTTAAGAAAGGATTCTAACCAAACAACAATGAATCCAATTACAGACCTAAAAAAATGGGCAGGTAGAGACTTCTAGTTACAGCTTCCACATGGAAAGAGCTCCTCACTCTCATCTTTACCTTAAGAAAAAAGCTACACAGACTGGAAGCCAATGATGTTTTTTGGAGCCATAGAAGAAGAAATGAAGTGACAGGACAAAATAGCACACTGAAAATTTGAGAGACAAGTGAATACAGAGAATCAGTCAAAGTCAGCTTACCAGAAGCGGAAGTTGCTATAAACTACTAGGAGCACTTAAAAGGTAACATTGAGAACAAGAACACATGGACATAGGAAGGGGAACATCACACTCTGGGGACTGTCGTGGGGTGGGGGACGGGGGAGGGATAGCATTAGGAGATATACCTAATTGTAAATGATGAGTTAATGGGTGCAGCACACCAGCATGGCACATGTATACATATGTAACTAACCTGCACATTGTGCACATGTACCCTAAAACTTAAAGTATAATAATAATAAAAGAAAAGAAAAAAAAATTCCCACAAAGGGATACCTACAATATAACTTTAATTAAAAAGTTTTGTTTACACACTTAAAAAAAAAAAAAGGTAACATTGATGAATCACTGGAGACAACGTGTGGACTAAAGTGAGAATGAGAAACTTATAGGGGTTACAGTTTTGGGAGATACCCACACTTTCATGGGTTTTTCTTCCAGGAACTCCACCAGGTTCTCATGGTGAAGAGACAAGAAAAACACTCCTGTCTCTGACAGGAGGTTGGAAAAATTTACCATTTTTTAGTACCCACAGAGTATTTTCCATAACAAAGGCCAATACTCCAAATAAAAAGGACTTTACCAGAGCCTTTTCTGATGTAAGAGAAGTGAAATTACCCAATTCCAATTCTCTACAATCTCTTTCAGAAAACAGAATCAGAGGAAGTACCTCCTAACCCATTCTATAAGGCCAGAACTATCCTATTACCAAAATTATATAGACAACAGAAGAAAGCCAATCTCTCATGAACATAGACACAAGAACCCTCCACAGTATACTGACAAACTAAATCCAGCAATGTATAATAAGAATTTTGCTCCACAACCAAATGGGGATTTATTACAGGTACGGAAGGTTGATTGTGCAATTGAAAATCAGTTAATCTACCACATTAACAGAGTAAAGAAGAAAAAGCATTTGAAAAAACCTAACACCCATTCATGATGAAAATTCTTAAGCCAGGAATAGAGAGCACCTTCTTCACCTTGATAAGAACATCTGCAAAATAGGTATAGCTGACATTATACTTAATGGTAAGAAACTGGATACTTGCCCTCTAAGATGCAAAACAAGGGAAGCATGTCTCTTCTCATCACTCCTAGTCAACATCTTACTAGAAGTCTTAGTATAAGAAGAAATGTTCTACATACGGGGAAGAGAGAAATGAAATGGTTTAGTTTACAGATGGTACGACTGCCCATACAGAAAATTTCAGAGAATCAACAAAACAACTCCTGATATGAATAAGTGATTATAGAAAGGTAGCAGAATAGAAGGTTAAAAGCAAGTCAGTTGATTTCTGTATGGTAGCAATAAGCAATTTGAACGTGAAATTATAAACACAATGCCATTTATGTTATCACCAAAAAAAAAAACCAGGTATAAATCTAACAAACTATGTACAAGATCAACACGAGGAAAGCTACATAACTCTGATTAAATAAATTTTAAAAGATAGAAATAAGTGGGATCTATAGGAAGATTCAATAGTGTTAAGATGTCATTTCTTCTCAACTTGATCTAGAGAGTCAACATAATTCCCCAAAATTCCAAAAAATTATTTTTTGGATATCAGCAATATGATTCTACAGTTTAAACAAAAAGGCAAAAGACCCAGAATAGCCCACACAATACTGAAGAAAAATAAAGTTGGGGGACGAACTCTACCTGACTTTAAGACTCACTATATCAACAGAGTGTGGTATTGACAAAACAATACATGAATAGATTAATGGAACAGAAGAGAAAGCCCAGATATAGACCCAAACAAATAAAAACTTTTGCTATCCAAAATACACTGTTAAGAATATCAGAAGACAAGCCACAGACTTGGAGAACATCTTTTCAAAATACATATCTGATATAAAACTGGTAACCAAACGATTTTATAAGCACTTAAAATTCAAACATAAGAAAACAAATAACCAAATTTTTTAAATGGGCAAAAGATCTGAACATATACCTCGCCAATTGAGACATACAGCTCCTGAAAAGATGCTATCTTCATTTTTCATCAGATAATTATAAACTAAAACAACAAAATAGCACTACACACCCACACCCATAGGAGAAACCCATGTTGCCTATCCAATTGGAAATGTTTTTAAAAGCAGAAAGCACAGGGGAAAAACTTCAGGACATTTGTTTGGGCAAAGATTTCTTGAGTAAGACCTAAAAAGCATAGGCAACAAAAGCAAAAATTTACAAATGGGATTACTTCATGCCAAAAAGCTTCTGCACAGCAACCAACAAAGTGAAAAGACAACCCACATAATTGAAGAAGATATTTGCAAACTATCCATCTGACCAGGTAATAATAACCAGAATAGGTAAGGAGCTCAGACATCAATAGCAAGAGAACAAATAATCTGATTTTTAAATGGACAAAAAAATCTGAATAGACATTTCTTAAAAGAAGACATACAAATGGCCAACAGGTACATGGAAAAATGCACAACATCACTGATTATCATAGAAATGCAAATTAAAACCACAGTGAGATGTCAATTCACTCAAGTTAAAATGGCTTTTATCAAAAAGACAGGAAATAACAGATGCTGGTGAATATGTGGAGAAAAGGGAAACTTTGTATGCTATTAGTGGAAATGTAAAATAGTACAGCCATTATGGAAAGCAGTATGGAAGGTCCTCAAAAAACTAAAAACAGACCTACCATATGAACTAGCAATTCCACTACTGGGTATATATCCAAAAGAAAAGAAAAGAAATATATCAAAGAGATATCTGCATGCCCATGTTTATTGCAGCACTATTCACAATACCCAATATATGGAATCAATCTAAGTGCTCATCAGCAAATGAATGGATTTTTTTAATGTGTTATAAATACACAATGGAATATTATTTGGCCATAAAAAGAATGAAATCTCATCATTTGCAGCAACATGGATCAACTGAAGGCCATTATGTTAAGTGAAACAAGCCAAGCACAGAAAGACAAATATCACATGTTCTCATTCACATGTGGGAGCTAAAAAAGTGGATCTCATGAAGATAGAGAGTACATTGGTGGTTACCAGAGGCTAGAAAAGGTGGGATGAAGGGAGATAAAGAGAGGTTGATTAATGGGTACAAATATACATTTAGATAAAAGAAATAAGACCTAGTGTTTAATAGATCAGTGAAGTGACTATAATTAATTTTAATTAATTGTGCATTTCAATATAGGTAGAAGAGAATAATTCAAATGTTCCTAAAGATAAATATTTAAGGTGATGGATATCCCAAGTACCCTGATTTAGTTATGTGAATGTATCAAATTATCACATGTACCCTGAAAATATGTACATCTAATATGTATCAACAAAATGAGTATATTAAATATAATGGTAAAAGCAGAGAACAAGTTTAACCAAGAGACAGCAGATGGCTCCTCTGATACCAACAGCATGTCCCCTGGTTAAATTGTAAAGATCAGTGATCCAGGGAGACCCAGAAAGTGTAGATCCCTGTGAGTGAATGACTAACCAACATAACATTACTCCTAACTATACCCCTGGTGTTTCCTTAGTAGGGAAGAGTATTTTTAGGACCTATGGAGAAAAGAGGTTGGCACAGGGTGAGGAAATGCATGAAAACAGGAAGGGTTCCCTTATAAGCCCCCAGGATAGTGGGGAGTTTTATTATCTTGGAGATGAGGGAGATAGACCAGCCTCCAATATTTCTATTGCAGCCACTGAGGCAGCTGACCACTTTTACTTTAAAACCCATTGTTTGCAGCATTTTACACCATGGGCTGAGATATAGCAGTGCCTAAACAAGAACTTGGGTCCCTTTGAGATTACTGTCATCAGCATCTCAGGAAATATTTGAGGTATAGATTTTTTTGTTTGCATGATGAAGGAGCAATGTTTGTATCATTGAAAACAAGTACTTTTAGTACAGCATAGCTCCCACACTAGAATCACTGTTCTTCAAATAAAAATTTTAAATGTTTTATGTGTTGACTTATAATGCTGGGCAGTCATTTCTCTTACTTTCTTGAACTGGATGCCTGGTGGACTTTGGTATACATTCTACCATCAGGGAGATTTTCTCAGAGAACATAAATATAAACTGAAATATCACCACTGTGGCTGTAGCTACTTGAGACAGCTTGCTGTGTTAGGATAATTTTGTGAGTACCTGGGTGTCATGGGAAAACTTCAAACAATGTTTTTGTCTAGTAGAAAACAAACATGTGCAAACAATTCTACTATAACTCACTAGATCCTTGTTTGAAAGCTCCACTTGTAATGGAACCACTATAAAAAACACGGATACCCAAAGAAGAAATTTTTTGACACACAGAGGAGTCACTGATAACCCACAAAACTTGCACTATTTTCCAATTTTCCTATCTGTTCAACCCAAACCTCTACAGGGCTAGTTGGTCGGTCTGATTTTGATAATTTACAAAGGGCACTCTACTGTATTTTCCTCTGCCTTGATTAATCTACAAGACCTCTATCAGGTAAATGGAACACGAGTAATTCAAGGACTTTTTAAGTGATACAAATATTAGGTAGAACAGTAAAATATTATATTGTATGTCAATTTTCATTTGACCATAGCAGATGGAAAAACAAGTTGCATTGCTTAGATCAGTAACACTTGGATGGAAACAATCTTGAATGCTGACTTGGCCTCAAATAGATCTATAGCTGTCTTCTATCCACAGAGATCACTATAATGACAAAGCAGCAATTCCTAATGCCTTTCTGAAAAAGGACAGTCTGGCTTATCCCTAAGGGGTAATGAAAGAAATTTACTGGTTGGGTAGCAACTCATCCAACCTTATAAAATATGTTAGGGGTTGAGGGATACTTAATAACCCTGTCTCCTTTTGTATTTCAAACACACACAAACCATTCTAGCCTTTCTTAGACTCTTTAGAGTAGTGACTCACAGTACAACTCATTTTTATGTAAGATTTGTCATTCATAAACTCTCCCAGCTTTTCCATAGCAACCTCACCACTCCACCAAAAAAATGCAGATTTTTTGTTATTGATTTGTTCATATTCCTTGGCTATTAACTCTAACCACTGTATAGTAATGGCTTTCAATTTTAAATGAAGGTATTTATGTCTGCATTAGGAAATCCTATCACTATACTGAATAGTACGTAGATTTTAAAAACAGCCCTGCTGACACAGGTTCTGCCACTGCATGACAATTTTCCTTCAGTTATTTTATTCTGTGAAGTACTTTTAGTACAGCATAGCTCCCATATTAGAGTTATTATTCTTCAAATAAAAATTTAAAATGTTAAAGATATTAGCATTATTAAAAATCATTTTACTCATTCATTCCTTCAGTAAATATTTGTTGAGAATTTAACATACGTCAATGTTCTTGATGTTAAAGCAGTGGAAAAAAAAAAAGTCCCTACTCTCCTGGGACTTACATGAGGGAGGAGATGGACAATAAACAAATCAACATGTAACATGTCAGGTGGTGATGAGTAATATGAACAAGGTCTAGGTAAGTGAGAAAAGAGTATTGTGACAGATTTGGAAGGGATGAAAACATCTAGGCTTTTATTTTAGACAAGGTATTGTCTTAGTCACTTTGTACTGCTATAACAAAGTAGTATAGACAGGGTGGCCAGCACACAAAAGAAATTCCTCACAGTTCTGGAGATAGAAAATTCAGATTAGGGTGCCAGCATGGTTTTGTGTTCTGGTTAGGACCCTCATCCAGGTTGCATACTGCTGGCTTCTCATTGTATCCTAATGTGGTGGAAAGAAGTCCAGAGAGCTCTCTAGGGACTCTTTTATAGGGGCACTAATCTGATTCATGAAAGCTCCACCCTTATACCTAGCCACCTCCCAAAGACTCCGCCTCCTAATACCATTACATTGAGATAAAGATTTCAACAAATGAATTCTGGAGGGATACAAACATTCAGTCTATTGTGAGTAATGAAGAAAGACCCTAATGAATTGATGACATTTGAGCAAATGTCCAAAGGAGATGAGAGAGCAGGCCATGTGGACAGAGAAAGAGAAAGAAGAAGATGGATCAGAGAAGTTGCCAGCAGGAGACAACACCTGTAGGCCCTATAGGCAATAGTAATAGTATTGGATTTTATTTTGAGCAAATAGGAAAGTCGTTAGAAATTTTGAGCAGAGGAGTAACTTGACTGACAAGATGTTTCAAGAATCACCACGGCTATGGAAGAAGCTTATACTGTAGTGGGGGCTGAGATGGAAAGGGAGAAACCAGTTGGGAAACTTTAGAAACAATAATCATTCAAATGGAATATAACTAGTATTTAGGAAGCAATTAATAAGAATGTATTATTTATCTTAACAAAATTTAATTTACAGATTTTGCAGTGCAAATATTCTGTGAAGTGCACTTGTGATTCACAGAAAAAGAAAGGTCATGTAATTGAGTACGTCCACTAAGTTGCTCTAAATTGAAAAGTAAATTATTATTTCCAATTTTTCTTAAAATGCTATTACATCAAAAGGGCAAATAAGTAACAAAAGCTACAAATCAAATCAAATCACTATTAGAAAGGCCATGCTTATGCAACCTCTCATCTCACAATGCACAAACAGCCGCCAGCTCCAGTAGAATTACCTCCTTATCATTTGCCAGATTAAAAAAAATCATTCCCGTGGTTGTGATTTGACTTGTTATTCTTTCTGCAATGTATCTCTAACTCTGTTTCGCTAATTAATGCCCACAACTTCATTCAAATCCCTCTGTAAGGCTCATTTTCATCAGTACACTTTCTGTGATTAATGTCACCACATGCTGAGCATACCCCCTACTTTGCAAGTATAAGTACTAAGGAAAATGCAATTTATACAACATTATACATTAGGTGAGAGGCAGCAGAGTTGAGCCAAAAAAAAAAAAAAAACAACTGTAGGCTGCAAAATCAGAATTCAGAATCTTAATCTACCTCAATTGTGGAAACTTATGCAAGATGTCTAACCCTTCTAACTTCCTTTCCTTGTTTATACAGTAGACAATGGGAATAATAATGCTTACACCATATGTCTGTTGTGAAAATCATTTAGATGAGAGTAATTGCTATCATGTATGAGGCACTTATTATAGAATCTGGCTCCAGAGATCATACCTTTAATCATTACCCAGTACGGTCTGTTTGATATCATTTATAAGACACCTAGTCCAGTGTTTGATATTTAGACCTTAAAGCAAATAATAGTTGTATTTTCAGTTTTGTTCTTCCCTGATATCATTTTCTTCCAAAAAAAAATTGACATCTTTCTTCTGCAAAAAAGGGAGTCTCAGGCCCACAGAGAGAAGAGGAACTTCCTCTGGCCATTTATTTCTGGTGGGGCTCCCAGTTAATTCCCTTGTAGGTGATACCAAGCTTATCTGATGTTGGAGATTTTTTCATTTGATCTGAGGGCTGGCAGGGAGGAGGAGCATACCCGGGCTGCCTTCTGTTGCCAGTTAGGTGATCTGGAAACACCAGATCTGGATTCCATTTTCTACTGGGTGGTTGGAGGCAGGATACAAGACATCCTGCCTCTGTGCTAGTCCTCAAATCCAGAGGTCCCAAACCAGCTTGCCGCCTTCTCAACATCTTTCAGAGTTATCTTTGCATTGATTCTTGCACCATTTCAAGGTTTACAGTTGTGCTTAGGAGGGGAGGAGCAGGGGAAAAAACAGGCCTAATGCCATCCTGTCAGCACTGGAGGAAGTTCCACCATTGCTTTAAATAACTACTTAACTACTTTCATATTTTTGAGAGGAAGAATGCAATAATATGACTTCAGAATAAATAAATAATGGAAGAATTTCAAAACAGCACGAGGCTTTGCTTTGAACTATCCAATATTCTTGAGACTGCAAATTGTATAGGAATAGGGAAGAGTTTCTCTCATGAGTTTTCTTCCAATCACGTTTCTCTCATGAGTTTTCTTCCAATCAGAAAAAAAATATGAGACTTTCTTGTGGATTTCAACATATCTAATCATATACCTGTTGGCAATCTAGAAGAGAAGAAATAGACAAAAAATTCATAAAGAACTTATGTACATAGTATGTTCAGCTCAATTTTTATTTTATACAAAAATTTTGAAATAAAATTTACTTTCATGTACAAATTCACATTATATTTTATAGTTTATAAATGCAGCTAACATAAATCATTGTCTAAATTACTCTGTCATGTTATTTTGCTTAAATGTTTTCAATATAGTGAAGTTTTTCAATTTTTTTTTTAAAAGAGAACAGATATCAAATATAATTGAGCATTCCGATGCTCTCAGGGACATACTCTGCCTGTCTAGTCAGTGGCCCTGGCATTATTCAGTAACTATTACTGACCATAGATGTCCATCATCATATCTAAGATATGTTCTAAAATATACTATTTGGTCAGATATTCACTGTTCTGAATTAATCAGGGGCCTAAATATTAGGTACTTGGTTATTGTAGCTTTTGAAGCAAACTTTACATCAAACTTAACTGAACTATACAAATAGTGGTTAGCTTCTAGTCTTTCAGGCTGAGTAAGATTCTGTATCTCTAATACAGTTTACTGAGTTTCAAGCACTTTTATAGACCCTAGAGATAAAGCAGTAAAGAAAACAAAGACCCATCTCTCAATGAGTTTACATGTTATTAAGGGAAAGGCAAATAGTGAACAGGTAAACATACCAGTTGTTAGTTATTGAAAAGGATAAGGTGAGGGGACAGAGTATGACTGGAGAATGTAATATTTCATATTTTATATGCTCAGGAAAGACTTGTTTGAGAAGAGAATTTCTGTGTGAACTAAACAATTATGAGAGAGAGAAAAATTCCAGAGAAAATAAATTCAAAGTCATGAGGGGAGAATGTGTACTGCTTTCACACCATCATAAAGTTGCAAAAATTGTGAGTTGAACAATCCTAAGTCAGGGCCAATCTGTACTTCATACAATATGTACTATATGTATACTTTACTTTCTTAGCTATGCATATGATATGTAAAACGCACACACAGGGACGCACATATAACAGTATACTTAAATAGGAACTTATTCAAAATGCAACAAAAATAACACTCTGAGGACTTTTATATAGAACTAATGATTTGCTTGCATTGAGGTGCCCTCTAGGGAACTGCAGGCTGCAGATTCACAAAACAACCAAATTCTGAGACCACAGTCAGAAAGAACACCTTATTGACTTGAGATAAGGCATCAATATATAATGGATTGAACTAGCCATGAGAAAGAGTGATACACCCGTCTAGCCAATACATAAAAGGAAACTCTTCTAGAAATGAATGCTAAGGAAAAAATCAAAGATGCAAATAATAGATATTTTAAAAGAGACACTCATAGCATTATCTATAATATTAAAAATTTGGGAAGAATCTAAATGTCCATTAATAGGATATGGTGAATTATGATATCTCCATGTAGTGTAATAATATGCATCAATTAAAAAACAATTCTATAATAATATTTATTGCCATAGCAAACTACAATACAATTAAAATTTAGCATATAAAATGGCATGGTCAACATATTACCATTTTTGTAAGAAGAACAATATGTAAGAAAATATTTTCAATTGTTATGTGTCTGATATTATTTTCATTTTTAGGTTTTTGTTTTCCTGTGTTCCTGTATCCATCTTAGGCCTTCATTGTAATGGAGAAAAAATAAGTTGATAAATGGCATTTTTAAAAGATGCATTACATTTCAAGAAATTATTTGTGATTTTTTTCTAATGAAAATAGAGTATATTTCTTAAGGATAAAAAATAAGTTTCTCTTTTAAATGGTATCCAATATCTAAACTTTAACTAGTATTAAGTTAAAAATGACATAATATTCTATTTGTCAAGAAGATGTTTTCATAACAGAAAGATAGCAGTTTGTATAAAGCTGGAAAAAAAAGAGAGCCAGAGATGACCATGTTATCAGAGTCTCCCTAGGCCTATGCAGAAGGCCACTGACTGAGAAACCTTTGTGTTTCAAGCAATAGGAAAGTGTACAATGTGGGAAGAAGGTCATCAGCCTCCACATCAGCCAGTCCAGATTAAATATCCTGAAGAACTACACAAGTCCCTTTGCTCACCAAGCATACTTCCGATTAATCATTTGATTGCAGTAGTATCTTGATAAAAGAAAGCATGGGCCTATGAGATAAGAGAGCACTAATGTCCCTTGGAAAGCACTGCTCTTCCACAGTGTCCACAACTGCCCCAGTCATAAATGTGAAAGCTGACATACATTTATAAATCATTTTCTTTTAAGGTATTTTTTTCTGTTTGTTTTTGTTTTTGTTTTTTCCTTTTTGGTACCATGAAGCTATTCTCCCTGTTCTGATAAGTAAACAGGAAAGAAAGAGTTTCCAAAGCAGAGGAATTAACCACCTGAGGTATCATTACCAAGTTATACATATGTCAATAACTTTAATTTGGAAAGCCAGCCTTCTGGACTTTTTTACCAATGCCTCTAGACATTTCTACTAAAACAAAGACCACAGCTCAACTTACGAACCTCTGACATTTAATATTTTTCCCAAGGCCTAAATTATCCTGCTTGCTACTTGATGGGACTAGCAACAAGAACTATAAATGTTGTATAGTTCCAGCTAGAATAATTTTTCATAAATTCATGGTTAGATAAAAATATAGAGAGGATATTTCTTAAGACTCCATGGTTGAGTGTCTTGGTATGATGGTATATGGAAGAGCAGATAATAAGCTATGTACACAGGGTTTTCCCTATTGCATGTCATCATGAACCTCCTTATCCCTGTTGATAAAACAAACCAAGGCTATATTAATGCTTGAGATAATGTCTTTGTTCATATTGTGCTACTATAACAGAATACCACAGGACTGGGTGATTTGTATTGAACAGAATCTTATTGGCTTATGGTTCTGGGGGCTGGTTAGTCCAAAATCACGTGACCAGCATCTGGGTAGGGCCTTTTTGCTGTGTTATCCCATGGAGGAAAGGCAAAGAAAGGGTAAGAGAGAACAAGAGATTGAACTTGCAGTCTCATACCCTTTTATAATCAGCATTAATCCATTAGAGAGGGTGAGCCCTCATGGTCCTAAACACCTTCCATGAGGCCCCACTTTCCAATACTGTTGCATTGAGAATTACATTTTCAATGCATGCTTTACGGGGGACATGTTTAAACCATAGGATTTAGTATGTATGTTTGGGACTAAATGTATACCAAATTAAAGAGGTCTCAGATGTTTTGATTTCTAGGATTGCCATATCTTCTCTTAATAACTAAACACATTAATCCCACACCTCCACTTCCAATGTTGGAGAAAGGAGACCATTAAGAAGCTAGGTTTGTCTTGATGGACACCAGCTAAGAGAGAATAAAGTGGTACCTTACTAAGGGATGTTCTATAGTCAGGAGTAAGTTCTTTACAAATCCCATCTTTACTTGATCAGATGATACTCTTACTCAGCATTCATATCTTCCCATTAAAACCATGAAACTGAAAATCAACAGTTTCTCCCATTCTGTATCACTGCTATTATTACATCTTTTAGTATTAATATTCATATTAACTCTTTCAATTATTAAATATTTGCTATGCAGAAGCTTTTTAGCTTTATGTAGTCCTACTTGTTTATATTTGTGCTTTTGGTGTCATATCAAAAAAAACCATTCCCTGGATCAATGTCAAGAAGCTTTTCTCATGTTTTCTCTAGTAATGTTATAGTTTAAGGTCTTATATTTAAGTCTTTAATCTACTTACAGTTGATTTTTTCCATATAGTATGTATGAATTAAGTATCTAATTTGATTCTTCTGTAGGTGGATATACAGTTTTCCAGGACTGTGTTTTTTTAAAGACTGTCCTTTCCACCATTATGTGTTTTTGGCATGTTTGTCAAAAATCAATTGTCTATAAATGTGTTTCTGGGCTTTCTATCCTGCTCATTGGTTGACATGTCTGTTCTTATGCTAGTACCATGCTGCTTTGATTACAGAGCTTTATAATATATTTTTAAATCAGGTACCATGATGGTTCTGGCTTTGTTCTGTTTCCTCAAGGTGGCTTTGGTATTTGAGAATCACTGCTTTAGGCAATAAATCAGGAATATCAGTTAAGCTACACATACTAGAAACTCAACAAACAGTAGCTTAATCCAATGGGATAGATTTTTGACAAATAACATGAAGTATGGAGGAAGGCAGTCCAAGATAGGTGTAACAGCACAAAAAAGTCATTAAGGCCCTAAGTCCTACGTAGCTTCCTGATCCACAATTCTTATTGTGTAGTGTTCACCTTTATGCTAACATAATGACTGCATGCCAGTTGAGTCTTTTTCTTTTATCAGTGAAACTATAACTTTTCCCAGGAACCCACTCATTAGACTATATTTACATCACAGAACTATGTTTCATATCTATAATTAGCTGCAAAGACTCTCGAGAAATCACATCTTCTAGCTGGTTATTTTGTTGACTTTTGCAAAGACTGGGTTCTGGTAGTGAGAAAGTTTGAGTAGGCAACTAGCATATTTTCTTTAACCTGGAATAATTTCTTTCTCTTGTATGGCAATAAGAAAACAAAGTTGCACATTGATATGGTTTGGCTCTGTGTCCCCATGTTCCCACCCAAATCTCATCTTGTAGCTCCCAAAATTCCCATGTGTTACGGGAGGGACTGGTGGGAAATGACTGAATCATGGCAGTGGGTCTTTCCCTTGCTATTCTTGTGATAGTGAATGGGCCTCATGAGATCTGATGGTTTTAAAAATGGAAGTTTCTCTGCACTAGCTCTCTCTTTGCCTGCTGCTATCCACATAAGATGTGATTTGCTCCTCCTTGCCCCAGCCATGTGGAACTGTAAGTCCATTAAACGTCTTTTTTTTTTAATAAATTGCTCAGTCTCAGGTATGCCTTTATTAGCAGTGTGAAAATGAATTAACATAGTAAATTGGTACCAGGAGTGGGGTGCTGCTTAAAAGATACCTGAAAATGTGGAAGCAACTCTGGAATTGGGTAATAGGCAGAGGTTGAAACAGTTAGGAGGGCTCAGAAGAAGACAAGAAAATATGGGAAAGTTTGGAACTTCCTAGAGGCTTATTGAATGGCTTTGACAAAAATGCTGATAGTGATATGAACAATAAGATCCAGGCTGAAGTGGTTTCAGATGGATATGAGAAACTTGTTGGAAACTGGAGCAAAAGTAACTCTTGTTATGTTTTAGCAAACAGACTGGTGGCATTTTGCCCCTGCCCTAAAGATCTGTGAAACTTAGATTGATTTAGGGTGTCTGGTGGAAGAAATTTCTAAGCAGCAAAGCATTCAAGAGGTGACTTGAGTGCTGTTAAAGGCATTCAGTTTCAAAAGAGAAACAGAGCATACAAGTTTGGAAAATTTGCAGCCTGACAATGCAATAAAAAACAAAATCCCATTTTCTGAGAATACAAGCTGGCTGCATATATTTGCATAAATAAAGAGGAGCCAAATATTAATCACTAAGACAATGGAGAAAATGTCTCCAGAGCATGTCAGACACCTTTGCAGCAGCCCCTCCCATCACAGGCCTGGAGGCCTAGGAGAAGAAAGTGGTCTCATGGGCCATGCCCCAGTGTCCTTCTGCTGTGTGCAGCCAAGGACTTGGTGTCCTGCATCCCAGGTGCTCCAGCCATGGCTGAAAGGGGCCAATGTAGAGCTTGGGCTGTGGCTTCAGAGGGTGCAAGCCTCAAGCCTTGGCAGCTTCCATGTGGTGTTGAGCCTGCACATGCACAGAAGTCAAAAATTCTGAACCTCCACCTGGATTTCAGAAGATGTATGGAAATGCCTGTATGCCCAGGCAGAGGTTTGCTGTAGGGGTGGGGTCCTCATAGAGAACCTCTTCTAGGTCAGTGCAGAAGGGAAATGTGGAGTCGGAGCCCCCACACAGGTTCCCTACTGGGGCACCACCTAGTGGAACTGTGAGAAAAGGGCCACTGTCCTGCAGACCCCAGAATGGCAGATCCACTGACAGCTTCCACTGTGCCCCCAGAAAAGCCACACTCAATGCCAGCCCATGAAAGCAGCCAGGATGGAGGCCATACCCTGCAAAGCCACAGAGGCAGAGCTGCCCAAGACTATGGGAACCTACCTCTTATATCAGCATGATCTGAATGTGAGACATGGAGTCAAAGAAGATCATTTTGAAGCTTTAAGATTTGACTGCCCCACTGTATTTTGGACTTGCATGGGACCTGTAGCCCCTTTGTTTTGGCCAATTTGTCCCATTTGGAATGGCTGTATTTATGCAACACGTGTACCCCAATTGTACCTAGGAAATAACTAACTTGCTTTTGATTTTACAGGCTCATAGGCTGAAGGGACTTGCCTTGTCTTGGATAACACTTTGGACTGTGGACTTTTGAGTTAATGCTGTAATGAGACTTTGGGAGACTGTTGGGAAGGCATGATTGGTTTTGAAATGTGAAGATATGAGATTTGAGAGGGGCCAGGGGCAAAATGATATTGTTTGGCTCTGGATCCCCACCCAAATCTCATCTTGTAGCTCAGACAAGGATAAGGCTGTGGAGAGTCAGAAACTATGGCAAGGACTTTAAAGGTATTCTAACTGCAGTAAGAAACTATTGAAGGGAAACTTTCTCAAATAATTTATTCATAGAATAAAATGAGAGTAGTCTAACATGAATTATAAAAGTAATCACATGTGAGTTATTTAATGAGTTATTTACTGCTATATAATAAACTTCCCCAAAACTTAGTGGCTGGAAACAACATTTGTTATCTTACAGTTTCTTTGGGTCAGATATCTGAGTGTGTCTTAATTGAGTCTTCTGGCTCAGAATCTTTCCCAAGACTAAAATCAAGGGGCCTAGTAACAACAGTCAACTCAAGACTCACCCAGAGAACAGCAAACTCCTAAGCTTTGTTGTAAGCATGTGCTGCTAGGCCTACCCTAGGATTAGTCATGTCCAAAATTTGTACGCTTTTAGGAAGGGTTTCATTCCTCATGAGCTATTTTGACTAAAAGACTCAATTCCTCACTGGCTGTTGGCTATAGGACTCTCTCAGTTACTTGCCACATGGGCCTCTCCATAGAGCAGCTCACAGCATTCAGATGGCTTCACCAGAGTGCGCAAGCAAGACAGAACCTTAGCAAGATATAAGCTAGAGTCTTTTGTAATCTTATGTCAGAAATGGCATCCTTAAACTTGTGATGTTTTCTACTGATTATAAGTAAATACAGAATAGATTCAGAATGTACTCAAAAGGAGAGCACTTCACAAGGGCCTCAATACCAGAAAGTGGGTGTCATTGGTATCTATCTTGGAGGCCTGCTACCACAGACCCTAAATTGGCTTTCATTTATTAGTGATTAAATTCATTAAAGTCATTAAAATCATTCTTTTAATGATCGGCTCAAGAAACTCAATTACAAACTCAATATTCTTCCTCTGTTTAAAAATCATAACTAAAATTGTCCATCTTCAGTCGTCAATCCAATGATCAATTCCAGTTGCAAAATATTCTTTTAAATGGAAATCATCAAAATGTTCATGCTATACTTAACCTTAAACTTTGCAATGTCTTTCATGAAATTGCATACATTGTATTTGAAATGTTTAGGATATTTTAACTTTCTGTTTACTGAAATCCATGAAATACTTGGGACATTTTCCTATACTACTTCTGTTAATGTTACTTGCTTTCTTCATCCTGTGATCATAGAAATTAATGATTCACTATTTATAGAAACTTTCACATATTGCAAAGCTTTTTAAAATCTGTATTGAAGGATGTAGGTCATGTTATGTGAGTTTCAGAGTGACTTCCAGGCAAGCCTTTGAAAACCACCCACTTAGGTACTTCAGGTTGAATTTTAATTGTCAACTTCTCTGACTTTCAAAGGTAGCTCCCTTAACTTTCAGTAGAAGCTTTCTTGACATCTACTCCATGATCTCTTCCAATAATCCTGTAAACCCAAACCAGAATATATAGAGTGGCTTCTGTTTTCTTGACTGAACATAACTAAAACAATGCATGCTATACCTCTCTGCAATCCCAGAGGACCAATTGGAAGCAAATTTGAAGTCCAACATCTTCATCAACTCATTCCCTCTTTTCATTTCACCAGAAGCTTTCTGACCTTGAATTAATGAGAATAGTGATGCTGTATCACTATAAACATTTTTAAATTTCAAATTGGATCTTATTTAAATTTATCTCTTATTTATGATTTGTTATTTTCATTTTACAAATAGAAGAATTGAAATGCCACACAGTTACATGAATGACCAAGATTTCATTACTAGGAAGGAGCAGAACAACAATTTGAACTCAGGTCTACTTATCTCAAGGCCAGGATTTTCCACTCCCATACCATTGTGAATACTATAAAGGCATACACATACATGGTGTGCTCAGTGATGTTTTCAAATAATGACGATTATAGACCCAAAGTCCAGATGAAAACCAGACTCCTTACCATGGACATATAAAGCCCTCTAAAATCTGGCTCCTCCCTGTATCTCTAGCCTTACTTCTTGCCATTCCCCACCTGTCTCTTAAGTTTTAACCACACAGAACTGCTTTAAAGTCACATTTTCATGCATTTGCTTCCTATGCCATCTCTACCTACAACACCTTACTTCTTGCTTTTCATTCCACCTTCCTTCCATTATCATCCTATCAAGAGCAAGTACTGACTGTTCACGACTCAATCTAGAAGTTACAGGCACCATGATGGCTTTTTTGCTTCCCCGTTTCCCACTTCTATTACATTTGTATCCATGTGATATCATATATTTAAATATACTTTTAGATCACCTATAATGTTTAAATTGCATTTAATTATTTGGACTGTACATACTATAACTTACGATGAACAGAGTGCTTCCACATGTTATGTCAATTAATTCTTAAAGGATGCTTACATCACCTTCATACATAGGGACTGCACCATAATTCTCTGTCTCCAGCATTATGACTGAAATAAAGTACTTTTTAAATGAATATTTACTGATTACATAAGGAGTAAATTAAGTAGTATAAAATAGCTACATAGTGCATTTGCGGAAAAAAACACGTCATTGAAAAACACAACAAAATCACTAACATTATTTTCACCTGATAACTTTACTCACCACACTGAGTAAAGCAATTGTCCCACTTTCCTTCACCTGCATAGCACTTTATAAGTCTAAGTGGAAAAAATAAGTAAATTCAGATGTAGGGAGGAAGGTCTATTTATTTAATTAAAGAATGATGCTAAAGCAGGTCTAATTTTTCTGCCTCAATTGACGACAACTTTGGATATTTATGAGCACTGTTGTATAACGTAAAGAACATTAAACTCTGAGCCTTAAAACTTAGATTTATTGCTTCTTTGCCACTAATCAGCTAAGTTAAATTGAAAAACTCATTTAACCCCTCTGGCTTCAATTTTCTCTCATATAAAATGAAGACCAGAGTATTTCTGAAATCATTTGCAATGCTTAAAGAGCTCATACATTTTTACATCTTCATCTTTTGATTAACATGATTATATAAAATCACTTTCATCTACGACTTAATGAAAATCGCCAGCAAGATATGGGATCTACAATGTTCCTGGGGCCTAGTAGCTTAAAGAATATTATTTTTCTATTCAACTTTCCAGGAACAGGTCACATTTGAATACAAAGCTATTATGTATAATTGAAAGTTATTTCTTTAGCTTAGGTTTTCAAAGAATAATCTTTGGAAAATTGCATTTGGCAAGAGTGACATCTACTTTTATCCTTTATACTTTATTTTATGAGGAACTTTCTCAGGCAAGCATAGGCACACACTGTCACGGTGATTATTTACAAGCATCATAAAATTGCTGAGTGCCTAGAATGTATAAACCCCTAATGCTAAGTCTTACAGGGAACCAAAGGAGTACAGCTCTTTCTGCTCTCATGAAACAAGTAATCTCTTTCACTGAGTGTTTTTATTCTAATTGACATATTAAACTTAGCCAAATCATAATCCATGTAAATTGTTAAGAAGATTGAAATGATTGGGGGCAGGTCATACCTTGACAAAAAATACACATATACATATAACTTCCCTCTGGCATTATAACTGTCTGATTTGTGTATTCTGTATTATACTTCCCACTCAGTAGAATGTATACAGTATACAGTAACAGATGGTATTTGAAGTCATGGATGAAGATAAGATTGTCTGGGGATATATATAGGTAGAGAAAGAGATGGGGGGAAAAAAGAACAAGAGAAGCCATTCTAGAATCCCGAGATTCATGAAATAACCTCAGTGAAGGGAGCCTGTGAAGGTACCTTCAAAAAAATATTCAGAATGGTAGGAAGAAAAGCAGGACAGAGTGGTGACACGGAAGTTATGGAAGAAAGAAAGTATTAAGAGTGGCTAGCTAGTGTTACAGAAAGGAAAAGACAGAAAATACTTTAAATAGACTATTTGATTAAAAACTTATCAGTGCCTCTAGGAAGAACTGCCTCAAGAAGGAAGCAGAATCAAACCTCAAATTAAAGTGGGTTGAGGTTTGAAAGGGTAATGAAAAAACAGAAACAAGAAGTATGGAACACTGTAACTGTAACTTTGTTTCAAATAGCTAGAAGAAAGATATTGAATATTCCCAACACAAAGAAATGATAAATGTTTGAGATGATGGATATGCTAATCACCCTGATCTAATTACCCTGATCACTTATACAAAATATGTACCAAAACATCACTCGCCATGTACCCCATGAATATGTACGGTTATTACTTGTCAATTTTAAAAGAGAAAAAAATGTTTAGTAAATATACGAATAAGTATTAAAGAAATGGCTAAGTAGAAAAATAAATAAACAAATGCACAATAAGCTGTAGCATTTTTGGAAGGCCTTAATTCTCAGTCAGGGAAACCAATATAGAGATAAATGACAGCCTTGCTTCCTATGCTACTCTAAAGAGAAGAGCTAGGATTCAGAACAAAAAGAGCACTGGTTGAGATTAAGCATTTTGACATTTAGAGAGGCATGCTTCAGGCTTTCTTCAGAAGTACAAGAACCATAGACAAGAGGGAGTCTAAAGGCCATATTAGAAAGTATCTTTTAAAGAACTGATTTCTTCATCAAGAAATCCTGTAATGTTTTCAAGGTGATTAGCTTTAGGTCATTTTAGTAGGCCCAACAATTATAAACAAATTATCTTGGAATGATACTTCAAATTATATATTTGCAAAAATGTGCTTTTTAAAGATATTGAATTTAATTCATTTTAGGAGAATGTTTGCTTTGGGATGATGCAATAAATGCCACTGTTGGGTTTGTTGCTTGACATGCACATCTGAAAAAATGGTATAAGTATCTAAATTATTTGAATTATTTGTGAGAAGTTTACATTTAATATCCACAAATACCTTGGAGATCCTGTGTGTTTAGCTCCAGACAATTTCAATAATGCAAATATTGCAACAAAATGAGTCATATGAATTTGGCCTCTCAGTGCATATAGAATTTATGTTTATATTGCAGCTTATTAGTTTATTGAGTGTGCAATAGCATTATGTCTAAGAAAACAATGTACATACCTTCATTAAAAATACGTTATTGCTAAAAAATGTTAATAATCATCTAAGCCGTGAGCGAGTTGTAATCTTTTTTGCTGGTGGAGGGTCTTGCCTCAGTGTTGATGGCTGTTAACTGATTAGGATTGTGCTGCTGAAGGTTGGGGTAGCTATGGCAATTTCTTAAAATATGACAATGAAGTTTGACACATAAATTGACTATGCCTTTCAGGAAAGATTACACTGCAGCATAAGATACCTTTTGATAGCATCTTACCCACAGAAGAACTTCTTTCAAAATTGGAGTCAATCCTCTCAAACCTTGCCACTACTTTATCAATTAAATTTATATAATATTCTAAATTCTTTGTTGTTTTAACAGTGTTAACCAGGAGTAGATTTCAGCTCAAGAAATCCTTTTCTTTGTTCATCCCTAAGAAGTAACTCCTCATCTGTTAAATTTTTGTCGTGAGATTTCAGCAATTCAGTCACATCTTCAGGCCCCACTTCTAATTCTAGTTCTCATGCTGTATCTACCACATCTGCACTTACTTCCTCCAGTGAAGTCTTGAACCCCTCAAAGTCATCTATGAAGCTTGGAATTAACTTCTTCCAAACTCCTATTCACGTTGATATTTTGACCTCCTCCTCTTGCTAAGCACAAATGTTCTTAATGGCATCTAGAACGGTAACTCCTTTCCAGAAAGTTTTCAGTTTACATTGCCCAGATTCATCAGAGCAATCACTATCTATGACAGTAATAGTTTTATAGAATGTATTTCTTAAATAATAAGACTAGAAAGTTGAAATTACCCCTTGGTCCATGGATGTTGTGTTTGCAAGCATGAAAACAACATAGACCTTTTGGTACATGTCCATCAGATCTCTTGGGTAACTAGGTCCATTGTCAATTAACAGTAATATTTTGAAAGGGGTCTTTTCTGAGCAGTAAGTCTTCACAGTGGGCTTAAAATATTCAGTAAACTATGCTGTAAACAGATGTGCTGTCATCGAAGCTTTGTTGTTTCATTTATAGAGCACAGGCAAAGTAGATTTAGCATCATTCTTAAGGTCCCTAGGTTTTCTGGAATGGTCAATGTGCACTGACTTCAACTTAAAGTCACCAGCTGCATTAGGTTTTAATAGGAGAGTCAGCCTGTCCTTTAAAGTTTTGAAGCCAGGCATCGGCTTCTCCTCTTTAGCTATGAAAGTCCTAGAAGCAACCCCTTTCTAATAGAAGGCTTGTTTCATCTACATTGAAAATATGTTTTTTTAGCGTAGCCACCTTCATCAATTATCTTAGCTAGATCTTCTGGACAACTTGCATCTTCTACATCAGCACTTGCTGGTTCACCTTGCACTTTTTTATGTTACAGAGATGGCTTCTTTCATTAAACCCAATGAACCAACCTCTGTTAGCTTCAAACTTTTCTTCTGTACTTTTTTCACTGTTGTCAGCCTTCATAGAATTAAAGAGAGATGCAGCTTTAGTTTAAAGGAAGGTTTTGGCTTTGTTGATCTTCTGTACAGACCACTAAAACTTTCTCTGTATCAGTAATAAAGCTGTTTTGCTTATCATTTGTGTATTCTGGAGTACCACTTTGAATTTCCTTCAAGAACTTTTCATTTGCTTTCACAATATGGCTGTTTGGCATAAAAGGCCTGCCTATTTTGGCTTTTTATTTGCCTTCTTCACTAAGATTAATCACATTTAATTTTTGATTGAAAGTGAGAAACATGTAATTTTTTATTCCACTTGAACTGTTAGAGGCCATTGTAGGGTTATGCATTGGCCTAATTTCAATATTGTTTTGTCTCAGAGAATAGGAAGGCCCGAGGACAGGGAGAGAGATGAGAGAATGACTGGATCATGGATCAGTCAGAACATACACATTCATTGGTTAAGTTTGCTGTCTTATACGGGCATGGTTCATGAAGCCTCAAATAATTACAATAGTAACATTAATAATCAATGATCATAGATCACCATAACTGATGTAATAATAATTAAGAAAATTGAAATATTACAAGAATTACACAATGTAAAGAGAGGCACAAAGTGAACACGTGATTCTGGAAAAATGTCACCAGTATACTTGCTGGACACAGAGTTGCTGCAAACCTTCAAGTTGTCCAAAATGCAATATCTGCAAAGTGCAACAAAATGAAGCAGAGTAAAACGAGGTATGCCTGGATACAAAATTGAGTAGCTCCCCATGAAGCCTAGGATATAGCCTCAGTGCTATGTGAAAAGGCATCAGTTGCTATAATAAAAGCTTCAGCTACAATAATAAAAGCTCTGAAGGAAATGGGCTTGGTCTTCTAGCCACAGGAGTCTGTCACTGAAGAGCTACAGCCCGAGGGGCCACCATCACCCGAGATAAAAGCAAGTAACCAAATAACTGGTGTCTTGGAGCATCAGACAACTCGGATTGTCACTCTCTCTTCTTTCGCTGTTGCACAGATGTCATTCAGGTGGCAGAAATGTGTTGTGGGTTATGTTAAAACCCTTGCCCATATCTCCTGAGGGTCTGAGCCTTCCATGTTGGGGGTGCCAACATAGAGTGTGTGCCCTGAGGTCTGCCTTTTCAAATGAGCATCGTTTTATTCAATGCCACAACACAGAGAAATAGATTTATGAGGGTTCATACACAGAAGATTCATGCCTCCATTTTTCCTTACCTTTGAAAAAACAAACTCTAAAACACCAGTTTATCAAGATGACAATAGATTAAACACGATGCAGACAGTGGTAATAATTACCCCCTTTACTAAATGCCTCAAGTGCCAGGAGAGTTACATTGATCCATTCAACAGTCGACACTACATAATTAAGAGGACAATACAGAACATATTACATCATTCAGGGCATATTAGTATGAATAAAGAAGTGGAAGCTCAGAGAGACTAAGTTGCCAGAATACAAGTTTAGGTAAGTGTCAATACAATGTTGACATGGTTTGGCTGTGTCCACACCCAAATCTCATCTTGTAGTTCTCATAATGCCTCCATGTTGTGGAAGGGACCCAGTGGAAGGTAATTCAATCATGAGGGTGGTTACCCTCATGCAGCTCTCATGATAGTGAGTTCTCACGAGATCTGATGGTTTTATAAGGAGCTTCCTACTTTGCTCAGCACTTCTCCTTCCTGCTGCCATGTGAAGAAGGATGTGTTTGTTTCCCCTTCCACCATGATTGTAAGTTTCCTGAGGTCTCCCCAGCCATGCTGAACCATGAGTCAATTAAACCTTTCCTTTATGAATTACCCAGTCTTGGGTATGTCTTTATTAGCAACATGAGAATGGACTAATACAAATGTTCACACTCAAATCTGGCTGACTCTAAGCCTGAGCTCTTCCCACACAACAAACCATCAGAGTTCTCATTAACACTTCATCAAGCAGGAGCAAACCAGCAACTCTAAATTAAGTGGAATACTAAGAAAAAAAAATAAAAGTCAGGTAGTTCAGTCTGGAATACTCTACAGAACTCACAAAAATAGACTCTCATATGAAGCTTCCTTTAAAGTTTCAGATGGCTGTTTTAAAAGGAAAAATAAGAGAAGAAGGCAGGAAGAGTATAAATACAAGAAACATAAATAGACTAGATGGCAGAAATAGACCACATATTATAGAGTTTAGGTTATAATAAAAAAAAATAAGAAATTCACATGGAAAAGGGATAGTCAACATTTAACAGGTGCTACTGAGAGAGTAAATTGTCTTGGAAAGAGGAAGAGAGGGAGAGGGAATTAGATTCCTACCTCATATTAACTGAATAAATAGTAAAAATAAGTTTCTAAGTTTGATAGAGAAGAAAATACAGAACACAATCTGTTCTAGGGTGAAGAAAAATTTTGTAAGTCACAAAGAAATCAGGAAGGAAAAGATTAGTAGATATGACTGGATAAAACCTGTATATTAAAAATCAGAAAAAATAAACATGAAGAATTATAATCATATAAAGTATTGGAATTACTAAAGTGTATAGTTTAAAACAATATGCAAATATAAAATAATACAAAGGATATGAAAATCTTATAAAGAAAAATGAAGATTGCCAAAAGCACTTGAAAAAATTTAGTCTAATTAGGAATCAGCTAAAAGCTACTTTTAAGAATGCAGTACTATGTTTTAGCTATAATAATTGCAAAGATTCACAAATATGAATAAAACTAGTATAGGGGACTGTGCAGTGAAATGGAGTTTCCTTCAAAGTTTGTGGCTTCATTAGAGTTCTCCAGAACTAGTAGGATATATGTATATATGAAAGGGAGTTTATTATGGAGAATTAGCTCACATGATCACAAGGTGAAGTCCCATGATAGGCCATCTGCAAGCTGAGGAAGAAAGAAGCTGGTGGTGGCTCAGTCCGAGTCCCAAAGCCTCAAAAGCAGGGAAGCCAACAGTGCAGTCTTCTGTCTGTGGCCAAAGGCCCTAGAGCCCCTGGCAAAGCACTGGTGTAAGTCCAAGAGTCCAAAGGCCCAAGAACCTGGAGTCTGAGGTCCAAGGCCAGGAGGAATGGAATGAAGCATCCAGCATGGGAGAAAAGAAGGAACCCAGAAGGCTCAACATGCTAGTTTATCCCACTTTCTTCCACCTGGTTTGCTCTAGCTGCAGTGGCAGCCAATTGGATGGTGCCCACCCACACTGAGGCTGGGTTTTCCTCTCCCAGTCCATCAACTCAAATGTCAATTTCCTCTGGTAACACACTCACAGACACACTGAGAGACAATACCAGCTATCTAGGCATCCTTCGATCCAATCAAGTGACACCTAATATTAACCAACACAGTGGTTAATTAATACTGTCATTGAAAAAACTAAACTATATATCAAAAACCTGAAAATTATTGTACATATTGAGTCATAAATTTCACTTTTAGGAATTCATACTAAGGGAAAAAATGGTAGATGTGCACAAGCACATGTTAAAATGCTTCATCATAAAGGTATTTATAATAAAGTATATAAAGACCTGGATATTAAATAACAATAGTATTGTTCTACAAATTTTGGTGTGTCTATACAAGTGGTATATTGTACAGTCATTTATCAATATTATAATTATGTTTTTTCAAAAATAATATTCTAAATATTTCTCAGTTAAGAACTTCCTAAAATGAAGCAGAAAATCCTTCAAATTTTTTTGCAGTAAGGTTTGCAAAATGGTTTTTTTGAGGAGGGAGGAGCAATACATATGAAAATATTAGAACTAAGCAAAAGGAAGCTTTTACTAGTTCTTAGTCCCATTGTGATATAAAGCAGCAGTCCCCAACCTTTTTGGCACCAGGGAGCAGTTTTGGTAGCAGAGAGATGGGGGGGTGCGTTAGATTCTCATAAGGAGTGCACAACCCAGATCGCTCGCATGCACAGTTCACAGTAGGGTCTCGGCTCCTATGGGAATCTAATGCTCCTGCAGATCTGACGGGAGGTGGAGCTCAGGTGGTAATGCTCACTGGGCTGCCTCTCACCTCCTGATGTGTGGCCTGGTTCCCAAAAAGCCGTAGACTAAGGGTCCATGGCCAGGGGATTGGGGACCCCTGCCTTAAAGGATGGGGCCTTCATACAAAACATAAGCTTATAGAATGTAGAAAAAAAAAGAGAAAGAACTTAAATGTAGCCTACCAAGACCCAGTAGCAAAGAAAAGGATGCCTAGCTGAAGAGGAGAGATAAAGAGTTACAGTTTGTCATCATTAGACAAAGTATGTGGTACATACAGACAACTGAGCCTGAATAATGGATCCATCCCTACGGTTTGCTGATCCTAGAGGAAGCTGAGTCCATTTGTGTCTGGCAAGAGTGGTAGCAGTACTTGCATTAACCACTCTCAACCAGGTGTCAAGAGGCTGCAAGGGCAGCATGTGTCCCCTTGCCCTCACTGTCCAGGAGAGACAGCCAAGGACCTTTGCATTTGACTGGCTGGTTAAAGTCCTCTCTCTGGCTGACTGTGGCCAGCCAAAAAGAGGCAAGAAGCTGAATCATGTTGAGCATAACTACACAACTCGGTACTTCAGTCTGGCTGCCCAATTTTTCAATTAAACCATGTGATATTGCCAGTGTGGGACCACACTGACCTACAAAAATGGAAATTTCATATGGTTGAAACTATATATCAAAGTTGGTTATAAACTCAGACTCTGTACTCCCCCAGTAAAAATAAGACAACTGTTTCTTTAAAGAATATGGTCAAATTTGAATCCAATTTAGATTTTAAGCACAGCAACTCTTTTATTAAAAAAAATTGATCAGCCAAGCTCTCATTACAAGCTTGAACAACTTTAGAGAAATATCTTATGACCAAAAAGAAAAAAGAAAAAGGATTTTCTCTTCGGGCACAAGTCTCTAGAGAACCTGTTGCAGGTACCTCTACCAAACAAAGGGGAACACTTAGAGAAGTTACCAAGCTAAGACTACCTCCCTCCTGGGGAGCGTTTGTCTAGGCAATACCAACATTTGCCCTCTGGCTTTCTTTTCTCTACACCTCCATTGCTAACAAAGAGCACTTCAATTGAGGTAGTAATTTTTTAGTTATTTTGATTCATTTGAAGATTTACTATATTGTCCTTTTGCTCTGGAAAACTGTCCTTTGTTTTAAGACTATGTGTATATCTGTACTCTGATGTATTGATTTTGCAGTTAAACAGTGAAGATGATCTTATTTTCAGATTCTCAGAGGATTCATCAGCAGAGTCCTCTTGCCAAGTAATAATAAAAGTAACACACTACTTACTGAGTGCTTACTGGTGCCAGGACTATATGCAGGGCCCTGTTGTACATGTGTTAGCGCATTTATTCTCATCAGTATTCCAACTAGGAGAGGCAGGACTCAAAACCAAGAAGTGTGGTTTTAGACTTCCTTAACTACCAGTTGTTTACTTTTCTTAATCATTTTTATACTAGCCTATAAGAGAAGAAAACAAAGTCTATACATTTAGTTTGTTATAAAAAATACATTTAAATTTACATAAGCAGGTGATATGGTTTGGCTGTGTCCCCACTCAAATCTCATCTTGAATTGTAACTCTCATAATTCCCATGTGTCATGGGAGGAACCCAGTGGAAGGTGATTGAATTATGAGGGGCCGGTCTTTCCTGCTCTGTTCTCATGATAGTGAATGAGTCTCACGAGAGCTGATGGTTTTTAAAAGGGGAGTTTCCCTGCACAAGCTCTCTTCTCTTGTCTGCTACCATGCAAAATGTGTCTTTCACTTTCCACCATGACTGTGAGGCCTGCCCAGCCATGTGGAACTGTAAGCCCAATAAATCTCTTTCTTTTATAAATTGCCTAGTCTCAGGTATGTGTTTATCAGCAGCATGAAAACAAACTAATACAGTAGGAAAAGTTATTTTTAATGGTTGTTTTATTCCTTGTTTATTATCTGTTTCTCCCTACTCCAAGTGACCAAAGCAGTCAATGTCTCTGCCCTCAAAAAAAGTTGGGAGAGACAGATAATAAACACTGGGGGCAGAAACTTTGACTGCTTTGGTCACTGCTGCATCTTTGGTGTCTGGAATAGGCATAGGAAACATTCATTAAACACAATACCTTTTTTTGGTCCCTTATTTTCTATTTTATTTCTTTTCAGGAAAAAAAAGGGCTATGATTTGCACAATAAATTATATGGTCAAGACCAACCTATCTATAAATATGTATTAAATAAATGATATGAAAAAATATTTGATCTTTTAATGTTTTTATATAATTACATGGTATGCACTATCTACCCAGATACCATCAATTCCAACGGAAGCTAGGAAAAAGAAACCAAAAAGCACCTGAAGACTAAGATCCTAGGACTGAACCCTAGGACAAAATAAATTGTCCAAATAAATTGGACAAAGTTCACAAAAAATAAGCCAGCAAGAGGCAGTCCAGGAAACCTCCCCATCCCTCCTCATGTTTTAGATATTGATGGAGGCCTCTGATGCTGCCTGAAGAATACTATTTATTCCCCTGAAGTCAGTATATCACTAAACACCACAGGTGAACTATGGTGGCTGAATGCTACAAGATCAGTTGTGGATGGTAGGATCTCACAAAATTAGAAATTTGTAAAATAAAGAAAATACACATCAAATTACAGGCAAAGAGAAAAGAGTATTTAAAATGCCCTGGTCAGTAAAATAAAGAGAAAGAATCTATCTAAATGGCTGCCAACATAAATAACATGAGGAAGAAGATTCAGTTACATTCATTGGCAGATAAGTTAAGGTACTAGTTTAATTCAGTGGGATGAAGTTCTCCACTAAAATTAAAATAGACATGATCTCTCCAGTTTACAAGTCAGGTAACAGAGCCCCATTGCCCACATGATTATAATTAGAAAAGCATCACGCAAATGAAAGAAACCTTCGCAAGATGTTTACAAAGAAATTTGGAAAGATTTAAGAGATTAGTAAGATCAGAGGTGATGGTTTGGACCTTGTAAATAATTTTGGGGGGTTGCATATAATTTAATAAACCTCATGCTGGTATTTTTCTAAGTGACACAGTGATACAGATACAGTGATAATTTCATTCACTGACTTCACTAGCTAGAAAAAGTAAACTAAATGTTTCATGTGGTCAATATCACATAATTGGAAATCCCAGGACTGGTAGAGCTCATTCTCTTGTTCTGGTGGTTTTGGGTATTGGCTACAAAAATTGAAGAAAACTGGAAGAGCCTGATGCCTTGATATGTCTTCCTAGTCATCAAGAGAGTTTCAGCTAACCAGAAAAGGTGTGCAAGTGTCAGCAAGCTTCAACCTGCTGGTGAAATCAATCCTGCCATTTGCTTTTGTAAATAAAGTTTTACTGAAACACAGCCACATTCATTTGTTTACATATTATCTATGCTGCTTTCACACTACAAGCACAGAGTTGAGTGACTTTGTGAACATGGCCTATAAAACCAAAAATATTTACTACCTGGTCATTTACAGAAAAAGTTTGCTGATCCCCTGGAAAAAAAAAAAGAAGACAAGAGATTATAAATGCCTATCATCACATACTTAAGACAGTCTCTTTCAAAAGTCTGAGTCACTTTTTGATGATATAATATTTTGAGAGATATTTTTAATTTTCCACAACTCCAGACCCAGGCACCATCCTTGCTCATGTATGCTAAGTGGTATCTAATGATCTGAAATAGTCACTCCACCTAATAACCACTGGAGAAAATCTATCTCATCTCAGAATAAAGTTTCATAAGCACAGTGATCACTCTGTTTAGTATTCCATCAAACTGTTGAATTTTATAGGACTCTCATAAAACTTTAATGTTCTTCCAGTACTGTAATCAGATGAACAAAGCCATATTTTAACACAAAACACTTTTGATTTTATGACATATTACGATTTTTAAAACATATGTTCAACCTACAATCTGAAAGCAACAGGATGGTACAGAGTGGATAGTTGTAGTTAATCTGTCATAAACTACATTATTCTTTTTAAATCTGAATAAAATTTCAACAACAAAGATAGTTTATGTTCAACCATTAATGTGAGCAGGCACTATGAGTCAACTATAATGTATTAAACAAATCACAGCTGTAAACTATTTATTAAGTAATCTATTTTATGCCATGTTTATCTCTGTTACTCATCAAAACATCTTTACCACTTAAAATGGTATTTCATTTTCTTTTATTTGAATAACTATATGCACAGATTTATAGTTTCACAATTTTTCATTTCTGCCATGGAAGAAGAAAGACTTTTTAATATTACTAGATTGTTCAAGCAAATAAAACATTTAAAATATGAGAAATCTTGCATTTTTTATAATGAAGCAAATGTCAATTCCAAATAGCTTCCTCAAAGAACAATCGAGAAACAAAAAAAGAAATTACTTTCCTTTATTCAAACATTCTAGTGTAACAAATGAATGACAAGAACAAGGCCTTGTCCTTGTACACCATGCAGCATATGCAGGTTTTCTATAAAACAGTTCATTAGAACAACATTCTAAAAGGGGTGGATAAAAATAATGTTACTTTTCTCTGGTTTGCCAGAAATGACTTATATAAATGGAAAGGATGTATTCAATAATTATCCTAAAAAAAAACCTGGAAGGGTTTTGTTGACAAGGTTGACTAAGACCTTATACATTTTTTTCTATAAAATAAGCAACAATTCTTTATATATAATATGTGGTGGAAAGAGGGAAAATTTAAACGATGAAACTTGTTTTAATGCATTGTGACTCAAATAACAGTCTTGGCTGCTTGAGTCCAGATTCTTGGGGCCTCTGACTGTGCTTCCTCTTCTGAGTATCCTATGCAGGTTTTCTATTTCTATAGTTTCTACATAAAGCTTTTGATCTCACTCCCCCCTGACTTAGGTTGTCCATGGCTGTTCTTATTACTAGCTCTTTTTTATTCTGTACATGTTTTCTTCCATTATAAGGAAATAAATGTTTTTCTAATTGGGGTCTTGGATCTTCTTGATTTCTTCTACTACAGAGTGATATTGATATACTGTGCAATTCAATTAAGCATTTTTGAGCTGCTAAGATCATAGACAGGAGGGTCTGCTGCTTAATTATCTTGACTCAGGAATGTGAGGGCTGTATCTGTACCCCAACAGTTCACATGAATAGACTAAAGAATAAAACTAAACCATTTTATTAGAGGGGTTTTGTTTTTTAAATTAAACCCTCTCTGGTAGGGAGAGTGAAGAACTCCAAATAAATCTTATTTCTCTAAAATAACATTTTAAATGGGACTAGAAATACACTGTCTTAAAGGAACTCTAAAGAAAAGTATTTTTTAAAGACAGTAGAAATCCACTTTTCTCTAGTGTGCTTTTTATACAATATATTCCTAGTTTCTATTGCAGCAAGTCTAGCTGTGCCAATACTTAATTTTGAATGTCTTCTTTCATCAAGTAGCTCATTATAATCTTTCAATTTTTCAGATTTTGGTATAGTAAAACCAGCACCTCTATTAGTCAGGAATTCAACATGATTAAATGAGGAAATTTTAATGAAGAGACTATAGCGGGTTGAATGTTCCCCCCATCCACCCAAATATTCTCACCTGAAACCTCAGAATATGATCTTATTTAGAATAAGAGTTTTTGCAAATGTAATCAAAGTGAGACTCTCAAGATTAGATCAGCCACATTTGGTTCTAAATTCAACAAATAGGTGTCCTTATAAGGAACAGAAAAGGAGAATACGCACATAGAAGGGAAGGCCATGTAAAGATAAAGACAGGTGTTGGGGTGATGTATCCATAAGCCAAGGAACTAGGACTCCTGACATTCACCCGAATCGCAGGGAGAGGCATGGAACAGACTCTTCCTCCTACTCTCCAGAATAAACCAACGCTGCCAAGCAACACCTTTATTTTGGGCTTCTGGGCTCCAAGACTGTGAAATAATTTCTGTTGTTTTAAGCTACCAACTTTGTGGTAATTTGTTTTGGTAGTCCTAGGAAACTAATACAGATAATATTTATCAGGGTGTAGCAGAGAAAAGAAAAACTATCTAGAGATGGAGAAGTACCCAGTTTAGTAAAACAAAAGTAGAGATCGTTACCATCCCCATGTCTGAAAAATCAAAGGAAGGAGAAGTTACCACAACCAGAGAAAAGCTGTAGCTGCAGAAGAGAGCTATCTACAGAAGCTGTGGCCTTAAACAAATAAAAGCACCCACTGGCAGCCTATGACACAGCAGGAAGAAAATGAGAGAAATAACCCTGACTTCTCCCTTCTGCACCCTGATCTACTAATGACTCTCATTGGTCAAATCAAGGAACACAAGAGAGCAAGGGAAAAGCTGTCCCCAAGGGCACAGGCAAGATGGAGAATGTAAGAGTGTAGTTTTAGAAGGCCTAATGAAGAATATATGATGACATACAATATGAGCAAATATTTCTATCCAATGTTTATATCTAAGAATAAGAAGGAATAAAGTTATAAAATACAATAGATTTTAAAACTGCCGAATGTTTTAATTCATGGGAAATAATGGCTTCTATAGATTTCTATCAAAGACTATAGATTGCTGAAAATTATCCAACTACAATATAAGGCATTCATGTGATCAATCCGAAGAAATAATGTTTCCTCTATAAACAACTAAAACACATTTTCATGCAGCATAGATTTTGGTTTTCAAGTGTAAAACTAACATTACATTGCAAATAATATAAAGAAATTAAGTTTTGTTAAAGTACTTACAGTGTCAAAGAAATGATTAGTGTTGCTTAGAAGTTTGGATAGTTGTGCATTTTCAAGTTGTTTTGACAACTTCATCATTTTCACTATGCTGAAAATCCTTTTCTTTTTTTTTTTTTTTTTTGAGACGGAGTCTCGCTGTCGCCTAGGCTGGAGTGCAGTGGCGCAATCTCGGCTCACTGCAGGCCCCGCCCCCTGGGGTTCACGCCATTCTCCTGCCTCAGCCTCCCGAGTAGCTGGGACTACAGGCGCCTGCCACCTCGCCCGGCTAATTTTTTGTATTTTTAGTAGAGACGGGGTTTCACCGTGTTAGCCAGGATGGTCTCGATCTCCTGACCTCGTGATCCGCCCGCCTCGGCCTCCCAAAGTGCTGGGATTACAGGCGTGAGCCACCGCGCCCGGCCTGAAAATCCTTTTCTTACTGGCAATTTATTTCATTTCAAAAGTTGTGGATAAAATATTCCCTTTTATAACCAAGCTACGTTGAGTCCATTTCTAATTACCGATGCATACTCACCTGTTTAGCTGGTATGTTATTTACAATCATTAAATACTCCAGGAGAGTAGTGATATTACCTGGTTCATTAAGTCAGTCCAAACTTCACAGTGCTCATTTTGTCCTCAGGTTAATAGCTAGGATTCTAAGTCAGACTTTAAAATATGTCTGCCAGAATGATGTCACTCTATTTTGAAACTTCATTTTAGCATTTTTAGTCAATTATAACCATTGTTTCTACAATCATCTGATATGATGACTTGAAACAACAAGAAGTGTGGCTAGGCAAATGTCCTATCAATTTTTTCCCAGTACTTGCCATTTCTAAGTGTAAAAACTTCCCCAGCAACACAGAGAGGTTAGAGAGTCCAAATAATGAGAGCTGTGAATAACTGGGGAAGAACTACAAAGATTTTTCCCCAGATAGCCTCTCAGCTGCAGGTCTCTGCTGAGGCAGAGCTCAGGTGAAGAAAGAGAATGTTTTATATAAGGAGTTTTGTCAGTCACAATCAGGAATTACCGTCCCTAGGCCACTATCAAGAAGGAAGAACTAAAAAGAGAAAAAGAATGAAGATCAATGTTTCCAGCAGAGAACATACTGCAGAGACTGACTTCCTGCCATACTAGATCTTGAACAGTCTATTCCAAAAAGAAAAAAAGAGATTTCATCAAGCCAGCAAGAAGAGACGACACATCAGTGAGCACTCGTCCTTTTGGTTCATTTATCTTAGCTGAAAGATGTTTCCAATGAGAAAGAAAAATCTACATGAAAGCTTAAAGTAAGAAGAGTAAATTAATTTTGGAAATAAGCAACTAACATATAAACATTAGGCTTCCCTAAAACTTAGCAAGGAATAAATATCCATTAATATATTTCTGAGAGTGACATAGAGTAAATCATAATGAAGGCAGAGAGAAGACCCGGATTTATGCTCATTCCTGCTCCAGCTACACACCACTCCAGGGTCTCCAAGAATCAAGAACATGCTTCTGCTCCTGGCCCATTACCTGTACAATGGTTATGAATATAAGATACTTCAAGCCAAAAACTATGGACATAAATAATCATATTCTCAATTTCAACTCACAACAGAAGTTGAGCAGCAGGTGCACATTCAATAAGAAAACATTTCATTGTTTGTATTTTCTGTCCCTCAGAGAAAAGTTGACAATATACCAGAGGCTTATGAATCAATACTATGTGCAATAAGGCAAAATGTAAAGGAAATGGTGTTAAAAAAACTAAAAAGCAATCCAGGAGACCACCATGAATACAAAGACTTTTAGGATTCAGCAGGAGCACCCCTGGCAGAACTAGTCAACTTTAAATATGCTGCATTTCCAAGTCAGAGTATCCTCGGCAGAAAGATAATTATAAATCAGAAGGTTCTGGAGAAAGCCAAGAACTATTCTGGGGGTCTGCTGGTATGCATGATTACGAAACAGACTTAAGGCACTATTCCATGTCCAGTGGTAATTGAATGCCCATTCTGTTTTCCTCCATTCTAAGAAACAGTTGAACTAATCTCCAATTTATTAGTTACTAAGTAGTCTTTCTAACTCATTCTATTGTGGCTGTTTGTTTTTTTACCATTTTTGTTGCAGTAAAAAGTGAGTACAAATACTAAAAATGTTAACTAATACATAAGTCAGAAACTTAATGTTATAAGAATATGTAAGACACAGTTTAAACTTGGATAGGTAAGATTTGGGAACACTCCTGTAAAATCAGTAGCTAATGATCACACCAACTTTAAAACCAAATTAATGTGAAAATTCTAGTTGCTTACTGTTTTAATGGTTCTGTTCCAGAAGTTTTGTTCAACTTGGTCTTATACAATTCAAAAAATTATATGTATTAACCAAGGCCTTCAAATAAACATGAATTTTCTGAATGCCAAACAAGTAATTATTTCAGTTTTCAGTGTCCTGCTATATTAACTTCAAAGACTATAAGCCAATCTTGTTCTTACAACTTAGCATTGTTTTTCTTTTTTTAAGAAAATGATTTTTTAAATAATCAAGTTTAACTTAAGTTAAATACACCTGTGCTATACTATAATTCTATTTTTTTATTTTAGGATGTAATTCAGTATTTTTCACATCAGAACAAGTAACCTCACGATTCACTTTTATAACATAAAAATTGGCATGAGATTCAAACCTATTGTACAAACCATGATTATCAATTTTGATTAGTATTACTGCATTTTTCACTAAAGCATCAAAAAAGTCTTGTTTTACTTGAATTAGCATTAAACCAGGCAGTTAACCATTGTATATCTGATCCTACATTTGCATTGTATGAAAAGAGCATGACATCAGTAGACTGATAAGTTATGGATGGATAATATAATACCTAAAGCAAACACTAAAAGATTATACAAAGAGATACACACAAAACATTACAGATAAGTAGAAAGTGAAATTTTAAAAAATGTTTAAGTATGCCACAGGAAGACAGAAAAATGATAGAGAACAAAAGAGGATAAACAGAAAAAAATTATAAACTTGAGCCAAAACATATCAAAAATTACATTAAATGCAAATTGTCAAAATATACCAGTTAAAAGAAAGTATCAGGGTAGATTTTTTATATGACTCATTGATGTGCTGTCCACAAGACATTCACCTCAAATATAATGATATAAGCACATTAAAACTTAAAAATAGAAAAAATACACCAATCAAAAGAGTTTAAAAGACATATGAACATTTTTTTCAGTGGGCCATGTTAAACTATAGTGTCTAGGGATCTACACTTATTTGGTAAAACTAGAAAGAAATTCAAGGAAGTGATTGCTTTAAATGTCAAGATAGTGGTTGAGCTTGAAATGGGGCACTAGGTGGCAGAGGGGCTATTGTGATGGTGGCTCTATTCCTTTCTGCTATCAATTTCTGCTTCTTCCCTGGATGGTGGTTATAAGAGTGTTCATTTTATAATAGTTTATTTGGTTTTAATTTTCATGTGATTTTCTGTATTTGTTTTAAAATAAAAAGGTCAGTTTTCTTAAAAGAAAAAGAAATATAGGCTAAATAATAATCTTATAATCAAAAGAAAATGCAAAAGATCAGGACTTTAAAAGTATAAGAATCACAGTGACTCAAGGAATTATGACACTTGAGTGACACATTTTTTCACCATGCACCCCATGATTAATAATCTTCAACTGTTTTCTATTATAAGATTTTATGACTCAGATTTACATTTCTGGAAGGTAGGTTCTGATTGTCTTATCTTAGGTAAAACAACAAGTCTTTTTCCAGCAGGCTAGAGGACACTTTGATTAGCAGTTACAGTAAGATTGCACAAAATGAGATATGGGTACTTCCCTAGAGAAATCATGTTTTTCTTACAAGAATAAAAGAAAATAGAAATGAACTCCATAGTATCTTATAAATTGCAGAAATTAAGTGTGAGTAAAATATTACCCAGTCTTGCAAGATTTGTAATCTAAGTTGTTAAAATCTATTGATAGCAAAATTCTTTGCGTCATCTTAATAATATCAAGGACTGTTAGAATGCCTAAAGCTATTTTATATTTATCTTCTAAACTCTTGCATTTTAAACTGAAAAACTACTAACCCTAGAACTATAGCAGTGTATCAGGGGAAACAAGACTAGACAAGTGGTTGCATTTTTCTAGATTTCTCCTACCAGCAGAATAAAGATATGATTGAGATTTATTTGGAAATTGACTCCATTCTAAATCTTATGGAATGGGGAAGGTTGAGGGATAGATAAAAGTCTTTGAGTACAAAATATTATCCATAATATTACTTCAATGTAAATCCCCACATAAAATATTAAACAAAAACCTATCTAATATCCCTGGAATAAAATCACAAGTTATAATACTTCTATTAAAATATAGACATGAATATGTCTTCCAAACCAACCAGTAGTATACTTTCTCCACTCTTGTTTATTTTTAAATAAGAAGGGAAATGAAACTGCATCTTAGGAATTTTAATATAAAACATGTATTCACTACGAAACTCATTGGCAAAAGTTGTTCAAAATTCTCTTTCAAAAACCACTTGGCAAATAAAACTCTTATCTGCTCTTCTCACAAAAGAAACTAAATTTCTGTTCTCTCCTGCCCTTTGAAAACAGATAATTGAATGAGAGATTCATAATGGAATTCTTTTGCAGTGTGCCTAAATATTTGGCATCAGGCCAAATTGAAAGAGCTCTAAGGACTTTTAAACTGAAAAATTAACCTTAAGTTGAAAACAGGTGACTTTTGAAATGTTTAAAACTTCCTGAGGTGCTTAATATCATTCTATTCTCAATAAGTCAATTTTCCAAATATTAAAGAAACTTTAGAATTCTAGAGTAGTCCTAAATTCATGCTGCATGAAGAGAAAAAGGGCAAGCTAAAAATCCTTTTCATGGTTAAACTATCTGATATGTCAGGACATCAAAGATCTATCTAACAGCCCTAAGGGAGAAGTGGTTAAGTTGAAAATACAAGCTCCATCTAATAAAACCAAAGGAAATAAAAAAAGAAAAGAAAAGACATTCTGAAGAAAGAGAAGCTGTGACCTGCCAGTCACTCAACAGAAACTACTGACTACTTAGCCAGCAAAAAATGGAGTCTGACTCAGAGAAAATGTGATCCTATTAGCTTGACTGTCAGAAGAGGTGATGAAGCGCCTAGAAAAAGAAAATAATTTAATGCATTTAATTGGGAATAAAACTTATCAGCCAGTGTTCTAAAGTAATAATATAGGCTACAAGACAGTATGTCCATCCATGAATGGATTGAGCTTTCAATGACACTCATGGAAATATCTGTACATCTGCCAAGTCATGTTTGCATATAAGGAAGAGAAATTTCAAATTGACTCTAAAAATGGACTTGTAAAGAGATATAGATCTATCATAATCCTAGAAAAATCTGAACATTCTAGGCATCTGATTGACAAAGCTCAGCCTATGGATTGATTTCTTTGGGGCCAAGTATCTACCCATAGTCCAATAAGCTTTGGCCAGTGGTAGACAGATTCATGTGGTAGAAACGGTACAAAGGCAGGAAGAAAGCAAAGTTGGAGTGGATTGATCAGAAGTGGAATGAAAAAGACTGTTATGATCTGCTTATCTAGTACATTAAACCCTCTATTCTTGCCTTTCAAATATACTGCTCCAAATACTCAATAATTTTCTCCCCTAATATGATCTAATGGCTACATTTGTAAGTAAAAAGACACTCTTCCCTCTGAATAGAATAGAACATAACAGATCACAGTGAATGGAACTTTATAAGGGTTAGCATTGTTTCTGGAAACTTGTTTCTGCTTACACATACACACACCCCATACAAATGTGTGTGCTAAAGCCAAGGTAAAATGTGCTTATTATACATCAATTTCTGCAATTTCTTTTCATCAGTTTTGGTGCACCAGCTGCAGGCAGAAGGGAACTCCCGCACCATTTTTACAAAATGTGTTTCCTTTTGCTCCATAAGCCAAGTATTTGGGGACCTGAGTTTATCTGTCATGCTGTAATTTACCCAGTGCTCCAAAAGGAACAATTCAACCTTACCATTCTTGTATTTTCCATCCCTTTAACTACTCTATAATAGCAAAAATGCAAGCATCAAAAGCCTGACCCTCCAGTTGGCACATGATCCTGATAAATCATCAGATCATAGTTTATCCATAAAGAGTGTTAGCTTTGCATTTTCAGATAAGAAGAGATGTTTCCTTATCCTTTCTCCCAATAAAATCCAATAATAAATCCAAACATTGGATCTTCTCTATGTCCCTTACTCCCCATGATTATTCTCTGCCTTAGTCTCTCTTCACAGAAAGATATGAGTTTCTTAGCAGCCTTGAGCAAACAGAACAACCAACCCTTAGTAAGAATGGAGCCTGAAAGGCTGCAGAGAAATCGAATCAGGATTTTGTGCACTTTCTCTTAAGAGACAGATTTAATGTTTAATATTCAATGTTTAACAAATTCTAAATTTTGAGTAGTGGTTAAAAAAAGAGGATTATCAGAAATTAGTATTAGTCATTCCAGTGCCAAATACAATTAAGCAAGACCATAAAATCCAAAACTGAAATCAGTGATCATTTCCCTCAGGAAATTTTAACCACAAATTTCCCTATGTCTTAGCAAGCAGGGACTAACAGATATTATCAGAAACACAAAGGATATAGTATTTATAGTCATTGCATGCCTCTATCATAGCACTTAACCATATTATAAAGAAATTCTCTATGTACATATTAGTAACTCCCACTAGACTGTAAATTCCTTTGGGCCTTATTCATCTTTGTTTAATAGAACACCAAGTATGTATTAGGTGCTCTGTACTGTCATTTATTCTAAATACTAAATAGCATATTCACTCTTAGGTAATCTATTTGCTGTACTTATAAGTCTTTGAACTAAAGAATTCTTTCAGATACCATTATAACTACATGCCTGAAACAGGTGGACCACAATTGACAATTCAATTAAGATTCTGATGCCCACAGAAGACAAACTAAATAAGAACACTCCTATAGAATGCCTATCGCACACATCTTAAACTCCTTAGATTGACTCACACAAGTATAATAGCACCACTAATCATGTTTCATCTTCCAAAGTTCAGAAGTCTATGATCTCCAAAGCAGCACATCACAGTTAAGAGGCAGAAAAAGAAAAAACTAGGTTCTAGTTCTAATGCCTTCACTTTTCAGCTGAGATAAAAACTTGACCCTCATTCAGTTTCTTCATTTATAATAAATTAGGTATAATTAAAGTTTATTATCATAGAATAAAATAATGTTTCATGCATGTAGCACAGTATCTAACACATAGTAAACAATCAGTTTATAGTTTTTATCAGTATTATTACCACCACTATTAAAAGAGAAGAAAAGGAAACAGAAGAAAAGTACCCATGTTATATTTTAAAATAGGTTAAGCAGTTTTTAAAGAACAGTCCATGACTTTAGTAACTCTACAAAAATCTTGTTGGCATTTCATTAGAAAAGTCTGTAGTTATCAACATACACTATTATGAAATTATTGGTATGAGAAAAATTGTTGCTACAAGTACTTTCTTTTCAGATTCAGTAGCAACTCATATACTGATTATAGAGTGATATTTTCTTTAAAAAAACATACAATTAGCTATTTTCTTTTTTTTTTTTTTGAGATGCTGTTTTCTAATTAAACCTTTTATTAAGTCTAAAACCATGTTTTTGAAAAGTGAAGTTGTGAAACATTTATATCCAAATTGCCACAGTGACCAGAAGGCTAGTACAATAGTTTTAGAAATTATATACAGGATTTGGAGCTCTCCAATAGACCACCAAATTATGAGAAATTCTACAGATATAAGATTCTTCCCTGTACTCACAATCTTGAAACAAATAAACCTCAATTTCTTTTTGAATTCAAGGGATAAACAAACATATTTTAAGGAAGGCAATAAAATGGAAACTGAAATAGTTCTAGGAAAAAAAGCTAAATATGAGCAAAGGTTATGAATAGGTATGTCACAAAATCTTGCAAATGGTCAATTAGCTCATGAAAAGACATGAAACTCACTTGATATGGTTTGGATTTGTATCCCTGCCTAGATCTCATGGGAAATTGTAATCCCCAATAATGGAGGAGAGGCCTGGTGGGAGGTGATTAGATCCTCATAGGGACAGACATCCCCTTTGCTGTTTTTGTGATAGTGAGTGAGTTCTCACAAGACCTGGTTGTTTAAAAGTGTGCAGCACTTCCCACTTCACCCTCTGCCTCCTGTTCTGGCCGTGTAAGATGTGCCTTCTTCCTTTTCACCTTCTGCCATGATTTTAAGTTTCCTGAGGCCTCGCCAGACATGCCTCCTGTACAATGTTCCACAATGTGAGCCAATTAAACCTCTTTTCTTTATAAATTACACAGTCTCAGATATTTATAGCAATGCAATATGGCCCAACTGTCCCATAGAAGTGATGTTTATGGTTTCTTTTGAATAAATGTAGAAATTGACTCTACCAGTCTTAAAACTTGAGAAAGTTACATTTTTCTTATCTGAATTCCTTTCTCAGGAAATCAACCATCAAACTTCTTAGATACTATCAAGAAAGTGAAACTTACCACATCACCACATCTGGGCAATGAGATGCCAGACCCTTCACTAATCATGATTGCCTAACTGACTTCCTGTTCCTGCTTCCCTTCCTGCTTCCTGTTGACCAACTCCTCTTCCTTACCTCTAAGGAAGGGGTCAGAGGACTTGGTTTTTCCCATACATTATTACATTTCTTCCCTGCTGAATAAATCTCTAATTTTAGTCAGAGAGATAGATTTGAGACTGATTTCCCATCTGCTTGACTGCAGCACCCGAATAAAACCTTTTTCCCTGGCAATACTCATTGTCTCAGTGACTGGCTTTCTGTTGGGCAAGCAGCAAGACCTAGAGCTAACTCTTGCTGTTTGGGTAACATATAATATCATTAATAATCAGGTAAATACAAATGAAAACTGCAATAAAATATTACTACACACACACTACAATGGTTAAAATTAAAGCTAACACCACCAAATGTTGGTGATGATCTGGAGTAACTGAAATTTTCATACATAATTGGTAGGAAAGTAAAATGATTCAAGCACTTGGGAAAAGGTCTAGAAATTTTTTTACAAAAGTGGACATATATCTACCATATGAACTACTAATTCCAATGCTGGGTATCTACCCAATAAAAATGGTTTTTATAAAGGTTGAAAAAAAAAAAAAACCTTATTCAGGAATGCTCATAATAACTGTATTCATGATATCAAAAGATAGAAACAGCCCAGATATCCATCAATATGCAAAAGAATAAACAAATTGTTAGATATTTATACAATGGAATACTAATGATAAAAATAAACAATTTTTTAATACACATAAAATATACGTGAATCTCATAACATTATGCTGTGTAAATGAAGCCTTACCCAAAAGAGTACACACTGTATGATTTCATTTATACTACATTCCATAACAAGCAAAATTATTCTATGGTGAAAAAAAATTATAGCAATTATTAGTTTGCCAAGAGGTAGGGTGGAGTATTAGTCCATTTTCATGCTGCTGATAAAGACATACCCAAGATTGGGCAATTTACAAAAGAAATAGGTTTTTGGACTTACATTCCCACGTGGCTGAGGAGGCTTCACAATCATGGTGGAGGGTAAAAGGCACATCTCACATAGCAGCAGACAGGAGAAGAGAGTTTGTGCAGGGAAACTCCCATTCTTAAAACCATCAGATCTCATGAGACTTATTCACTATCACAAGAACAGCATGGGAAAGACCCATCTCCGTGGTTCAACTATCTCCCACCAGGTCCATCCCACAACACATGGGAATTATGGGAGATACAAGATGAGATTCAGGTGGGGACAGAGGGCCAAACAATATCATTCTGCCCATGGCCCCTCCCAAATCTCACGTCTTCACATTTCAAAATCAATCCTGCTTTCCCAATGGTCCCCCAATGTTTTAACTCATTTCAGCATTAACTCAAAAGCTACAGTCCAAAGTGTCATCTGAGACAAGGCAAGTCCCTTCTACCCTTAACTCATTTCAGCATTAACTCAAAAGCCATAGTCCAAAGTGTCATCTGAGACAAGGCAAGTCCCTTCCACCCTTAACTCATTTCAGCATTAACTCAAAAGCCATAGTCCAAAGTGTCATCTGAGACAAGGCAAGTCCCTTCTGCCTGTAAGCCTGTAAAATAAAAAGCAAGTTAGTTACTTTTCCTAAATACAATGGGGGCACAGGCATTAGGTAAATACAGCTATTCCAAATGGGAGAAATTGGCCAAAACAAAGGGGCTACAAGCCCCATGCACGTCTGAAATCAAGCAGGGCAGTCAAATCTTAAAGCTCCAAAATTATCTCCTTTGATTCCATGTCTCATATCCAGGTTACGATGATGCAAGAAGTGGATTTCCATGGTCTTGCGCAGCTCCTCCCCTGTGGCTTTGCAGGGTACAGCCTCCCTCCTGGCTACTTTCATTGGCTGGCATTGAATGTCTGTGGATTTTCTAGGCACATGGTGCAAGCTGTCAGTGAATCTACCATTCTGGGTTCTGGAGGATGGTGGCCCTCTTCTCACAGCTCCACTTAGGTGGTACCCCAGCAAGGACTCTGTGTGGGGGATCTGACCCCACATTTCCCTTCTGCAATGCCCTAGAAGAGGTTCTCTATGAGGGCTCCACCCCTGCAACAAACTTCTGCCTGGGCATCCAGGCACTTCCATATATCTTCTGAAATCTAGGAGGAGGTTCCCAAACCCCAATTCTTGGCTTCTGTGCATTCATAGGCTCAACACCACATGGAAGCTTCCAAGGCTTGGGGCTTGCATCCTCTGAAGCAACAGCCTTAGCTTATCTTGGCCCCTTTTAGCCATGGCTGGAGCAAGTGGGACACAGGACACCAAGTCCCTAGGCTGTACACAGCAGGGGGGTCCTGGACCTGGCCCATAAAACCATTTTTTCCTCCTAAATCTCTGGGTCTGTGATGGGAGAGGCTGCTGTTAAGACCTATGACATGCCCTGGAGACATTTTCCCCATTACCTTGGTGATTAACATTCCACTCCTTGTTACTTATGCAAATTTCTGCAGCCAGCTTGAATTTCTCCTCAGAAAATGGAATTTTCTTTTCTATTGCATTATCAGGCTGTAAATTCTCCAAACTTTTATGCTCTGTTTTCCTTTTAAAACTGAATGCCTTTAACAGCACACAAGTCACCTCTTGAATGCTTTGCTGCTTAGAAATTTCTTCCACCAGATGCCCTAAATCACCTCCCTCAAGTTCAAAGTTCCAAAAATCTCTAAGGCACGGGCAAAATGCCACCAGTCTCTTAGCTAAAGCATAACAAGAGTCACCTTTGCTCCCGTTCCCAACCAGTTCCTCATCTCCATCTGAGACCAGGTCAGCCTGGATTTCATTGTCCATATTATTGTCAGCATTGTGGTCTAAGCCATTGAACAAGTCTCTAGGGATTTCCAAACTTTCCCATATTTTCCTGCCTTCTTCTGAGCCTTCCAAACTGTTCCAACCTCTGCCTATTACCCAGTTCTAAAGTCGCATCCACATTTTAGGGTATCTTTTCAGCAGCACCCCACTCTACTGGTAATGATTTACTGTACTAGTTTGTTTTCATGCTGCTGATAAAGACATACTTGAGACTGGGCAATTTACAAAAGAAAGAGGTTTATCGGACTCACAGTTTCATATGGCTGGGGAGGCCTCACAGTCATGGTGGAGGGCAAAAGGCACATCTCACATGGCAGCAGACAAGTGAAGAGGGCTTGTGCAGGGAAACTTCCATTTTTAAAACCACCATATCTCGTGAGACTTACTATCATGAGAACAGCATGGAAATACCCATCCCCGTGATTCAATTATCTCCCACTGGGTCCCTCCCACAACACGTGGGAATGATGGGAGCTACAAGATGAGGTTTGGTTGGACATACAGCCAAACCATATCAGGCGGAATTGACTGGGAAAAGGGATAAGGAATCTGTCTGGGATAAAAGTAATGTTTTATATCTTGTTAGGGGTTTTGATTACACAAGCATACATATTTGTCACAACTTTGTTGATATGCAATTAAGACTTGTGCATATTTCATGTAACTTTGCATCAAAAGAAAAATTATAAACAAATAATGAACTCTATTTCATTATATGCATGCTGAAATATTTAGGAAAAACTGTAATGTTGCAATTTCCTTTTAAATGTACCCCAAAATAAGATGGATTGGTGGAAGTTTACAGTGATAGGTGGGTAAATATGCAATAAAGCAAATATTGGTAAAGTACTGATGAAAGAATCTTTGTGGTGAGAGTACAAGTCTTCCCAATAACATTTTTTAAGCTTGCTAAATGATTGACATATTTCATGGTAAAATATTGGCAAAAAAGATACTGCTTAAAGTTTAAATTTCATTCTTTTTTCTAGTAAAAATCAAATGTCAAATTGCTTGTTGTTGGCAGCAATTCACCATAAATGCACACTCACTATAACTTTACACTAATATATAATCTTAAAAGAAAAGTAAAAGATATTTTATTTACAAATTACACCTGATCACTAATATATCATACTTGTTATGGTCAATGAAAGTAATATGTAAGTCAACAGAAGAGAAAAAACACCTTTTTTCCAATACTGAAAAGCTTTCAAATATCAACTCAACTTTCCCTTTGCCAGTACATGTTGGACTTTGTCCAATATAATTATATACAGTCTACAGGCAGATTCAAAATACTTTAAAATTATTATCATAGTTTAAAACTAAATTATAACAATTACAAAAACGTGATTCTTAAAATTTTGTCTTACAGACAAAACATAAAGATGTTTTCCTCATACAGTATAAGGATCTACATAACAACTTCATGATTATAAAAATTAGTAAGCACTGACAAAACTATTTTTTTAATGTGGCAAAATTTTGCCTTGATGTTGCATTGGCATTATAATTGTGTATTTACATGCTCATAAACTCCTATGGTGGTGTTGCACGACTTATCCTTAGTTCAGCTAAAGATGGGGTTCTTTGTCCCATAGCCACAAAAATTCAGGCTCGCAGACAATTTGGTGAGTGAGACAAGGTTTTATTGGGTGAAAAGGAAGAAAAGTGTGAAACAGGAACTCTCACTAGGCCAGAGTTCCTGCTAGAGTGCTTCCCTCTCACCATTCAAATCCCAAGTTCCTCACAGGAACAGGAGGTGCCAGACTCCTCCCTGCTGAAAATGTTGTGAAAGTTGTAATGCTCCACCTCAGTGGGCAGGCTGGCTGGAGTTTCTCTGGGGAACCCCTCCCATCTGGCTGTCTCATCCCTCCCTCTAAGGAAGTACATCTAACTGCCATTAGATTAGGATACAGATGAAGACCGATCTTAACTGCTTCCTGCTGACAGGGTGCAGTTTTGGGAAAATGGCAGTCAGAGCTTCCCCAGAGTCCTATTTAAGGAGCCACCATCAGAGGCTCCGGTTGCATGACTGTTTGGAGTTTGATGGCCTGAAGGCAAGAAGATAAGCCGGGTTACTAGAAAACATGTATCAAAACAAAACAAGCCAAGGTGTAAAGACAGCTCAAAAATTCTGAGGCCTTTTACCAGTTTACACAGGGAAAGGGAGGCCAAAAGCCCGACTGGTAAAAAAAAAAAAAAACTTTACCCTTTTGCTGCTGTGTTGGGCTTCTGGATTCCCTTCACCTGAGCTCAATCCTAAGCCAACCAGTTTAAGGTTTAGAAAATTAACTCTTTCCAGATTGAAGGATGCATCTGAGGGGAGTACCTCATAGTATGAAGACATAATTACCTATTAATGAAGAGAGAATTGAGAAGGAGAAAGGAAAAAGGTGTTCTTTCAAGGAAGTCCCAGGGGTTCAGGATGCATTTGAAAGGGGTACAGACTGAAGATGAATGGCTGCCCATCTAGAAAAAGGGGAGCAGGCATCCCTGGTTCCCGTCTCTTTCTAGCAGATACCCGGAGTACGTGAGGGAGAGAGGGAAGAGCATCCTCTTTCCTTTTTCCATTCTTGCATGCCCGAGTTCCAGCAACCTTGGCAGGCACTGCCATGGGTATTAAAGTGGCTTGCACCCATGAAGCAGGGGGGCCTAGAGAAAAGGAATTACCCACTCTCACCTATGTCTCTTTTCCACCTACTGTCAGTAGCCTTGGAGTTCCCTTTACCTCATTTATGCCATGGATATTAACGTGGCCTTTATCAATGAAACAGGAAGCTTGGGGTTGGCTTAATTGGCATGAATCAGCCACGCTCATCTGTGCTGTGCTTTTTAACCTCTATTGTCATTTGCCTCTGGACCCCTCAGTACAGTTTTCCTTCCTAGGGCTTTGACCCCGAAGCTTGGAATTGATTTTGGGACAAAAATGTGTCTCGGGTGTTGCATGGACTCCTTATCATAAACCAAACGCTAAGGTGAAACTGTGGAACTAAGGTGAAACTGTGGAACTGAGTCCTCCTCCAAAAAGGGAGAGGAAAGGATGTCTTGTGACACACCCAAATAAGTGGTGGCTATAGTTATGCTTGCTAAGATTTGGGTGCATGGTGCTTGGCTTTGGTTAGCTCCCTTGGCCTTACTTTTCCAAAAGGAAACCTCTGAGTGATGGGCATCCTATTCATTCCCATCACCTAACAGGATTTACAGGATAATTGCTCAGAGCTAGAATACTGATCAGAATTTCTACATTACCTATCCCTCCTATTCTTTCTGAGCTGCAGCCAGGGATTGCTGGTTGGTTCACAGAAGCAAGCAGGGTTAGTCTAAAATGTAGGCAAAAAACTTAAAAACAACTAGTGAGTTTAGAATTTAATGACAAATATATTGTTATACCCGAGCAAGTTAGAAAAACACCACACTTTGAGACGAATTAAGAGTCCTTTATTAGCCGGCGACCAAGAGACAGCTAACGCTCAAAGTTCTCTCGGCCCCGAAGAAGGGGCTAGATTTTCTTTTATACATTGGTTTAGAAAGGGGAGGGGGGTCTAGTTAAAACAATTTTACAGAAATAAAATAGGCAAAAAGTTAAAAGGATAAATGGTTACAGGAAAGTAAACAGTTCCAGGTGCAGGGGCTTTAAGACTATTACAAGGTGATAGACTCGGGGTTTTGGGCGTTATCAATCAGATGAATTCCTGGGAATTTCGGATATAGCTTGCCACAGTATCTTATCAGTTAATTGCATTCTTGGATGTGCTGGGAGTCAGCTTGCACAGGTTAAGTCCTTGAGGAAGGGGCTGTCAGTGAAAGAGCCAAGATGGAGTCTGTCTGGATCTCTTAGCTAAGAGAGAGTCAATTCAGGTGGAAACAAGGCTAGGTGATTAAAGGAAAAGGGGGAGTCTAAAAACAGGGTTAGTAAAAACAAGGTTGGGCATTACAATATGACAAGTTTTGAAACATGATTTCTCTCTCTCCAGTCCTCATGTTTGTTTAAAAAAACAAATCATCATGGGGCTGAATGGGTTTTTTTGCAAAATAGACGTTAGTCTCATAAAGTGCAGCAAGAATAATGATTTCTACATAGACCTTTTGGATTGATTGGCTTGTTGGAAGTTTGCTCCATAAGGAATCTCAGATAAGACCTTTTAAAGCCTAGCCCAGCCATGGTTTATCCTCAAATACTTGTGAGTTGGGTGATCCTCTCCTCTTAAGGTCCCAGGATAAACTTGGAGCTCCTGGACCTGTTAGAAAGTGACATTCTTTACTGACCACAGATCAGGAACCCTGTACAGGGACTGCATAGACAAGGGTATGAGGCCAGTTTCTCCCATGGGGCTTTTATCAGCTCTGCAAGTTGAGATTGACTCCTTAAAGGGGAGCATACCCTTTCAGTCAAAGCCTTGGTAAAACAACCACTTTCTCCAATTGTGTCCTGTTCCAAAAGACAATGGATTCTTATTGCACTGATGCAAACAACAATATTGTCATAGTAGTACTCACAGATAGTTTCCAAATTCTAGAGGAACCAGGCAGAGAGAAACAAACATGCTCCAAATCTTGAACACAGGAGTATACCTACTTAATTATTAAAGTCCATAAATAGTTCAAAGTTTCCTTGACTCCAAAAAACAAAACATGGATCAGCAATTTTCCAAGCAAAGGTTAAAAAGATTTGCTTCAGTTTCCTGAGTTCAATTCATTTAGTTAACTCTTGTTTTGCTTGATATTCATGAGCATTTCAGCTCTTCATGAGTCTTGTACATTTTCCGTTATTCCAATGTTACAATCTCTAAAGTTATCAGAAGGCTGTATTTAAGAGTATCTCTTAAACTTCTACAGGTCATTATAAACCATCTTTTAGGAAGGATTAAAATAAGAAAACAATTGTCTGTGAATAGGAAAATGTCCAGGTTAGTTACAGTTAGAAACACAACTGACAAAGAAGTTTGGTTATCTCCATGGTTTATCATAACAAAATAAAAACCTTAATTATGATTGGTAGCATATACTTAGACATTAGAATTTTAGAAATCCCATACAATTCTGCAACACATATTAGCATTATTCACCAGGATATAACCTAAAGGAGATTGAGCATCATTTTGACAACTTCATGTACCTAAATATGTCAAATAATCCTGTTTACCTCTATTTTCTGGACATTCCAGGGGCCCTCTGGACTATCCAAAAAGCCACGTGTCAGGAAAGACAGTTTTGAAACTGAAGTTTAATTTTAGGAAGGCTGTTAAATGTTCAAGGTTTAAAATACTTGATATTATGAAATAGAATTCCAGATTACCATAAGTTATTTATTTTGCCAAAAATTATGGCTCAGAAATTTAAAGAAGCAAAAACCTTTTATAACCCCTTACAAATTTTGCCAAAGAGCAGATTAGTGCCTTAGGAAAACCTTGCTATGGTTTTATTTCAATACTAAATTTACAGAAAAACCATATAATACCCTTTTTCGAATTTAGTCAGTATGTTCACACAGAGAACCTCTTCTGCAAGACTTCTTTGAACCTTTAGCTTTTTCCTAATTTAACTCATAACAATCCTTTAACTGGAGGCAAAAGTTTACATTTCCATGCCTTCTTATAACTTTTATTAAAAAACACATTTTACTGTTCTTACACACTCTGCATGTAAATATATTTCTAGTAGTTCCAATTAACTCCTAGCAATTTTGAACTTTAAGGTAAAACTTGGTAAGTTGCTTTAATTGTGTGCTAACTGCAGCCAAGGTTTGCCTTATTAGTTAACGAGTGGTTAGTTCCATATGTCCCCAGGCCTCACCACTTATGAAGCCAGCAAGTCGAATAGTTCTCAAAACCCAAAAAGCAGTTTGTAACCTCAAAACACTTAGCAAACCTTGCACCTGACCTGCATTTCACCAGTAGTCTTTAGCGCTCTCTTTATTTCTTAAAGTCATCAACTGAAAGTTTCCACAGCTTTTAACTTCCCTTTAAAAAATATTAGATCCAAGTGCATGTCTTTCTTTAGGCCAAATTAACTAAAGCTCTTTTGACAGAGATTACACACAGTACACACACACACAGGCAGAAGAAAACCCAGTTGCTAGGTGGGGCCCTTTAAGAGACAGGGCTAGGAAAACTTGCAGATATCAAACCAGAAAGAAATTTATTCCCTAAGGCAGGATTCCTAAACAAAGCCTTGCCAAGCAGTTACAGGCCATGCCCCCAGTGTGTAAAACAACATGGAGGCTTGCAGCACAAACCATACAGACATGCAAAGCTCATGGGATAGGCCACAGCCCAAGACTAGCCCCACAAACCCTTTTTCACAATTAAAGCTTTACAGAAAATATAAACAGTGATAGCTGGGGGGCCTGGCATAGCAAAACATCTTCTAAAAGGAAAAAAACAAAACTTGCTTAAAAACTGCTGATGGGGTGGAGAAGAGGAAAGGAAAAAAACAGTTTAAAAATGCCTAGAGAAGAACCTCTTACTCTTATGCAAGTGGTTCCTTCACCAGGGAGACTAGTTCAATTACTGCCCAGTGGAGTAAAACCGCTTGGCAGGGGAAGGGGAAGGCTCCTGCAAAAGCAGGTGGCTGGGACTGCCAGCCTGCTGTGCCAGATCCTTGGGCCATGTATCCCAGCCCCGGCATGGAGGGGAGAGCCGTGAGGAGCTGCTGCTTGCCAGTGCAGCCCGAAAAAGGAAGGAAAAGACCATAAGGATGAAAAGGCTCAGAAGGGAGAGGGAAAAAGAATTGTTGGTTTGCATCTCACTCACCACTTCTCGAGCCCCCACGTTGCGCACCAAAAATGTTGAGGACTTTTCCTTAGTTGAGTTAAAGACGGGGTTCTTTGTCCCACTGAGAGGTGACAGCGTGCTGGCAGTCCTCACAGCCCTCGCTTGCTCTCAGCGCCTCCTCTGCCTGGGCTCCCACTTTGGCGGCACTTGAGGAGCCCTTCAGCCCACCGCTGCACTGTGGGAGCCCCTTTCTGGGCTGTCCAAGGCCGGAGCCCACTCCCCCAGCTTGCAGGGAGGTGTGCAGGGAGAGGCGCCAGCGGGAACCGGGGCTGCGTGCGGCGCTTGCGGGTCAGCTGGAGTTCCGGGTGGGCGTGGGCTTGGCGGGCCCTGCACTCGGAGCAGCTGGCAGGCCCTGCCGGCCCTGGGCAATGAGGGGCTTAGCACCCCGGCCAGCGGCTGCAGAGGGTGTACTGGGTTCCCCAGCAGTGCCAGCCCACCGGCGCTGCGCTCGATTTCTCGCCAGGCCTTAGCTGCCTTCCCGTGAGGCAGGGCTTGGGACCTGCAGCCCGCCATGCCTGAGCCTTCCACCCCCTCCGTGGGCTCCTGTGCCGCCCAAGCCTCCTCGACGAACGCCACCCCCTGCTCCACGGCGCCCAGTCCCATTGACCACCCAAGGGCTGAGGAGTGCGGGCTCACTGCGTGGGACTGGCAGGCAGCTCCACCTGCGCCCCGGTTGGGGATCCACTGGGTGAAGCCAGCCGGCCTCCTGAGTCTGGTGGGGGCCTTGGAGAACCTTTATGTCTAGCTCAGGGATTGTAAATACACCAATCGGCACTCTGTCTCTAGCTCAAGGTTTGTAAACACACCAATCAGCACCCTGTGTCTAGCTCAGGGTTTGTGAGTGCACCAGTGGACACTGTTTCTAGCTACTCTGGTGGGGCCTTGGAGAACCTTTGCCTCATACTCTGTATCTAACTAATCTGGTGGGGAGGTGGAAAACCTTTGTGTCTAGCTCAGGGATTATAAACGCATCAACCAGCGCCCTGTCAAAACAGACCACTCGGCTCTACCAATCAGCAGGACCTGGGTGGGGCCAGATAAGAGAATAAAAGCAGGCTGCCCTAGCCAGCAGTGGCAACCCCCTCGGGTCCCCTTCCACATTGTGGAAGCTTTGTTCTTTCACTCTTTGGGTCCACACTGCTTTTATGAGCTGTAACACTCACCGCAAAAGTCTGCAGCTTCACTCCTGAGCCAGCGAGACCACGAGCCCACCGGGAGGAACGAACAACTCCAGACGCGCCGCCTTAAGAGCTGTAACACTCACCGTGAAGGTCTGCAGCTTCACTCCTGAGCCAGCGAGAACCACGAACCCACCAGAAGGAAGAAACTCCGAACACATCGGAACATCAGAAGGAACAAACTCCAGACGCGCCACCTTAAGAGCTATAACACTCACCGCAAGGGTCCGCGGCTTCATTCTTGAAGTCAGCGAGACCAAGAACCCACCAATTCCGGACACACCATGGCCACGAAAATTCAGGCTCATAAACAATTTGAATGGTGAGTGAGACAGAGCTTTATTGGATGAAAAGGAAGAAAAAGGGGAAACAGGGACTCTTGCTAGGCCAGAGTTCCTGCTAAAGCACTTCCTGCCCGCATTCAAATCCTAGGTTCACACAGGAAGAGGAGGCGCCAGGCTCCTCCCTGCTGCAAATGTCTTGAACTTCCCAAGGCACCACCCCAGTGGGCAGGCTGGTTGGTGTCTCTCCAGGGACCCCCTTCCCACCAGGCTGTCTCAGTGGGAGCAGAATTTTCTTTTATTATTGGTCAGTTCCAGTTCCAGATTATAAAATCAATAACTGAAATTGGAAGGATCTGCCTCCCACATCAAGAAAATACCATAGAGAATTATACCTTACAATGAAGAATATCAGATTATTATACACAGTGAAAATTATTTATGGATAAGTTCACAATTTACATCAGAAAGATTTAATGTGATGAATCATTTTAGGAGGGATATCTTTTCAGCTTTTTGCTTCTTACTCAGGTATTCAAAGAGACCAGCTGAGAAACTTATGTGATAATTGGACATCTTTTTTCAATAACATGTGATTTCAAATTCTGAGTAGCTCCTCCTTGCCCAGATATTTCAAAGGTTGAGGCTTAAATATGACCCATATATTAATCAGCTTTGCTGAAGTAACAAGCAACAACCCCCAAATCCCAGTGGCTTATAAAATTATTTTTCACTCACATTGCCCCTAAATTATGAATTGGTTGTGGTTCTGCTAGATGGGACTTCTAATTCCTGAATCAAAGCAGGACTAGCTCCTCTTTTAGATATGCCACAGGGAAGAGTGAGAGAGCTGGCCAAAAACGTGTGCTGCCTTTTAAAGCTTCTGCTTCAGAAGCTCTGGCATATCACATCTACTCATATGCAACACACAGAGAGAACTAAAGGACTCAAATGTGAAAGTCTTGAGGCCAATATATAATCAAAGGAATAGGCAGCCAATAGTTTTTAAAGAAAAAACAAATTTTCTGGGTTTAGGGGAGAAATCTAATATAGAAAAAGAACTGCCATGAAAGAAATTTCTCTTTTTCTGATTTTCCTGTTATATCTCTGCTAGGATGCCAATACTATAAGAAAAAATAAAATATTATTGCCCCATAACATAGAATAGAAAGCAAAACATCAATAGGAGGAGTAAAAACCAAAAAAAAAGTGAAAATAAATAAATAAAAGGAGACAGTGTTACAAGACAGAAGGTAAGTATACAAGAAAAACAAGCTGCAGGAGACAGTACATGTATGGAAGAAATGTCATTTTCTCAAGCCTTAGAGATCTCCACTAAACTAAGCTCTTTGAAGAATAGGCCAAAACTTTGATGAAAATGAGCTCAATTAACAGAAGAATGGTGTAGACTGTATTGCATAGTAAGAAACTCCAGCCCTGTTACATGCAAAATCAAAATTTTAGATTAAAAAAAAGATCAGAGAAAGGCAGTCAAAGAAAAAAATGAGTTCTTGAAATACACCTCACATAAAAATCACTGACTTTCAAAACTCCTCTCAGAAATCTATAAGAAGATATCAATTATTCTGTTAACTGAAATAATTCAGTTATATATTTTAAAATATATGTGTTAAGTACTACTGTTTTTCTTTTTCTTTTTTTTTTTTAATGTAGAGATGGGCTCTTGCTATGTTGCCCAGGCTGGTCTTGAACTCCTAGTCTCAAGGAATCCTCTGGCCTTGACTTCCTAAAGTGCTAGGATTACAAGTGTGGACCAGGGCATCCAGCCTGCTCTTTTAAATAAAGATTTTAATGCCAATAATAAAATTCTACTCTATATTTGAAGCTGAATTTGCAGCTTATCAATAAAAGAATTAAAATATAATAACTAATAAAAATGGGAGAGAGAGAGAGAGAGATTGAAAGAATGAAATGTTAAAAGAGTAAGTGAGCCCCCTTCATTATCAATTTTAGAAAATCTGTAAATACTGCTTAAATTGACAATCAAGAAATAAAGTGTAACTATATTATTTAGTGTTATAGACATAACCACCAAAAGAACTTAAAATACCATAAGTTGCTACTTCTGAGGAAGGGACTGATGGTGAGAGAAAGTAAGGAATCTAAAAATACTTTAACTTTTTATTAAATAATTTAACATTCTTATTTTATGCCATTTTGGTCGTTTACATTCTTATTTCTACACACATGTATTACTTTTCAAATAAGAAAGCATTAATTGGCACACCAGATTGGCCACAGCCCAAGACTAGCCCCACAAACCCTTTTTCACAATTAAAGCTTTACAGAAAATATAAACAGTGACAGTTGGGGGGCCTGGCATAGCAAAACATCTTCTAAAAGGAAAAAAACAAAACTTGCTTAAAAACTGCTGATGGGGTGGAGAAGAGGAAAGGAAAAAAACAGTTTAAAAATGCCTAGGGAAGAACCTCTTACTCTTATGCAAGTGGTTCCTCCACCAGGGAGACTAGTTCAATTACTGCCCAGTGGAGTAAAACCCCTTGGCAGGGGAAGGGGAAGGCTCCTGCAAAAGCAGGTGGTTGGGACTGCCAGCCTGCTGTGCCAGATCCTTGAGCCATGCATCCCATGCCTCTAATTGGAGGCATGAAATTTTATGATGATATTTGAACAGAATGAATGTGTGTGTCTCAAATTGGAGCAAAAATACTTCTCAGTACCTTAGACAACATCCCTTAGACAAGATACCAAAACACAATCTGAGTTTGAGCCCAGTAAATTTAAAAAAAAAACCCTAATATCCTAATGCTTTCTCTAGTCAGAAATTAAAGTTCTGTACTTTTGTAAATTTTTCCTTTTCTTCTTGGCTGACGGGAAAGTTAGAGCAAAGATCAGTGCCCCAGTTCTATCAACTCATGTTGGGTGTCTGTTCACCTCATTCCCTCTGCTATGGTTTAGATGATATCTGTTCATTCTATTTCTAACTCTCTTATTTTGTATTATGCGTAATCTCATAAGCCACTTCAATTTTTTTTGAAAAACAGGAAGGATGTAAATTCTAAACAAAAAAGATAGAACAAAATATTTTGAAATTTTAGAAACTTTTAAGAAACTCTCTAATGAACTAAATGTAGCTGTTTTAGTTAAAAATTTGTAAAATACAGGAATTTTATATTAAAAACACAAAATGAAAAAGTAGCAGTGCTCATGTGCAATTATATAATCATTAATAAATTATAAATAATTTAATAGATACATAATTATAGATTATATAATAGATATATAGATTATAAATAAATAAACAGCAAAATAAATATAGTGTTTTCAAATACTTTTTCAAAGTCACAACAGAAAAGGCCTATACATTAATTATTTTAAAAAACAAATTAGGTTAAAATTTACTAATTCTCTCACTTCATATATGTATATACACACACATATATACACAAGCACTTCTTTTCTTCACTTATTTTCTTCATTTGCCAGAGGCAATTTTTAAATGGAATTAACTATACTTGGGTTTATCTCTTTGTCATGCACACCATTAATAGCCTCACTACTGAAATAAGTTAGTTCTTTATTATTCCCTAAGGCAACAAGAGGCTGTAATTATTTTGTGAATCATTTTGTCTTTAATTAATTTGTGTTGTCTCTTAACATTAAAATTTAGTAGCGATAAGGTTGAATTGGAGTTTCTGTTTATAGGTTTTGTAAGCAGAGCTATTGACTCACAATTTTCTGATTAATTAAATGAAATATTATTAGGTAATGATTCACATGCTGGAAAAAATAAAGTTCTGTCCAAATATAACTGCTACTCTTTAAAAGTATATTGCAATTTATTATTATTGTCATTTTTCAGAAATGATAAGCTTTGATTCTCATTCACTATGTTATCTTTAAAAATAGATCAGCTGACCTTAAGAAAAATTCATCATTATTCAACACCTCTTTGGCTAGAACGATTTTAGTCCTATTCAGGCAAGCTCAGAAAGCACTTCCACTGCAGGAAATTGAAACCTTAGCTTGTGTTTAAACTCAAAAACTAAATCACCCTTGTAGTAAGCATTCCAGTCTTTCCCCAATTAGTCACACAAACAATTGTATAAAAATCAACCAGTCTATGCAATGATATAATTTCATAATTTATCAAAATGATAAAATGACCAGAACTAAATCAACTATACATAAGGTCATTTTTAGCTAATGTAGATTCATACTATTATAAGTATTAATCTATTAAAAATAATGCAACCAAGGATATTCATAAATGTATATATTATTTACATTACCTTCAAATGTAAAACTTAGTTCTTAAAAATTCAGATATAGGCCGGGCGCAGTGGCTCACACCTGTAATCCCAACACTTTGGGAGGCCAAGGCGGGTAGGTCACCTGAGGTCAGGAGTTCAACACAAGCCTGACCAACAAGGTGAAACCTGATCTCTACTAAAAATACAAAAATTAGCTGGGCATGGTGGCGGCACCTGTAGTCCCAGCTACTCGGGAGGCTGAGACAGGATAATTGCTTGAACCTGGGAGGCGAAGGTTTCAGTGAGCCAAGATTGCGCCATTGCAATCCAGGCTGGGCGATGGGGCAAGACCCCGTCTCAAAAAAAAAAAGAAGAAGAAAAAATATCAGATTACTAGAAATTAAAGAATATGTAAGTAAAACAATAAAATTTATTATTTTATACCATTCTATTGTTTTCCTATCAAAAGTATATAATATAATATATTTAAAAATCCAATGAATATTTTTAATTAACAGGATGATTGATAGTTGTTTTGAGTCTCTCTGCAACATCTAACAAATCAGTCACCAATTGCTGCAGAAGTCCATGGTAGGAACTCAACATTTGCAACTTACCAATTACTCCTTGGCATCCTCCTAGGCCTCTCCTTCTAGCTGGGGCTACCAACCTACAACCTTCTAGTTCAACTCCAACCCAGTATCTTGAACCAATTCTGATCTTAAGCAGAATAAGGCCTATCCTAACATTCTGAAATTTAGTATAAGATTATTGGTGCCATTTATTTTGCAACTCAGAATTGTTTTAGGCTGTTCCTTATAACCCAGAATTTTAGTCTTGATTACCCTGCATGGTTTCCTGTGTTTCTGTACATTTACTCTTTGATTTGGTTAACTAGGACACTATTGATTTGATTTAGATTCTACTCCTAGTTACTGACTCTCCACCATACACCCAGTCTAGGCTCCTTTGCTCAGACTCCTCTAAGAGGGAAGAATTAGATAATAAGGAAAGCAGACAAATGAGATATTTTATCCATTATTGATAGATTCACAAAGATATCCATCCCAGGTCCTTTGCCCATCTTTCTCTTAGCAGCGAGGATTGTATAGTAAAGGAAGGAGACCTATGAATAATTTTTCATCACTCTTATTAGACTCCCAAAGATCCATGACCTTGAGTGGAAACAAGGCACTTGTTAGGTAAGCAGCATCTAGGCAGCTGCTTAGTGAGTACATTCCAAAACAGTATCTTGTTTCCTCCTGGTCATCATGTGCAAAGCAAGTCTAATTAGGTGATATAGTACTTTAGGCAGACTGTATTACCTAATGATAACAACAATAGTTCCCATTCTACATCCCCTTGTGCAATATGAACTTGGTACTCCCCCATTGAGAAGTAGAATCTATTTCTCTACCTCTTTGGGTCTGATCAGGCCCTCTGCTACTTTGGCCAATAGAATACAATGAGAGTGATACTGCTCCAGTTTCACCATAGCCCTTAATTGGTCTAAAAGGGTCCAATTTGTGTATCTTGAAAGTCAGCTACTGTGTTAGCAGTGTGAGTACCTCGTAACACCATGCAACAAGAAGCCCAAGCCATGTGGAGAGGCCAGGAAGATGAGATACAATGTGGAAAGAGAGAGGCCAAGAAGCACCAAAGCACTAGATATGTGCATGAGAAACCTACCTTGGATGGTCCACACAAGAAAAAGGAGTTTGCAGATGACTCTAGTTCTAGCTGCTATCTGGGTGTGACAATGAGCAACACCCTGAGAACTTACCACCTAAGCCCAGGCAATCCACAGAATCATGGGATATAGTAATGTCATTGTTTTAGGTTACTATGGGGGATGTTGTTACATAGATAACCAGAACTGTGCTATTCATATATTCAAGGTTTTATAAAGTCTTACTCTTCATTGCCAAGGCTTCATTGAATATTTATAGGTTAAAATATTTGAAATTACAATTTCCCAAATAATGTTCTAAATATAAAGCCACTGAGCAATATGTAGATGGACAGTCATCAAAAGATGATTTGGAAAAATGACATAGAACAATAAATTTTAGTGGCTCTCCACCTTCTTCAGCTGGAATACATCTGAGGGATACAGCACATTACTATCAATTGCATCAATTGCTATCAACAACAACAGGAGTTTTAGTTTAAAAAGACCCAAAGACTATTTACTGTCAGATCCTTCAGTTAATCATCATGAAAATATTAAATAAAAAATAACCATATTCACACTTTCTTGTCCATAGTGAAGAGTGCTTGGTGAGTTTAAAGAGAGACTTTTTAGTGATACTCATTTATATAATTTCTTAACAAGACGATGGTCATCTTTAAACCAAACTTTATTTTCAGACGTTTGACTAGCTCTACCCATCATGAAATGTAGTTTGTGAAATTGTGATGTTCACAATCCCAAATCCACTTCTTTCCAGCTGCATGACCTTGGATAAGTTCTTTAATCTCTTTGTGCTTTAGTTTCGTCATCTGAAAAAAAAAGGAATAATAATAGTATCTACCCCCTAAAGTGGTAAGGAGGATTAAGTCAGTTAATAATGCATAATAACAGTTTCTGGAAGTAGTAAGCATCATATAAATGTTAGCTTAATTATTTTTTATCTCATTCATTACATTAGGAACACCTGATTGTAGAATGGCCATAACAAATCCTGGTATCAAATGGATTTCACTAGACAAATAGCCTAAATTCTCCTTAGAGTTAGATAAATGGAAAATACTTATTAAATAGGATTCTAAGTAGTGATTACTCCTATCACTCTTTTGATCAGTCTTATCAAAAGCAAGCAGAGCACTTTAATTCCAACTTATTGTGTAACTTTTAAGGAAGATACCCTAACCCAGAAATGTCAAATCGAGCTGACTGAATGAATTAGTACATTGCCTCATCCAAAATGAACACCATGATCCCAGCTAACTTGATGAGGAGTTTTAGCTGGACTTTCAGATTCTTTTAAAGGGGAGTAAAGCTGTTCATTGAAATGTACTTTGCCTGGTCAAATATTTGATGCAGTAAAAAGCAGTCATAAAAGCTGAAACTAAGACTCAGATCCCATGCCAATCATTCTAAAAAAGCAAGCACCAAAGACTGTTTCCTAGAATTTTACCATTTTTTAAAGAGAATATCATACAGATGCTATATTTGTAGTTTATGCTTCACGATTCAGTGCTTTTTCCTGCTAACTATTGAAGCTGAGAAGCTCAACATTCACACACACACACACACACACATACGCACACAAATAATACTAACAATGACAGAATCGAAAGTTCTTTATCCAACATCCATTCTTCCCTTCAGCCTTAGTAATTGAATTACAGTTTAAAAAACAGCAAATATGTATGATAAACATTTATTTTCATTTAAAATGTATAAGCAAAGACTACTTATTCTACTCTCTTTTGATGTAGTGCCAAAGTCTTTTCTTTGAATGTCTCCATCGATTGCAATTCTCCACTGTCTTTCTTTCATAAATCACTCTCATAATTCATCTTCTACAATGTCCAGTTTCAGTGTCTTTGAAGAGAAAAGAAGACATTTGTTAGGGAATTAATGCATATCCTTTCATAGTTTGACAATTTTTTTTCCAGGCTTTCACAATTTCCTCCCCACATCTAATTTGGCAATATTTTTAAAAAATAAAATTTGCCTTCATTGTGTATTTCCAAAGAATAAACTTTATTTTCATTTCAACTACTTTACTTTTTACTAACTTGAATACTGTGGGTTTAGATAATATTTGTAAAATCACATAATTCTATCAGAATGTCTGAAATACACAGGTTTGGGAACAAATATAACTGGATCTTACCAAGCCAAAAAAAAAAAAAGTACTGAATAAGTGGGAATAAAAGTGAGCAGTCACATTTGAGATGAGCCTCATAATTGTCAGGATTCAGCATGCACATTCATCATCAGAATATCTGATAGACATAATGCAGAGTTTAGGTTTATCTCTTAGTTTTGTGCAAAAGTAACTGCAGTTTTTGACTTTACATTATGGCAAAAACTGCAATTATTTTTGCACCGAACAAGTAGCAATGATTAAGTAGAAGTTGCATATGAGAGATTTCACCCCTAAAGATATTTTATGGATTTTTCAAAAAATATTCCCTACCCTCTTCTTAATCATAGAAAATATTTTTAAAATATGTATATTTCTAAAGCAGACTATCTTACTGTTTTTGATGTTGGTGTTTATAAAGAATAACAAACCCTTGAGACATATTCACATGTCTTTATTCCTAGGAGGATAATCAGCTATTAGTCACTGTTATGGGTTAAATTGTAACCCTCAAAAAGTCATATGTTGAATTTCTAATCCCAGTACCTCAGAATGTGACCTAATTTGGAAAAAAGATCATTGCAGGTATAATTAGTTAAGATGAGTTCTTAGTAGAGTAGGGTAGGCCCTGAATCCAGTATTACTGGTGTCCTCATAAAATGGGGAAACTTGAAAATAGACACACATCCAGGAAGAATACCATGTGAACATAAAGGAAGAGATAGAGGTGATGCACCTACAAGCCAAGGAATGCAAAGATTTCCATCAAACACTGGAATCCTGTTGTTTCAGCCACTCAGTTTGTGGTACTTGGTTACAGCAGTCCTAACAAACTAATACAGTCCATCTTTAGATCAATTTATCCTTAGCTTACAGTCATATTAAGCTTAAATCTGACTTCATCTGGTTTCTATTTATGTCCTTCTCTGCAGCTTCTTACAATTTGTCAGGTCTTCTCTTTTCTAGGTAGGTAGCCTCTTGACTTGAAAATGTTTCTTCATATCATATTATTTCGCTATCCTGATCTCTCTTCTAATGCATTCCTAAAAATACAGTCTTATGCATAAAATTAAAAATAGCATGTGACCTGCCTAATGCAAAGTAAGGCAAAGAATAAATCACCTATCTTCCAAACATGATTTTTTTGTAATGACACAGCCCAAGGTGCAATCATGGCAGCACATTAAACTGCTTACCCTCATTGAACAAAAATCTTAGTTTCCACACATGCTTTTTCTAAGCCATGTCTCTTCTGTATTCTTTGTTGGAGCTGATTTTTTTGATCCAATGATAAAACTTTAATGTTTAATCCCGAGAAACTTCATTTTGCTGCTCTGCCACATCATTCTAGCACATCAAGTTTAGCTTAGAACCTGATTCATTTAGTTAAGTCATTAGGAAAAAAAAGTTGACGTACAGGGAAAGGATAGATTCCCTAAGCCACATTACCAGAAACTTTCTCCAAGCCAAGTTTATCTGTTACGTAGCAATCTGGGATATACCTTATCAGTCAGTTTCCAAGAAATGTAGCTGTGCTAACACCAAGTACATATCTCTTCAAAAGTTTAAAGAAAGGTTATATTACTTTAATAAATACAAATAAATTATATCTCTATCCTTCCCCTGATCTACCAGCCTAACAATTCTGTCAAAAAAAGGACATGAAGCTAATTCAGCATCACTTGTTTTTGGAGAAACCAGGCTGAGTCTTAGTGATCTCTGCTAAGTAATGTAACACATTTCTTCATTTCTTAAGAAATTGACTTCCAAATTTAGCTGAAATCACATTAGAATTCATTATATGACTTTTTCTTCATAAATCTAAATGAACTGCAAAGTTTAACATTTCAATATAATCATGATAAAATTAAATCTTAGTTCATTTTAGAAAGTTAACTTGAAATTGCCTAAAGAATGAATAGAGTGCATTTTTCAATGAAAAATGTTTCTAGCTTGCAGTAATGCAGCTTTTTCAGTCATATAAATAGAAGCTACCAAATATGCTTTTGAAAAAATACGATTTATTTCAGAATTGAATTACTGACTTAGAACTTCAGTGCTGTCTTCTTTACAGACATTTAGCGTACTTTATCCTAATCTTACTTCTAATCTTTCATTTATACTTTTTCCTTTGATTCATTCCCTCAGCTCCTTCTAGGACTTTGTTTAAAATATCTCCTGCCCCCTCCCTTTAAAATGCACACTCTATCATTTCCCATCCCCTTCCTTTATTTCCTTTATCACACTTATCCCTTGGCATTATTGATATTCATATATTTTCCATCTCACTTGCTAGAATTTAAACTACACAAGAATAGGAAGTTTATCTGTTGCTTTAACAGCCACATACCCAGGTTGAGAACAGTACCCAGCACATAGTTACTTCTCAACAAATACTTGTTGGAGGAGTGAATGAAGCAATAAAGAGAAGTACCAATTATACTATTAAGTAAACATTTCGCAACCAGAATACTAAGAGACGAATGTAGGCAAGAGGTGGTAACTGAAAACACCAAGTCACAGTTGAGATAAAACTCACCTATACATGCTACAGATTTAATTAAACATAATATTGTATAATTAAAATTACATCTAATATTTTAGATACATGTTTACTCTTTTAGAATTATAACCCACAACTATAAAATAATAGTTCAACAACTCTAAATATCACATAAATTTCCTAATAAAATGCAGCCAAAATGTCACTATGTTTGTAAAAATAACTTTATTTTCCCACTCAATATATAATTTCCTTCTTTAATTCAAATATTCAAATAACCTGATGAGGGAAGAAGCATAGTCTCTGCTGCCCATTCTCGCTATCTGTTTTCCCATTTACCCCTTATTCCCACTCTCATCACCCCATCTTCACTATGCCGGAATTCACTCCCTTCTATACGTCTTTATTGTCTATGCTATGAATAATTATCTTTTAAAATCAGAAAAAGAAAGCAATTACTTAAATGAGTAGTTATTTAAATAAATGTCTGTTTTGTTTTGTTTTGTTTTGTTTTTTTGAGACGGAGTCTCGCTCTGTTGCCCAGGCTGGAGTGCAGTGTCACGATCTCGGCTCACTGCAAGCTCCGCCTCCCGGCTTCATGCCATTCTCCTGCCTCCGCTTTCAAGTAGCTGGGACTACAGGTGCCCGCCACCACGCCCAGCTAATTTTTCGTATTTTTTTTTTTTAATAGAGATGGGATTTCACCGTGGTAGCCAGGATGATCTTGATCTCCTGACCTCGTGATCCGCCCACCTCAGCCTCCCAAAGTGCTGGGATTACAGGCGTGAGCCACCACACCTGGCCAAATGTCTGATTTTTGTTTGGTTTCAGTTTACAACATTTTTCTTTGCTTGTATTATTATCACTGTTTTTAATATTGATTAGAAACAAATAGTGCCTTGAACAGTAGATATTTGACTACCATTCTGCTACTGAAATGGCCTCCCAGTGTCCAATGGTTCATTTAAAATAGAAGAAAATGTAGTTCTACTAAAGATTTCCATAAAATTATTTATAAAAAATTTAGGATGTCTTCAATGAAATGTGTGAAAATATACAGAATTTACTTTAATGCAGTGCTTAAATTGAACCAGTCAGCCAAACTGACTTCTAAATAAGCAGCTGATGGATATATATATAGAGAGAGATAGATATGTAGATATATAAATACATAATTTATTAATCAAATGATTGCAGTGTTAAGTAAACAACTAGTACTTTGCAATGTAAAAGCACATTACAGTTTACAAAATATGCCTACATGGCTTCAATTCCAGTATAAGTTACTATGTCACTAAATGCCACTTTTGGAATCCAAATTTATCCACAATTTCCCCAACCTTTGCATTAGCAAAGCAGCTCTTACAACATTGGCCCTCAAAGAGCCTCATCTGCCACAAATAAATCAGCTCTTCAAGACAACAGAGCAATATGACTGAGCCACAGCTAGTATCATACTGAATGAAGAAAAACCGAAAGCCTTTCCTCTGAGATCTGGAACAAGACAAGTATGCCCACTTTTACCACTGGTACTGAACATAGAACTGGAAGTCCTAAGTAGGGAAATCATACAGGAGGAAAAAATGAAGGACATCAAAATTCAAAAAGAAGAATTCAAGTTATAGTTGCTTGCAAATGATATGATTTATATTTGGAAAAACCTAAAGACTCCACAAGAAAACTATTAGAACTGATAAATTCAGTAAATTTGCAGGATACAAAATCAACATACAAATATCAGTAGCATTTCTATATGCCAACAGTGAACAATCTACAAAAGAAATCATGAAAGTAATCCCATTAACAATAGCTACAAATAAAATGAAACTCCTAGGAAGAAACTTAATCAAAGAAATAAAGATGCCACAATGAAAACTATAAAACATTGATGCAAGAAATTGGAGAAAACACAAAAAAAGTAAAGATATTCCATCTTCATGAATTGGAAGACTGAATATTGTTAAAATGTCCATGCTACCCAAAGCAGTCTACAGATTCAATGTAATTATTGTCAAAATACCAATGACATTCTTCACAGAAATAGAAAAAAAATTTCTAAAATTTATATGGAACTGCAAAAGACTGAGAATAGCCAAAGTTATCCTGAGCAGAAAGAACAAAACTGGAGGAATCACATTATCTGATAATATGGTTTCGCTCTGTGTCCCCACTCACATCTCATCTTGAATTGTAATCCCCATAATCGCCACATGTCCAGGGAGAGACCTGGTGGAAACGACTGGATCATAGGGGCAGTTATCTCGATGCTGTCTTCATGATAGTGAATTCTTATGAGATCTGATGGTTTTATAAGTGTTTGACAGTTCCTCCTTCACATACTCTTTCTTGCCTGCCACCATGTAAGATGTGCCTGCTTCCCCTTCTTCCATGATTGTAAGTTTCCTGAGGCCTCCCCGGCCATGCAGAACTCTGAGTCAATTAAACCTCTTTTCTTTATAAATTACCCAGTCTCGGGCACTTCTTTATAGCTGTCTGAGAATGGACTAATACACCTGACTTCAAAGTATACTACAGAGCTAGAGTAACCAAAACGGCATAGTAATGGCATAAAAACAGACAGATAGACCAATGGAACAGAATAGGGAACCCAGAAATAAATCCATACATCTACAGTGAACTCACTTTTGACAAAGGTGCCAAGAGCATACATTACAAAAAGGATGGTCTCTTCAATAAATGGTGCTGAGAAAACTGGAGATCCATATGCAAATTAATAACATTAATCCCTAGACCCCTATCTCTCATCATTTACAAAAGTCAAATCACAATGAACTGAAGACGTAAATCTGAGACCTCAAACTATGAAACTAATGAAAGAGAACAATGGGGGAATTCTCAGGGCCATTGGTTTGGGCAAAGATTTATTGAATAACACCCCACAAGCAAAGGCAAATAAAGCAAAAATGGACAAATTAGATCACACACAGTTAAAAATCTTATGCACAGCAAAGGAAACAATCCACAAAGTTAAGAGACAATCCACAGAATGGATGAAAATATTTACAAACTATCCATCTGAAAGGGAGTAATAACAAGAATATATAAGGAGTTCAAACAACTGTACAGGAAAAAATCTAATAATCTAAAAATCTGATAATCATTAAAATAGGCAAAAGATATGAATAGATATTTCTCAAAAAAAGACATATGAATGGCCAACAGGTATATGAAAAGATTCTCAACATCACTGATCAGAGAAATACAAATCAAAACTACAATGTGATATCATCTCACCCTTGTTAAAGTGGCTTTTATCCAAAGGACAGGCAATAATGAATGCCTATTGTTTGGATAAAAGGGTGTGGAGAAAAGGCAACCCTCATACACTGTTGGTGGAGATGTAAATTAGTACAGGCATTATGTAGAACAGTATAGAGTTTCCTCAAAAAACTAACAATAGAACTATAGTATGACAGCAATCTCACTTCTAGGTATATACCCAAAAGAAAGGAAATCAGTATATTGAAGTTATATGTGAACTTATGTGTTTATTACAGCACTATTCACAATGGCCAAGATTTGGTAGCAACCTAAGTGTCCATAAGCAAACTAGCGGATACAGAAAATATGGATACATATACCCAATGGAGTACTATTCAACTATAGAAAAGAATAAGATCCTGTCATTTGCAATAACATGGATGGAGGTCATTATGTTAAGTGAAATAAGCCAGGCACAGAAAGACAAACTTAGCATGTTCTCACTTATTTGTGGAAGGTAAAAATTAAAACAATTAAACTCATGGAGATAGAGAATAGAAGAATGGTTACTGGAGACTGGGAAGGGCAGCAGAGGTGTGGGGGACAGTGAGGATAGTTAATGGGTACAAAAATATAGTTAGAGAGAATGAACAAGGTCTAGTATTTGATAACACAACAGAGTGACTACAATCAACAATAACTTATTGTATGTTTTTAAATAGCTAAAAGAATATAATTGGAATGTTTGCAACTTTAATATAAATGCTTGAGGTCATGTATATCCCATTTACCCTGATGTGATTATGCACTGTATGCCTGTATCAAAATATTTAGTATACCCCATAAATATATAAATATACCTGCAACGTACCCATATTTTTTTTAAAAAAAGAAAGACAACAGAGCACTCACATTCTTTGCTCATTTGTATTTCATGGAAAAGGGAGATGAAGGGAAGTCTATGTCATGTGGAAAAAGTGATATAAGGTCCAGGTAATGAAGGTGATCAACTGACTGCAATGAGATAAAAATTGACCCCTGCCCCACTTCTAGTTCCTTCTCTGCCCATTTTGACTGGGAACTTAAGATATTGGCTGGTACTTGCATTTTTGATAATTCAAGGACACCAGTTGTTCATGAACCCCACTTTAAAAAACATGGCGATAAAATGGTATTGAAGAGTGACTAACTGCATTATAACCAGAGAAGATAGAGGGATGTGAATATACAAATGCCTTCACCCACAAATTTTTAAATTAATTTTATATAAAGTCATAACTCTTTTTAAAACACAGGAATCAAGTTCACATTTTCCATGCTGCAGAAAGGATTAAACATGTAGGACAGTTTATAGCTATTTATTGCCTCCTGAACATCAGCTTGATTGATGTTAGTATATTAACCCAGGTAAGCAAGTTTTAAAGCAAGGAAAAAAAAATGGTTTTGCTATTGTCTATTTTACTCAACCACAGCAGAAAAGAGAGGGAAAAATTATTAGTATTGCAAAGTGCTGAGGAGAAAACATATTTACCCATCTATAAACCCTTTTTCAAGGTTTTTGGGTTTTTTTTTATTTTAAAACAGCATTATTGATCAGGTTGTACTAACTTTGCCTTTTGGAAACTTATTTAAAAAAAGACATTTCAGTTGCCATGATCTAAAGTAATGTTTACCACTATGGTTTACATTTAACATATTGTAGTAGTTATTTTTTAAATTATTTTATTTTGTCATGTAGAGATACTGTGTGTTTTTTTTTATTTGAACTGGTTAGCTCTATAAATTCCTCACTTAAGCTTTCCAAATGGACCATTCTTTTTAAAAAGCCTATAAACAAATAAATAACATAAGAAGAATAAAATAATGAGCTCAAAGTGAAATAAGGAAATAAATATTACAGAAGGTTGGAGTAGAGCACCAGTGAAATAAAAGTGTAAATTTCAGTTTCCCAGCCTAATAAAAAATTAGTATAAATGCCTATTTTATTGATCTTTAAGACTCTAAAATACTCTAGAGGAAACTGAATCCAAATTTTATTCCAAAAGTAAAAATAATAAATAGTTAGTAAAAAATTTACCAAACATGATAGTAGAATCTCTCATTTCTATTTTTGGGAAGAGGAAAAGTTTATGGTTCATTTTAATTTTACATTGTTTCCTATCAATATGTATCTCATTTTTTTTGGAAATGATTTGGATTCTATGGATATGTTGTCATGAATGAGACTTTTCTTGATGGAAAATGAAGTCATCATGTTAGAAGAGTCCCTTTGAGGAAATCAGTTATCTCCTTACTTGCAAGTGGCATACATTTTCTAGATTTTCTTAAAAGTTAGGCTTAAATATTTCCGGAAATAGATATTTCACCCTAGCAACCACCTCCCTTGCAATCAGTGCTGCAAAAGGGAAGAACAGAGTCTTTATAGTCAAAGAGATCTGAGTGGCTGGAAGGAAAAAATATTCCAACAGGAAACAAAAGTGAAACATGTAGGAAGAGATAGGATTGAAAGAAACGAAGGTAAAGGAAAGAAGAGAGAGAGAGAGAATAGAAAAAGATATGTGTTGTTATGAAATTAACAAAATCTAATTTTAATATTTATTTATATTTACGTTTTTCCCAAAAGCTTTACTAGGGCCAGAATACTTAGAACTATCAATGCCTATTAAATTTTTAGGAAAAAATAACCTATTGAGATTATTACTGGCATTTCAAATAAAACTAGACTTACATTTCATTCATATTTAAAAAGTAATGTAAACTTTTATAAAATATGTACCACTCTGTTTTAGAACTCAACAGCTTATGGATGAAGAAATGGTTTATCACATGATTTTCTTGGAGAAGGATAAGCCAAACCTTAATGCCTTATTAAAGTGATTTTCTTAACTAATTTAATTGCTGCACAGTAACTTTTTAATCTCTCACATCAGAAATTATCCACAAATCCAGTAATATAGGAATCTGCCAGTCAATTTTTACTATATTTTGACAATTTTCTCTTTTAGAAATGTGACAATAAAACTACAACCTATAAGGAAGACTGCTTCTAGTAGCATATTTTACCTACACTGGGTAAATTATTGCCTTTCCAGTAGAGAGAGAATGAAAAATCCTTTTGCTTAAAATATCACCTGCAGTCATTCAACCTTGCAAAATCCCTTCCTGAATGAGATGTATTTATTCAGGTTTTCACTGTAGTGAATTGAGTCAGGATTAAGAGTTCTACAGAAATTTCAATGACACAAAAAGGCATGGTTCCTTATCCTTGTAGAATCATGCAGTGACATGTAGTGGTGTTAGTTGTAGGACCTTGTAAACTTAATTTCTAAAATTGGTGAAGTGCTGGTTTTGTGTCCAGTGTGCTTAGGGCATAATAATAGGCTGTCTTCACCTTTCAAGAACTCTGAGCCTTTCACATTTTAGTTGTGAATGTGTAAGTGTACTTGTGCATGAAGGCTAACTACACTGCATGTCTTTATAAAAAGAGAAGCAGAAGCCAAGTAGAAAATCATTTAAATTTATTTCCTGGAGACACAGTAGGGCAGCATATAATGCCTAAAAGCTCTCCTGTCTTCTATGCTGTTGTATCACATTAAATAAATTTTAGGAGCTGACGAAGGCTTTTCAGTGCCAATCAACAATCAGAGAAAGAGGCGTTGCTATTGACAACTGGGAAAGTTGTGGTGCTGAATTGCAGAAGCTGTCTTTTAAAGGGTTCCAGCCGTCATCATCACATCAGTGAAGCATATTAATCTGCTCCACATTGCTTGAAAAGGTGTAGGTAATTACCTTCTCTACTCCACAATGTTTTCACAGAAATCTTTCATGAGATGATATTGTTTAGTGGGAAACAACAGCTAACTTTTCCAACTAGGGGGGAGAAAGGATATATATGGCTCATAAAAAGCTGACATCCTTTTAGTTAGTGGTTTCCAGAATTTGAATAATCACCAAATATGTAACTCATGTGCCTTATGCAGTATACAACCTGAACAACCATACTTGCCAGCCCTAGAGACTAACTTAAGTTGTTATGATTACTGTTGTTGTTATTATTATTTAACAATAGGAGGCAATTTTTAAAAAATATGTTACAATTTCATAAAGACAATTTGGCCATGAACACCCAAAATAGGAAGTACATAATCTCAGAATGAAACACAGACTTACTTTTAAATTAAATAATTTTAGATTCAAGAAAAACTCACTGCATTACCCTTATAGCACATTGTCATTACATGACAAACTAGTAAAAGAAAGTTCTTATTATCTTTCATAAATTCGAGTTTGGAAAATAAAATTTGCTTTTAATTATTATTTTATAGAAAGCAAAAAGGCCTTTTAACATTTGGTGAAAATCAAGATTTATCATTTCTGTAGCATGTGGCTATGTCCCTAAAAGAGTGACTTAACCTGCGGCTGCCAAAATCAGTGACAGATTTTGACACAAGCTGTGAAAGAAGCATCTGTGTGACTAATGGCCTGGCTCATACATTCACTTGGTGGCCAGGTGCCAGTATTTTATCTGGATGGTTTGCTTCAGACTCAGATGATTCTACTTTAATAACTCCTGAATGAGACTCTGAAAACAAAGTAATTCCTGTGGATTATATATCCTTATCATCTCCAGAATGTATCTCCTTCTCACTCATCCCATTGACAAATGCTTCTCTTTTCAATTCCCCAGAAAGACTCTTCCCTTAGTGGAGGCCCAGAAGAAATAAAAAGTGGGTCACCAGAGGTGGAATGTCTGAGCCCCAGACAGACAATGACAAAAGAGTGAGACATGATAATATGACCTGGATTTCTATGAAATGTCATTTAAGCGTGGATTTAACTGTGGACCCAAAGCATTATGCTCTACAAATGGAGTGAGTTCATCTTCTTTTTCCAGGAACTACTGTCCTTCCAGACTCGACTGATCAGCTTTCCTTTGAAGATTTTCCTTATCTTTCTCCATCCAACTCGGAACAAAGGGTAAATCAGGTAAAATCAAACAAGGTGAAGCCAGGCATGTAATTAGCTCTCAAAATATATGTTGTAAACTCCTGCATGCTTTCCAGAAATGGTTTACAACTTTAGTTTTATACTTGCTAGCAAATAAAGGCATTGGCAGGATCAGTAATGGTTCAGTGTCTACATGCTTATAAATATACAAGTTGCAAAGAAGAACACGCTCATGGCTGGTACTCACATGAGAGAGAAGTTTCTCCTGTGGGCCCTCTTAAAGAAAAAAGTGTGTAATATAGTGAAGAATCATTAAATGACAGTCTCACAGTAAACACAGTGGCTTTCAAAAATCTGTTTCTTCTAACATCACTCAGCATAAGCTTATGGCAAAATGCCACTCCACAATTTAGTAAGCACATTCCCACAGGAACCAGAACAGTGTTACAGAATTTTTGCTTGCCTGGCTTAGACACGATAGATTTAAGAGGAGCTAGGTGAATGGACAGACACCACGTCCTTCAGGCAATCTTTCATAAATATTGTTTCTCCCAGCTGAGCTTCTGAAAAATGTTGAATGGCAGTGAGTTGAAGATTATATTCTCTGACAAGTACCTGGAGTGAAGCTATTCTGTTTTTCCGGTTAAGTGCAAAGCCATATGTTTTAACAGCTCCTCAACCCAGAGGCCGGATTGACATTTTCTTATGAAAGTTGACAAGTCTGACAAGAACAAATGCTTGAAGAGAAAGCCACTCCATCTGCACATAGAGATAAACAAGGGAGTACCTACGGGAAGGGCCAAGATTCTTTTCAAAAAGCAATTACTCTCCTGCTCACAAAAAAAGGAATCATCAGAGTGCCGAAGATCGTTGCCATATGATAAGAGCATAATAATTTTAAGCTAGATTAATTTTAACGTTTTAACAAAATACCATGCCCATTTGCCAAAAAACAAATTTTGTTTCACCCTACTATTGCCATCTGTGTCCAAAAATATTTTATATCAATTTGTTCCAAAGAGAGGAGAGTGTTCCTCAAACAAACAAAAAAATAGATTTTTTGTCAATTCTTCTAATGAGTGGGGCATTCATCATGATAAGGAAGTGAAGACCAGAAAAATGGCTGACTGTCTTCTTATACATGCTTGCTTAGGTTGCATATTACCCTTCTGAGAGAATCCCACCATTCCTCTCTCTTTTTCTTCTAAGTCTTTCTCCCATACACCTGAGGTAGGAGGATCTGAGAGAGTTCTGGCTAGTATCGTTGCCACCATAAAAATCCTGGTACAGGCAGATTAAGCTGGCTCTTCTCTTGCTTTAAGAAAAATATATTTTACTCTTCCTACTGTCACTATAAAGGGGCCAAAGGAGCTATCCATTTGTCAAGTCTAAGTCATCAAGTTCAACCAGGGATTTGGAACAAAAGCCTTTGCTGGGGGGCTGGCCCTTTACATACTTATTGCCCACAGAGCCTTAAAGACAATATATAGAGATATACCTGGGAAAATACAATCATAATAGTGTTTGGCAGTGGTGAATAGTGAAATAACAGTGCCTAGGACTTGTAACCCCTTGGGAAAAGGCAAACTTACAAAAAATGTATCAAGAAATAAAGTAATATAATTATCTATAATTTGAATGGAGTAAACAACTGTCCTCAGTAAGAATGAAGTGATGCCCTGATTTCAATAATGGACAGAACATTCAGACAGAAAATCAATAAGGAAACAATGAACTTGAACACCACTGTAGACCAAATGAGCCTAACAGACATACGAAACATTCTACCCAGCATAAGCAGAATACACATTATTCTCAAGCGCATATGGAATATTCTCCAGGACAGACCACAAAACAAGTCCTAACAATTTTAAGTAAATATACTTTAAGAGATTGAAATTATATCAACATATTTTCCAACCACAATAATATTAAACTAGCACGTAATAACATCAGGAAAATTATAAAATTTACAAATACCTGGAAATTACACATTACACACCTAAACAACAAATAGGTCAAAGAAGAAAACAAAAAGAAAATCTGAAAAGATCCTGAAATAAATGGAAATAAAAATACAGCATACTATTACTTACTTAATAAAAGCAGTTTTAAGAGAGTTTATAGCAATAAACAAAAAACAAACAAAAAAACTATAGTTAGATACCACTTCACACTGTTATGATGACTGTTATCAAAACCAAACAAAGATAATAAAGGTTGGGGAGAATGTGAAGAAATTGAAGCACTTTTATACAGTTAGTGGGCATGTTAAATGGTGCAGCAGCTATTTAGTGCAGTATGGAGGTTCCTCAAAACATTAAAAATAAATCTATCATATGATCCAGCCATTCCACTTCTGGGTATATATTCAAAAGAATTGAAATCAGGATCTCAAAGAGATACCTACACATCCATGTTCATTGCAGCATTATTCATAATAGCCAAAATATGAAAACCACCCCAAGTGGACATGGACAGAAGAATGGAAAAAGAAAATGTGGTATATGTATACAATGGAAACTTATTCAGTCTTTAAAAAGACAGAAATCTTGCCATTTACAACAACCTGGATAAACCTGGTGGCTATTACCCTAAGGGAAATAAGCCAGGCATGGAAGGACAAATAGTCCATGATTCCACTTCTGAGTTATCTGTAACAGTCAAACTCATAGAAGCAGAGAATACAATAGTGGTTGGCAGGGGCTAGGAAGTGGAGAAAACGAGGTGTTCATTAGATATAAAGTTACACTTATGCCAGATAAATAAGTTCTAGAGTTCTTCTGTATTACGTATTGCCTGTAGTTAATAAGATGGTATTGTGCACCTCAAAATTTGTTGAGTGTAGATTTCTTATTAAATATTCTTAACACACGCACATGCACACACACACACACAAGGGACGTAAGGAAACTGAGAGGTGTTGAATATGTCTATTACCTTGATTATGGTGGTGGTATCAGGAGTACTTTCATATATCCATACCTATTAAAGTATACACATTAAATATGTGCAGTTCTCTGTATATCAATCATACCTCAATAAAGCTGTTTTTAAAATGAAGGAATGGAACAGAGATTAAATCCCATCAGAGGAGATCTACTCAGACCGTTGATAAAGTTTATCTAATTTCTCTATACCTCAATAAAGCTGTTTTTAAAAATGAAGGAATGGAACAGAGATTAAATCCCATCAGATGGGCTCTACTCAAACAGTTGATAAAGTTTCTCTAATTGGCAAGACTATTAGGATTTATGAAAGCTTGGTCAGAAAAACTTTCACTGAGGTTATGTTTAGCTTGGGGTTTTAATTACTTATGCAATATGAAGTATTATGAAGACATAACCAGAAAAGAAGCCGGGGTATATAAAGTCTGACACCATTCAATTTGGTTGGAAAAGTAGGGGGTAGGGAAGTTTCCTATTTTTTACAAATAAATTAATTTTAGAATCTCCCCCAGTAGACCCACAAACAGAAAAGCCATGTTCTAGAATTTGTCTACAGTACCAGTTTCATCAGCTAAACTCAGGTCTTACCACATAAATTTATCATACCAAAGTATTAGAAGAAAAGAGAATTTATAACAAAAGAAGAAGATGTTTATACATATATAACTTACCACTTCTGAAAAGATGCACTAAAAAATGGTACCGCTAATGGAAACTAGGAAACTCTGGCTAATGATGCTTAATTTTAGTGGTTTAATTTTTGGCAATATTTAGTATTTATAGCATGCAAATATGACCTCCAATATTATTTGAGATTTTACAACAGGAATTAAATTTGAGGCTAAAAATTTTGGTTCCTCCGTCTAATTTTAATTTCACAAATGACCACACTAATCAAACCAGAGTTGAGTGGGGTTTTGTGCATGGTTGTTATTGTTTGTGGTTCTTATTTTGATACACGACCTTTATCAATTTAGAGATTAGGATGCCACATTTCAAATTTCCTTCGCCACAGTATGGAAAGAATTAGTTTACCTTTATTGACAGTCTGTCAATAAAGAGGGAAATAAAAGTCTACTCTTCATAGGGGCCGGACGCGGTGGCTCACGCCTGTAATCCCAGCACTTTGGGGGGCCAAGGCGGGCGGATCACGAGGTCAGGAGATGGAGACCATCCTGGCTAACACGGTGAAACCCCGTCTCTACCAAAAAAAAAAAATACAAAAAATTAGCCGGGCATGGTGGCAGGCGCCTATAGTCCCAGCTACTCGGGAGGCTGAGGCAGGAGAATGGCGTGAACCTGGGAGGTGGAGCTTGCAGTGAGCTGAGATCTCGCCACTGCACTCCAGCCTGGGCGACAGAGCGAAACTCCGTCTCAAAAATAAAAAATAAAAAATAAAAAAATCTACTCTTCACAATACCCAAGACAGTTTAAAAATTCCTCCCTGGTCTCCAACTCTCTACCTTTGGGAACACTACCTAAAGTCTTCAATAGAGATTTTCTCAATGTCTCCTTGGGAACACAAAGTACGTTCAGTTTGGTGGTATATGCAAAATGAAACATGTAGGAAAAAGTCTGTTTATTGACGGGGAAGATTACAACCCATGGGCTGGGCTGGGGAAATAGTAAGCCCCTCCCATGCTACCTCCCTTTATTTTTACATGAAGCCACACACTGTAGGATGAAAAAAAAAAAGAAAGAACTTTTACATGGATCATACCATCACAGCTGAGTGAGGCGAGGTCAAAAATCAACAGGCAAGGTCAAAATCCCAGATTTTTTTTTTTTTACTTCTGTTTAGCATATTTATGATTTAGATCTAGAAATCTCTGAACTTGCTTGGAATAATTGACTGATGTGACAAAGTGAATCCACACACAAGGCTCTACATTATAGATCAGTCTTCTCTACATCAAAAGAAAACCCCCAAATTTACATACTTTATAAATAAATGTGTGTATATGCATATCTCTATATGTGTGTGTATTACAACATATTTTGTCTGCCTTTAAATTTGGTCATAATCATATCAAAATGTTCATTCTATCCTTGTTTTTCACTTTCCATAGGATTAAGTTATTCATCTTTTCTTCGTCTTATCTCATTTTCTAAGTTACTAGAAAATTTGATCCATGGGTAAAATTTTAAAAGACAGGGAAATAGCTGCAAATTTCTATAAGCACTAGAATAATTTGCAGTCACTTTGTCAGTGATAGATCAGTTGTAGTCAGTTACCTCATGCTAAGGCATAAGGTAGGCTGTGTTAAACTGGGCTGTGGAATATGCACAATACCTGAGTTTCCAACTGTGGTTCCACTCGTTTCTTTACCATTCAAGAAACAAGGTGCAATGCAAGTAAGGAAGAGTGACTTTACAGAGTAAACATGACATCTGCTTATTTGAAGACTTCAGAATTAAGTTCACATCAAAACTATGTAGAACTTCCCTCCCTGCAAAGACTATTGCGTACCATTCCTTTCCTGGCTCTTGGCATGCTATTGGCACGTTACATTTTAGAAACTCCAAAAAAATAGATTTTAAGCATCTGCCATGTACATTTAACTTTTTACTTGAGTTTACTGACTATGAGAAACAGCATGTAGAAATAAGTTATACTACAGAATATGTTGTTTATATACCATGCAATGCAAGAGAGTAATTTCTATGTTTCAAAAGTAGTTCATGTTACTGGAAGAACATAATGACATGTTGTCCTAAGAGCATCTCCATTTAACTAAGATGTGATAAGAAAATCACCTTATAATGTGTGCCTACTGCTAACTGGAATACTCATCATTTAATGCCCACCACTAGCTTGAAAGAAGGAATTTTACTCACTGTAAGAGTCAACCTATCCATTCTTCATTCAATTATTCTCTATAATTATTACAAGGCATCCATAAAAATTAAAGTGCTTCTAAGTCACTAAAAAAATGCATGTTATGATGAACTTCTTGGAAAATTCATTAAGTAAAGGATAGAATTAAATTTACTAAAAGATTGTTTCATATATTATAAATATAAGTAGCCAAAGTGGTATTAATCAGAATATTTGTTTCCTTTAAGAGTTATGTCACGTATAAAAATGTGGTAAGAGAAAGGTTTTCTTTTCTCACCAGAACTAAAAATACTCTAAAATGTTTTGTCAATTAAGTATCAGCACATAATCAGCCAGAGGTCAGGTATCTCTAAATCCACATAGAAGCACAGAATTGGAAGAATTTATCTCAGTGCATCAGCTTTGCTTTTCCTAATGCTCTCAAGAAGGAAAAATTGTATCTTCTTTAAAAATAATATTAGAAAATAATCCAAACATAAATTAGTTATGGGAATTAATAAACATAGATTAGTTACAGGGATTACCCCTGGTGATAAAGTAGCATAGATGGAAGCAAAGAAATGAGGTAGGAAGGTTGCCCCCAAAAGAGACTTACTCTTCATCACTGTCACTTGGATTTTTTTATTAGATGTACTTTTGTATTACTTGTATAACTGAAAGTAAACTTAATTGGGAAATATTAAATGAGCATATACAGATACATGTATGAAGGAAAGAAAGATGGGAGAAGGAGAAAAGTGTGAACGTGTACTTCAGGCAAAGACCCAGGATGAAAGAATAGGGCAGAATTCTTAATGAGAATTATGTGATGATGTTACAGCAATTTTTAATAAAATCCATAACACCATTATACATTTATCCAAATAGAGAAATAAAATACAAAAGACAATCTTGTCTAAATGTGGTCACTTTTCTCAAATAACCTTTCTGGACAGGTGTTCAGCTTCCTTTTATTTTCTCTTCCAAGTTTTTAATTACCCCCCCACTTTAATATCTCTCCTAATCTACGGAATCTTTTAAAAATCTTATTCTTCATTATCCCTAATGAGTAATCACTCTATAGCCATGTGGATCAGCCTATACTATTTATCTCACACTTAATTATAAGTTTATGTGTCTCCTCCAATGTTAATGATTGTAAAAGAAATAGACCCCTAGGACTCAGCTCCCATTGTAACTGGTGTATTATGCAGGAATAAGGAACAACTTTCTAACCAGGTTGCTTAGATAAGGCTTCAGATTTCACATATCAATTTAATGTGGACAACTTTCATCTCTTGGAATGCTTAATAAAGATTTTATAGGTGCCTTTTAACTAAGACTTAAATTTAATAAGTTTTTTGGAGTTAGGACCATTCGCCTCTGGCATAAAGAGCAAGTGATCTTTTTTGTTTACAGATATAACATCCCACTTCTAAATCTTATTTCTAAATTGTTTATTGGTCAGATTCAGAGGTATTAACTATAAAGGACAATTTTGCTCATTTGGAAAACATTTTGAAGGTTATTTTAATTAACGGATAACTGTATCCATAATAAAATAAGGAAAAGTGTTTTTTATTGGTGTATCCTTGGAGACACATTTAAATGCTCTATAGATTTAGGAATACAAAGAATCCAGAATATTCATGTCATTCTCTCCTGAAATCATAAAGCTCCATATAATTTGCATGATGCATTCTAGCAATAAAACATTTAACATTTACTAAGTATTTAATATATGCCAGGCACTGAGCCATGGAGGAGGGATTCCAAAAAGCAAATTACAACCATAAGAATTCTTCCAAGTGGATTTTAGGTAAAATCAGCAGAGGGCATGAGCTTTCTAACCTCCCAGGCTAGAAAGAATTAGCCTAGAAGAAAATATGAATCTTGGGATTTACCTTACCATTTGTCCATGGCAGCCCTTCTGGCTGACACAGATATTTTTGTTAGCTAGTCTACCGCTTTTATCTCCTTTCCATTCATTTCTCTTTAACATAGAAAGATTATATTGAGCCTCTAATAGACCCTAAAAATAAACAAACAAAACAGTTTCACGATGTTTCTGTACTGCTAAATGTTGCTCTCATATCACTTAATCTTATTATATTTTACACTTTGAAAAGAAAAACCACCTTCATTAAATCCTTTTAGGACCAAATAAGAGTATAAATGAAATAAATATTGTGAATTTGTAATCACTGTTGTTTTCCAAGTCTTGTACTTCTCTCTTTGCAGTTGTTATATCTAAAAGTTTTGGGTGTTCAGTGTTCTGCAGGATTACACAAATTAAAATAGAATTAATAGTATAAGAATAAGAGAAATCAGGCAGAGTAAGACGGCCAAATAGAAGCCTACACCAATCATCCCCTCCCCCACAAGAACACCAAATTGAACTAGTATGCACACAATTAGAGCACCTTCATAAGAACCAAAGATCAGGTGAGTGATCACAGAGCCTAGTTTTAACTTCATGTCACTGAAAGAGGCACTGAAGAGAGTAGAAAAGACAGTCTTGAATTGCTGATGCCACCCCTCCCCCATCCTACAGCAGTGGGCCCCATGGAGTGTAGAGATAAACTGTGCACTTAGGGAAGGGAGAGCACAGTGATTGTGAGACTTTGCATTGGAACTCAGTGCTACCCTGTCACAGCAGAAAGAAATATCAGGCAGAACTCAGTCAATGCCCATGGAGGTTGCATTGAGACCAGTCCTACACAGAGAGGAATCACTGATCTCAGTGGTCAGAACCTAAGTTCTGGCAATCCTCATCACTGCAAGCTAAAATGCTCTAGGTTCTAAGTAAACTTAAAAAGGCAGTCTAGGCCAAAAGGACAGCAGTTCCTTGGCAAGTACTGGTACTGTGCTGATCTCAAAGCCAGTATACTTGTGGGGCATGTGACCTGTAAGACACAAGCTGGGGCAGCCAAGGTAGTGCTTAGTGCCACCCCTTCCCTAACCTCAGGCAGTGCAGCTCCCAACTCTGGGCTAGACTCCTTCTTTCTGCTTGATGAGAGGACAGAAAAGAGTAATGAGAACTTTGTCTTACAACTTAAATATCAACTCAGCAACAATAGGATAGGGCACCAAGCAGAGTTTTGAAGCCCGTATTCCAGGCCCTAGCTCCCAGATGACATTTGTAGACACTCTCTGGGCCAGAAGAGAACCCATTGCCTCAAAGGGAAGGGCCCAGTTCTGACATAATTTATTACTTGCTGACTGAAGAAACTTTGTCTGTGAATAATCACAGCAGTAGCCAGGTAGTACTTGCTGTGGGCCCTGTGTGAGCTGGTTCATCCTCTCCCAGCTCCAGGAAGCTCAGCACAGAGAGAGAGAGAGAGATAGAGAGAGAGAGACAGAGACAGAGAGACAGAGAGAGACTCTGTTTGAGAGAAAGTAGTTGAAGACAAAAAGAGACTCTGCCTGGTAATCAAGAGAATTCTTCCAGATTTTATACAAGACCTCAAGGGCAGACATCTGTGAGTCTGTAAGAACCACAGCATTACTGGGCTTGTGGTGCCTGCTAATACAAATATGGCTGCAGTGACAAAAACTTAGATTATAACACCCAAGCCCCTTTGAATAACTGGAAAGCATTGCCAGGAACAATGAGTACAGTCAAACCCAGCTGTGAATACTACAATAAATACTTAACTCTTCAATGCCCAGACAGTGGTCAAACATCCACAAGCATCAAGTCAATCTAGGAAAACATGACCTTACCAAAAAAACTAATAAGGCACCAGTGACCAATCCTGGAGAGAAAGAGATATGAGGTCTTTCAGAGAATTCAGAATATTTAAAATAGCTGTTTTGAGGAAATTCAATGAAATTCAAGATAACAGAGAAGGAATTCAGAATCCTATCTGATATATTTAACAAAAAGATTGAAATAATTAAAAAGAATCAAGCAGGAATTCTAGTGCTGAAAAGTTTAAGTGACATACTGAAGAATGCAACAGATTCTCTTAAAAGTAGAATGGATAAAGCAGAAAGAATTACTGAGCTTAAAGACAGGCTGTTTGAAAATAAACAATCAGAAGAGACAAAAGAAAAAAAGAATAAAAAACAATGAAGTATTCCTACAGAATCTAGAAAATAGTCTCAAAGGGGCAAATCTTAGAGTTATTGGTCTTAAAGAGGAGGTAGAGAGAAAGAGAGAGTGGTAGAATATTTATTCAAAGGGATAATTAAAGAGCACTTCCCAAACATAGAGAAAGATCTCAATATTCAAGTACAAGGTTATAGAACATCAAGTAGATTTAACCCAGAGAAGATTACCTCAAGATATTTAATAATCAAACTGCCAAAGGTCAAGGATTAAAAAAGGATATTAAAAGCAGCAAGAGAAAAGAAACAAAAATATAATTGAGTTCTAATATATCTGGCAGCAGACTTCTCACTGGAAACCGTTCAGACTATGACATACTTAAATTGCTAAAAGAAAAAACTTTTATCCTAGAATAATATATCCAAGGAAAGTATTCTTCAAACATAAAGCACAAATAAAAACTTCCCCAAAACAAACAAACAAACAAACAAACAAGTGAAGGAGTTCATCAACACCAGACCTGTCCTACAAGAAATGCTAAAGGGAGTTCTTAAATCTGAAAGAAAAAGACATTACGAGCAACAATAAAATATCTGGAGGCCAGGTGTGGCAGCTCAAATCTGTCATCCCAGCACTTTGGGAGGCCGAGGTGGGTGGATTGCTGGAGCTCAGGAATTTGAGACCAGCCTTAGTAACATGGTGAAACCCCATCTCTACTAAAAATACATATATTACCCAGGTGTGGTGGCACACACCTGTGGTCCCAGCTACTGGGGAGGCTGAGGTGGGGGGATCACTTGAGCTCAGGGAGGTTAAGGCTGCAGTGAGCAGTAATCATGCCACTGCACTCCAGCCTGGGCAACACAGTGAGATCCTGTCTCAAAAAAAAATTATCTTGAGGTACAAAACTCACTGGAAATAGTAATTACACAGACAATCATAGAATATTGTAACACTGTAATTGTGATACGTATACTACTCTTATCCTGGGTAGAAAAACTAAATGATGAACTGATCCAAAATAATATGTAGAAGTTCGGTTAGGGTGGTGGGAAAAGTTGAAAGAAAAAAAGTTATAGGGAAAGATGCAAATCTTCTTGGAAGGCCAGGAGGTTTTGCAAAAGCTTCAGGAGAGGATTATGGCTGAAGGCAGCCAAGTTCTCTCATCTGGGGGCTGAGAGCAAAGGGCAGATAACAAAGGAATGTGAAGGAACTTATCTAGATAAATCTGTTTACTTATGTCTCCAGAAACCAACCTTTAATCATTTGTGCACAGGACTGCTCTCTACTCAGTGGGTCGACAATGTTTATTACCCACAAATTGTGTTTGCTCCAAGTCTTTGTCATTAAATCTGTACTAAATAAATGCAACCATCACTGGCTTAGGGGGACTGCTAACTCTCTTCGGCCCCTAGTGCCAGCAGTCCCCTAGCCCGCTCTTTCACTGAATATCTGTGTCTGAGTACTCCTCTCATCCGTTGCTCAGCCAGAGTCTACAGGACAGACTCAGCGGCAGCCAAGTGAGTGTCACCGTGTGAGGAACGCTGCAACAGATCACAATAGAACCCTCAAAAATGAAGGTGAAGAGACTGCACAGTCAGTAAGTCATTGATGCCCGCTTGGGATTTCTATGTTTGAGGGAATTGTTCAGGCTAGGGTTTCATCAAGGGACAACAGTTATCAGCTCAACAGCAACAGTATATAAAAGTATTGAAACAGCTGCTTAAAGCTAGCGGAGCCTCGGTTTTGCAGGCTCAACTAAGGGACCTAAAGCAAACTGTTGTTTCCCATAACCCATGGTTTCCAAAAGAAGGTACACTAGACATAGAGCTCTGGGAACAAGTGGGGAGAAATCTTAAACAACATCATGTGCAAGGGCAATGGGTCCCAGTAACATCTTCGATGTTATGGGCTTTCGTTAGGGCTGCTTTGGTCTCACTCTACACAGAAGAGCCTAAAAAGGTAAGGGAGGAGGAATTGTCACCTACTTTACCACCACCTCCTTCTCCCTCAGCCCCGCCATTAAGAGGGAAAAATAACCAAGTGGAAATGGAGGTTTTGTCTGAGCCCTCTCAAATAAATTGGAAAAAAGACAATGGATATGCTACAACTATGGGACCCTGTCTTAGGCAAGTGGCATTAGAAGAAGAGCTCTTAGCCTGCCCAGTAAATGCAAGACTGACAAGCCAATCAGGTGTATGAACCCATTTCTTTTGATGCTTATAAAGAGATAAGAAAAAGCATTAGAGAAAACGGAGCCACTAGCTCATTTACGAAAGGGTTAATTGAGGTAACTCTGCAGACCTCTTTCTAATTTTGGCCACTGTTATTATCCCTCCTCTACCTCTGATACGGCTCTCTCAAGATCCAATTTGGGTAGAACAGTGGCCTTTAAAGGGAAAGAAATTGCAAAAAGCCCATGAATTAGCTGAAGAGTAATTAAAAGCTGGCCATGTAGAACCACCAAACAGCCCTTGGAATTCACCCATTTTTGTCATTCCCAAAAGATCTGGCAAATGGAGGCTTTTGAATGACCTATGGGCTATCAATGCTAATTTGCAACCAATAGGGCCCCTTCAACAGGGCCTCCCTTCCCCCATGGCGATTCCTCAAGATTGGCCTGTAGTCATTATTGACTTAACTATTCTCCTTGCAGAACATGACAGAGAAAAAATTTGCATTTACAATACCAGCTATCAATAATGAAAGGCCAGCTCAATGATTTCACTGGAAAGTACTTCCTCAAGGGATGCTGAACAGTCCTACCATGTGTCAGTATCATGTAAATCAGGCTTTGCTCCCCAGTAGAGAAGAATTTCCTAATTGCAAGATTATTCATTTTATGGATGATATTTTACTAGCACCCCCAACAGAGCCAGTACTTTTAAGTTTATATGCCTCTGTCGTAATGAATACACAGTTAAGAGGTTTAATCATAGCACCTGAAAAAGTACCATTGTCCTCTCCTTGGAAATATCTTAGATACATACTAACATATCTCTAGACATGCAAATAGCACTCTCTGATTACACAGGCCATATAGAGCATGCTCTTCCTGCTGACAAACTAGTTCAGTTCTTATGTCATACTCCTGTAGTTGCGCCTACAAAAGTAGTTCACTCCCCCATACCTAACACTTTAACACTTTTTACTGATGGCTCTGGTAAAAATGGAAAAGTGGCTGTTTGGTGGAGACCACATAATTCCCTCACTTGTTCTGGATTTACTAGTCCTCAGAGAGCTGAAGTTGGAGCCTTAATATTGGCCATGGATACCTTTTCTGCTCAGCCTATCAATATTGTTAGTGTTCTGCTTGCTCTGTTTATTTATTGCAGAACCTTGAAACAGCCCACCCTGTGTGCACTTATTCTTCTATTTCAGCAATTGCTGGATCAATGTACACATCCTATTTTTATCAAACATATTTAGCCCACAGCTCACTGCCTGGCACTTTGGCTTATGGCAATGAACAGGAAGACCTGCAAGTTATGACGTCACTGCTTGACCAAGTCACTCAATCTCATCAATTTTTCCACCAAAATTGGAGGAACTTAACTAAACAATTTCAACTTACCCAAAGACTAGCTAAATAAATTATCCTGCAATGCCCAGATTGCCAGTTCACAGGCACATCCCTTCCTTCAACAGGTGTTAACCCTACAGGACTACAGCCTAATCAGTTATGGCAAACAGATGTTACACACATCCCTGAATTTGTAAAACTAAGATATGTAACATGTATCTGTTGATACCAAGTCTCACCTAATTAGCGCACATGCTCTTCCTGGCGAGTCCACCTGACAGCCACTTTTCTATTTTTACCAGAGCTTTATTAACCTTTTTAAATTCCCTCATTCTACCTGCAACTGGTACCTGCTACACTCTATTGGGACCATCTTCTAAATCCGCCTTTCTTCCGCACTGCTACCTCAGTAGGCACCACCTTCCTAGCCTCTAATAATGTAATTGCTTGGCTGGAAGGGGTTAACATACCCCCAGTGGGGTTCCTTAGTAATGGCACACATTGAACTGAGGTGCCAAGTAACACTCCTTGATTGGAAAAGAATGTTACTGATTATACTCATGTTTGTCTTATGTTATTTACTAATTCTAGGATGCAAAGCCAGAATACAAACAGTGACTGCAACGCCAGACAAACCTGTTGTTGCACACATCTGTACTCTTCTATCAACAAAACCTGATGCAAAAAAACAGAAAAGGGGGAGATGTAGGAGTTTGGTTAGGGTGGTGGGAAAAGTTGTAAGAAAAAAAGCTATAGGAAAAGATGCAAACCTTCTTGGAAGGCCAGGAGGTTTTGCAAAAGCTTCAGGAGAGGATTATGGCTGAAGGCAGCCAAATTCTCTTATCTGGGGGCTGAGAACAAAGGGCAGATAACAAGGGAATGTAAAGGAACTTATCTAGATATATCTGTTTACTTATGTGTCCAGAAACCAACCTTTGATCATTTGTGCACAGAACTTTTACTCTGGGGGTCGACAATGTTTATTATCTACAAATTGTGTTTGCTCCAAGACTTTGTCACTAAATTTGTACTAAATAAATGCGAGCATTGCCAGCTTAGGGGGACTGCTAACTCTTTTTGGCCCCTAGTTCCGGCAGTCCCCTAGCCCGCTCTTTCACTGGATATCTGTGTCTGAGTACTCCTCTCAACCATCACTCGGCCAGAGTCTGCAGGACAGACTTGGCAGCAATAATAACCACAACTTTTCAAGATATAGACAGTACAATAAGATATAAACAGAAACAATAAAAAGTTAAAAATCAGCCAAGCACAGTGGCTCACACATGTAATCCCAGCACTTTGGGAGGCTGAGGCAGGCAGATTACGAGGTCAGGAGTTCAAGACCAGCCTGGCCAACACAGTGAAACCCCATCTCTACTAAAAATACAAAAACTAGCTGGGCATGGTGGCACACACTTGTATTCCCAGCTACTCAGGAGGCTGAGGCAGGAGAATCACTTGAATCTGGGAGATGGAGGTTGCAGTGAGCCGAGATCACACCACTGCACTCCAGCTTGGGCAATAGAGTGAGGCTTCATCTCAAAAAAAAAAAAAAAAAGTTAAAAAGCAATGGGATAAATTTGTAAGTAGAGTTTTTATAAGTTTTCTCTGTGCTTCTTTGTTAATTAGTTTGTTTCTGCAATCTAGGCTAAGTTGTCATCAGATGAAAAGAATGAATTATAAGGTATTACTTGCAAACCTCATGGTAACCACAAATTGAAAAAATATACAACAGATACACAAAAAATAATAGTGAATAAATTAAAACACACCACCAGAGTAAATTCCCTTTACTAAAAGGAAGACAGGAAGGAAGGAAAGAAGTAATAGTAGACCACAAAACAACCAGAAAACAAACAAAATGGCAGAAGTAAGTCTTATCAATAATAACACTGAAGGTACATGGACTAACCTCTCCAATAAAAAAACATAGAGTGGTTGAATAAATAAGTTAAAAAAGAACCAACAATTTATAAGGAAATGCATAGACTAAAAGTAAGGGGATGGAAAAAAATATTCAATGCAAATGGAAACCAAAAAAGAAAAGATGTAGCTATACTTACATCAGAAAAAAAGCGATTTCAGACAAAAACTACAAAAAGAGACAAGGAAGGTCACTATAATGACAAAAAGGTAAATTCAACAAGAGGATAAAATAGTTTTAAATATATATACCCCCAACACTGGAGCACCCAGATATGTAAACAAAATATTAATAGAACTAAAAGGAGAGATACACCATAATACAGTAATAGCTGGAGTCATCAACATCTTTCTTTCAGCATTGGACAGATCATCCATACAGAACATCAACAAAGAAACATTGAATTTAATCTGCACTATAGACCAAATGGACCTCATAGGTTTTTTATAGACTATTTCATCATCCAACAGCTGCCAAATACACATTCTTGTCCTCAGCACAGGGAGTATTCTCAAGATTAGACCATATGTTGGGCCACAAAACTAATCTGTAAGATTTCCAAAAAAATGAAATCATATCAAGTATTTTCTCTGACCACAATGGAATAAAATTAGAAATCAATCGCAAGAGGAATCTTGGAAACTGTATATATACATGGATATTAAACAATATGCTTCAGAATGACCAGTGGGTCAATAAAGAAATTAAGAAGGAAATTTAAATGTTTTAAAACAAATAATAATGGGAACACAATATGTCAAAACTTGTGGAATACAGTGAAAGCAGTACTAAGAGGAAAGTTTAGATCTACAATGGCCTATATCAAAACAGTAGAAAAACTTTAAATAAACTACCTAACAATCTTAAAGAACTAGAAAAGCAAGAGCAAGCCAACCCTAAAATGATTAGAAGAAATTATAAAGACCAGAGTAGAAATAAATGAAATACAAATGAAGAAAAATACACATGATCAATAAAATAAAAAGTAGTTTTTGAAAAGTTAAACAAAATTGACATATTTTTAGCCAGGCTAAGAAAAAAAAGATAGATGCCTAAAATAAATGAAATTTGAGATAAAAAGAGGAGACATTACAACTGATACCACAGAAATTCAAAGCATAATTAGAGGCTACTATGAGCAACAATATGTCAATAAATTGGAAAATGTAGAAGAAATAAATACATTTCTAGACACATACAACCTATCAAGATTGAACTATGAAGAAATTCAAAATATGAATAGGCAAATAGCAAGAAATAAGATCAAGGCCATAATAAAAAGCCACCTGGTAAAAAAAAAAAAAAAGGCTGGGAAATGATGGCTTCACTGCTGATTTCTACCAAACATTTACAGAATTAATACCAATCCTACCTACATTATTCCAAAAAATAGAGGAGGAGGGAATACCTCCAAAACTCATTCTACAAGCCCAGTATTATCCAGATACTAAAATAAAAGGCACATCAAAAAACAAAAATTACAACCCAATATCCCTGATGAATATTGATGCAAAAATCCTCAACAAAATACTAGCAAACTGAATTCAACAACACATTTAAAAGATCATTCATTATTACCAAGAGGGATTTATCCTAGGGTGCAAGGATGGTTCAACATAAGCAAAGCAATATGATACATCATATCAACAGAATGAAGCACAAAAATATATGATCACGACAAATGATATTGAAAAAGCATTTGATAAAATTCAACATCCCTTCATGATAAAAATCTTCAAACAACTGAGTATAGAAGGAATGTATCTGTATTAGTCCATTTTCATAATGCTATAAAGAACTGCCCAAGACAGTGTAATGCATAAAGAGGTATAATTGACTCAATTTCCACATGACTGAGGAGGCCTCAGGAAACTTACAATCATGGTGGAAGGAAAAGCAAACATGTCCTTCTTGAAATGGTTGAAGGAGACAGAAGTGCCAAGCAAAGGGGAAAAAGCCCCTTATAAAACCATCAGATAATATGAGAACTCACTCACTATCATGAGAATATGGGGGGGAACTGCCTTCAATGATTCAATTATCTTCCACCAGTTCCCTCCCATGACATATAGGAATTATGGAAATTAGAATTGAAGATGAAATTTGGGTGGGGACACAGTCAAACCACATCATCCCAACCTGGCCCTTCCCAAATCTCATGTCCTCACATTTCAAAACACAACTATGCCTTTCCAATAGTTCCCCAAAGTCTTAGCTCATTCCAGCACTAACTTAAAAGACCAAGTCCAAAGTCTCATCTGAGACAAGGCAAGTCCCTTCTGCCTATGAGCCTGTAAAATCAAAAGCAAGTTAGTTACTTCCTAGACACAACGGAGGATGCAGGAATTAGATAAATATACCCATTTCAAATGAGAGAAATTGGCCAAAATGAAGGGGCTACAGGCCTCATGCAAAATCAAAATCCATCGGGCAGTCATTAAACCATAACAAAATTATCTCCTTTGACTCCATGTCTCACACCCAGGTCACACCAATGCAAGAAGTGAGCTCCCATGGTCTTGGGCAGCTCCACTCCTCTAACTTTTCAGGGTACAGCCCCCTTCCAGGCTGCATTCATGGCTGGCGTTGAGTGTCTGTGACTTTTCCAGGCACACGGTGCAAGCTGTTGGTGGATCTACTATTCTGGGGTCTGGAAGATGGTGGCCCTCTCCTCACAGCTGCACCAGGTAGTGCCCTAGTGAAGACTCTGTGTGGGGGCTCCAACCCCATATTTCCCTGCTGCACTGCCCTAGCAGAGGTTCTCCACAAGGGTCCCACCCCTGCAGCAAACTTCTGCCTGTACATCCATACATTTCCATATATCCTCTGAAATCTAGGCTGAGGTTCCCAAACCTCAATTTTTTACTTCCGTGCACCTGCAGGCTCAAAACCACGTGGAAGCCGCCAAAGCCTGGGGCTTGCACCCTCTGAAGCCATGGCCCGAGCTGTACCTTGCCCCCTTTTAGCCATGACTGGAGTGGCTGGGATGCAGAGCACCAAGTCCCTTGGCTCACACAGCAGAGGGGGGCCTGGGTCTGGCCCAGGAAACAAATTTTTCCTACTAGGCCTCCAGGTCTTGATGGGAGGGGCTGTTTGAAGGTTTCTGACATGTCCTGGAGACATTTTCCCCATTGTCTTGGTGATTAACATTTGGCTCCTTGTTACTTACACAAATTTCCACAGTCATTTTGAATTTCTCCCCAGAAAATAGTTTTTTCTTTCCTATTGCATCATCAGGCTGCAAATTTTCCAAACTTTTATGCTCTGTTACCTCTTGAATGCTTTGTTGCTTAGAAATTTCTTCCACCAGATATCCTAAATCATCTATCTCAAGTTCAAATTTCCATAGATCTCTAGGGCAGGGGCAAAAAGCTGCCAGTCTCTTTGCTAAAGCATAGCAAGAGTCACCTTTACTCCAGTTCCCAACAGTTTCTCCATCTGAGACTACTTCAGCCTGGACTTCATTGTCCATATCACTATCAGCATTTTGGTCAAAGCCATTCAACAAGTCTCTAGGAAGTTCCAGGCCTTTCCACATCTTCCTGTATTCTGAGCCCTCCAAGTTTCTAGAAAGTTTCAAACTTTCCCACATTTCCTATCTTCTTCTGAGCCCTCCAAACTGTTCCAACCTCTGCCTGTTACGAGTTCCAAAGTCACTTCCATATATTTGGGTATTCTTACAGCAGCACCCCACTCTCAATACCAATTTGCTGTATAAGTCTGTTCTCACATTGATATATAGAACTGCCTGAGACTGGGTAATTTATAAAGGAAATAAGTTTAATTGACTCACAGTTCTGCATAGTGTGGAAGGCCTCAGGAAACTTATAATCATGGCAGAAGGGGAAGGAAACACATCCTTCTTCACATGGCAACTGGAGACATAAGTGCTGAGCAAAGAGGGAAAAGCCCTTCATCAAACCATCAGATCTCATGAGAACTCGCTCACTATCATGAGAACACCATGGGGGAAATTTCCTGCCACCAGCTTCTTCCCTCAACACGTGGGGATTACGGAAACTACAAAATGAGATTTGGGTGGGTACACAGCCAAACTATATCAAAACTTCAGCACAATAAAAGCCATATAGAACAGACTCACAGCTAGTATCACATTGAATGTAGAAAAACTGAAAGCCTTTCCTCTAAAATCTGAAATATGACAAGGATGCTCACTTTCATCCTTGGTATGCAACACTATACTGGAAGTCCTAGCTAGAGCAATCAGACAAGAGAAAGAAATAAAGGGCACCCAAATTAAAAGGAGAGGTCAAATTATCCTTGTTGGCAGATGATCTTTTATTTGGAAAATCTTAAAGACTGCGCCAAAAAAACCTATTAGACCTGATAGATTTAGTAAAGTTGCAGGATACAAAATCAACATGCAAATATCAGTAGTATTTCCTATGTCAACTGAACAATGTGAAAAAGTAATCAAGAAAGTAATCTCATTTATAACAACTACAAAGACAATAAAGTACCTAAGAATCACCATAAGCAAAGAAATAAAAGATCTCTACAATGAAAACTAAAACATTCATGAAAGAAACTGAAGATGACACACAAAAAATAGAAATCTAACTCCATGTTCATGGATTAGAAGAGTCAATATTGTTGATATGTCCATAGTATGCAAAACAATCTACAGATTCAGTGTAACTCCTATTAAAATACTGGTGACATTCATCATAGAAGTAAAAAAAAATCTAAAATGTATATGGAACAATAAAAGACCGAGAATAGCCAAAGCTGTAAGGATAAAACTAGAGGAATCACATTACCTGACTTCAGATTATACTATAGAGCCATAGTAACCAAACAACACGATACTGGCATAAAAACAGACATGTAGACTGATGGAACAGAATAGAGAACCAAGAAATAAATCATTCATTCATAGTAAACAAATTTTTGACAAAGGTGCCAAAGACATATATTGGGGAAAGGACAGTCTTCTCAACAAATGGAGCTGAGTAAACTGAATATTCATTTGCAAAAGAATAACACTAGACCCCTATCTCCCACCATATGCAAAAATCAAATCAAAATGGACTAAAGATGTAAATCTAAGACCTCAAACTATGAAACTACTAAAAGAGAACATTAGAGAAACTCTCCTGGACACAGGTCTGGCCAAAGATTTCTTAAGTCACACTCCACAAGCACAGGCAAACAAAGAAAAAATGGACAAGTGTTATCATGTCAAGTTAAAAAGTTTCTGAATAGCAAAGGAAACAATCAACAAAGTGAAGAAATAATCCACAGAATAGGAGAAATTATTTGCAAACTATCTGACAAGGGATTAATAACCACAATATGTAAGGAACTCAACTCTATGGGAAAAAAATCAAACAGATTATTAAATGGGCCAAAGATCTGAATAGACATTTTTCAAAAGAACTAATACAGATGGCAAACAGGCATATGAAAAGGAGCTCAACACCATTGATCATCAGAGAAATGCAAATCAAACCACAATGAGATATCATCTCACCCCAGTTAAAATGGGTTCTATCCAAAAGACAGTCAATAACAAATGCTAGTGAGGATGTGGAGAAAAGAGAACCCTCGTAATACTGTTGGTGGGAATGTAAATTTCTGCAACCACTATAGAGAAGAGTATGGAGGTTCCTCAACAAACTGAAAATAGAACTACCTATGATCCAGCAATCCCATTGCTAGGTATATACCCAAAGGGAAGGAAATCAATATATCAAAGAGATATCTGTAATCTCATATTTATTGCAGCACTATTCACAATAGCCAAGATTTGGAAGCAACCTACGTGTTCAACAACAAAGAAATGATGAAGAAAATGTGGTACATACACACAATGGAGTATTATTCAGGCATAGGAAAGCATGAAAACCTATCATATGCAACAACATGAAGGGAGCTGGAGGACATTATGTTAAGTGAAACAAGCCAGGCACAGAAAGACAAACTTCATGTTCTCACTTGTTTTTGGAAGCTAAAAATTAAAAACAATTGAACTTGGAAATTGAGAGTAGAAGGATGGTTTTCAAAGGCTGGGAAGTATAGTTGTGTGGTCTGGGAGTGGGGAGGACTGGAGATGGTTAGTGGGTACAAAAATATATTTAAATGGAATGAATAAATTCTAGTATTTGATAGCATAACAGGGTGACTACAGTGAACAATAATTTCTTGTACATTATAAAATATCTAAAAGAGTATAATTGGATTGATCATGACACAAAGAGGATAAATGCTTGAGGTGATGAATACCTCATTTACACTCATGCAATTATTATGCATTGTATACCATATCTAGCTGTCTCATGTTCCCAATAAACATGTACACCTACTATGTAACCACAAAAATTAAAAATTAAAAAAAATTAAAGTTAATAAAAAATCAATGTATTTAAGAAAAGACTAACAGAAACCAAATTTAGCAGAGTCTAGTAATGAATCAAGATACAGAACAGTGAAAGTGAATCTCCAAACAGATTTCATTTCCTTCCTAGCCATGAAAGTCTTTTTTAATAAAGATTAGTGTTTGGTTGCAGCTGTAGTTTGGCAGCTTAAAATTTCTCTCTTCCTGAATTTTGCAATTTACATAGGAACCTTCTTTCAGAAAATATTGTCAGTGGAATTGAATGGACATTAATTTTCAATTAAACTAACATGAATTTCCACTTGTCTATTGACAGTTTTCTAGCAAATAGAAGATTCCAGAGTGGGGAAAAAACTTTTTCAAGTTTATTACTGACAAAACCATCAATGTCAGTTATGGCCCAGAAAATCCAATTTAGGATTTGTCTGAAAGGAAGATACTGTCTCCTCCTCAGAAAAAGGTGAGCCCCGTGGTGTAATTCATGATGCATACCAATGGCTGAAGCAAAAATACATATGAATAATGCACTGTGTGCTGCCATCCATCGCAGGAAAATCTCTTAATTGAAAGGGGCCACAAGGTTTTATAGGGACCGTTAAGCCAATCTATTTTTAGCTGAGTAACTCTTCATCTGCCCATGCTAGGAAATTACAGCCTTGACATTAATTATGGCTATGGAAGTGTTACCTGAAAAATTAATTTTATGCTGTGCAAACAGTTAGGTAGAAAATCCATGAAGAAAGTGCCACTGATAAGACAAGTAGTTCCTCTAGAGTCCAATGAGACCATCTGTGCCTTTTCCTGAGCTTTTTCCTTTGGTTACATTTGAGCTGCTACATCCACTAGTGGAAAATGTTCTTATTTCAAAAAGGAACACCAGGGAAGAATGAAATAAAGTATTTTTACCTTGCGACTGTCCTTATTAGTATGTATGCCCAAATGCATCAAACTAATGAGGCAGTGTCATTATATGGAAAAGCTGTATTGGGTGTTCTGAAAGTTTTAGCACATTGGAAGGATAAAACAAAATAAAAGCTATTAAACACATGTGGTCATAAAGTAATAATGAAGATAGTCACACAATATGTTGACTTCACTAATAACTACTGCATGTAGTGTAAAGGGTAGAATTTTAAGATATTCAATTTTTCCCCAAAAGCATAAAGTACCGAAAGCTATATTCCAAACACAGTACATGGTATAGAAACTTTTTACAATACAAATTGTGGTTCCAGCACATTTAAGTTCTCCATTTTTATTTAAAAGAGGGCAAAATAAATATGAATTTCAATATTACCTGTATGATGCTTAATTCATTTGCTTAATCTAAAGGTTAAAATAAATAATATCACCATTTTGCACATTTAAGTAAAAATCTACTGAAAAATAACAAACGTTGGAGAAAATAAAACAAAAATCCTTAATCTTTATCCTCAGAATATGATGGTAGTAAAATTAAACATATTAAATCATACCATGAGCATTCTAAAATTAAGCAGAAAAGACAATTGTATAATTAGAAATGGGAAACAAGAAACATTTAAATCCTTCTTGGCATTGTAGCTTAATATATTCCATTATTAGTTGAGTTTTTAAATTGAAATAATCATACAATCCCTTCTGGTCCCTGTAAACACAGCCTACCTAGTATAACATTAGACACAGCTCAGTAAAATCTCAACACCAAAACTCTCCAAATCTACCAAACATGTGGGAATAAGAACAGTATCTTTTCATTCCACAGGCTTGAAATTTTATAGAGTTTCACCCTTAATCACAGAGGATTGGAAGCCTCTTTCAGTGGAACTTTCCCTGATATAGATAGAATATGCTGAGGGTTATTTCTCCAGAAACTGTGTCTATATCTACTATCTGAATATTTAAGGAACAAAATACCCATTTCCAACCTATGCAATACAATGTACTACTTCAGATCCTCTAAATATGCTAATCTCCAGCTTTATCATGATGTCTCTAGTTTTTTTCCTAAAAGTTCAGCATGGGCAGGTCTAGACAAAACTGTGAAGTTGGTAATTTATTGATAGTTCCTGCACCTAAATTCCTCTTTTGTATCTCACTTTCACTTTCCACTACTACCCTACCCAACTCCCTCTAAACCTTTGAACCCTCATACTCTTCCCTGAATGTGAGAATTGTCTTATCACAGATTTTATATCACAGTTTGTTAACTTATTCAATATTGATCAAGCACTTACTAACAGAGCAGGAGCATTGCCATCTTGGACAAGCCCCTCATTCTAAAGTTCACATTAATAAAAAACCACCTAAATCCAAAGGGCATCAGTGTAATGGCTAAGGTCAGCATAACCATAAACCACAAATAACATCTCCAACCAGACACATTCCAAACTCCTCCCCAACCAGACATGCTGGCCCCTAGATAAGCCCCTCCAGCTGGGAAGATGCTAGCCTCGAGATAACCCCTCTTAGGACCCGAAAGATGTCTGCCCCAGATAACCTCCCCTCCTCCCAGAGAGATTCCAACCCCACTATAAACTTCTTTACACACATAAACATTCCAAGCTTATGATAAACCCCCCCTCACCCTAAAATCAATATATACTCTTAGTCTGTAAGAGAAAGCACTCCTGACCTCAATCGGCCAGGAGCACCTCTCAGGTTTTAACTAAAGAAAACCTGTCTTTGACTGCCAAGCCACGTTTCGTGTTTCTTTCTTTTTTTTTTTTTTAGTTCATCAAAGAGTGTTTATTTAACATTTTCTTTTTTTTTTTTAATTATACTTTAAGTTTTAGGGTACATGTGCACAACGTGCAGGTTTGTTACATATATATACATGTGCCATGTTGGTGTGCTGCACCCATTAACTTGTCATTTAACATTAGGTATATCTCCTAATGCTATCCCTCCCCCTCCGCCCACCCCATAACAGGCCCCGGTGTGCGATGTTCCCCTTCCTGTGTCCATGTGTTCTTATTGTTCAATTCCCACCTATGAGTGAGAACATGTGGCGTTTGGTTTTTTGTCCTTGCGATAGTTTGCTGAGAATGATGGTTTCCAGCTTCAGCCATGTCCCACAAAGGACATGAACTCATCCTTTTTTATGGCTGCATAGTATTCCATGGTGTACATGTGCCACATTTTCTTAACCCGAAGGATTATAAATCATGCTGCTATAAAGACAGATGCACATGTATGTTTACTGTGGCACTATTCACAATAGCAAAGACTTGGAACCAACCCAAATGTCCAACAATGATAGACTGGATTAAGAAAATGTGGCACGTTTCGTGTTTCTTACCTCTTTCTTTAACTCTTACATTTGGTGCCAAAACCTGGGACGAGTGCTGGGGGCAGAGGCTCCCTTGCAACCCGGGAAGCAGTGGGCAATGGCCGCTCATCCTAAGTTCACTCCTGGATCCTGAGGGTCTCTGGCCACCTGCCCTGTCTTTTCTCTCACTTCACTTTTCCCTCATCCTCCCTTTCTCTCTCTCTCTCTCTCTCTCTTTTTCTCTCTCTCTCCATCGTGCAGCTGCAGTCCAAGAGGTCCTTTGCTGATTCCAACTGGAACATCCAACATCGGACACTAATCCAGCTGACTGGTAAGATCTGCCCTCCCCTGGTTTTCTCACAGTACCCGGGAAGTCAGGTCCACTGTCCACGTCCTCGGAGGACCAGCGAGACTAAGCTAAAAGAAGTCTTGGGGATGCCCAGTGTTCTTCTCAGTTTGACCATCCTCTTTAGAAAGAGGATTCTGGGTCTCTGTCTTTTGTCTGGGGATGCCTAGAACAAAAACAGACACCCTGGGCTGCTTCTCACGAATCCACATGGATGCTAAAAAATCCCACATTCCTATACCCTCTCCACTGTGCTGTCTCCTTCATGACCTCACCAAACTTGGCTTAAGTGTTTAGTCTTTTACTGTAACACGGCCTGGCACCAAAACACATTAGATAATGACAGCCAATGGCCTGAAAATGGCACCTTTAACTTGCAAATTCTCAGGAATTGAACAACTTTATAACCAGGAATGGAAAATGGCAAGAGGTTCTCTATATTCAGGCCTTCTTCTACTTTTACCTTAAATATCAACCCTCCCTGTGTCAAGCTTGCACCTCTCACAAAATCTTTCTTCTTAATAAAAACCCTCCCCAGGTCTCTCCTTCCTCCAAAACTCCTTTTGACCCTGCAGATAAACCCCCTCTGTATTCTTATCCCCCTGCATCCACTCCTTACCAATCCAAATCCTCCGCCCTGGTGGCCCCTCCTGCTTCCAAGCATTCAGCCCCAAACCCCACTCCTCCTCCTTCTCCACCTGTTACCCATTCAAAAACCACCTCTGCCATTCATTCACTAGGACTGAAATCAGGCTGGAATACAGAGGTGAGGTCAATACTCTGAGGACTGACTCAGCTGCAGAGAAAAGTATGTGAACCCAGAAAATCTGAGACAGGTCTCAGTTAATTTAGAAAGTTTATTTTTCCAAGGTTGAGGACGCACCCATAACGCAGCCTCAGGAAGTCCTGACGACATGTGCCCAAGGTAGCTGGGGCACAGCTTGGCTTTATACATTTTATACATTTTAGGAAGACATGAGACAATATATGTAAGAAGTACATTGGTTCAGTCTGGAAAGGTGGGACAACTTGAAACAAAGGCAGGAAGACTGGAAACAGGGAGGTAGCTTCTAGGGCACAGATGGGTGAGACACAAGTGGCTGCATTCTTTTGAGTTTCTGATTAGCCATTCCAAAGGAGAAAGAGACATGAACATGAGCAATGCGTTTAACCCCAGCCACTTCCCAGAGAGGGAGAATGGTTCTACTTGGATGTTATAGCATTTATGGTCCTGATAAGAACAAGAAGGCAGGCCAAATTTAGAAGATTTGAGGAAGGTTTGTTTACAAAGTGACTATTTACAAAGTTGTAGGGAGGGGATGGGGGATCGAGGGTAGTTAGTACAATGACTCTGGGTCAGCAGCAACAGAGCCGTTAAGACCTGCAGGTCCAAAACAGTAAGGGGAAGAGGCAGTTACTAAAAACTGGAAGGAGAGAATCATATAGATGAGGCCACCAGGAGAATAGTGGTAACATGTGCTCGGGTAAGTAATACAGAGAACCTGAGAAAAAAATAGGACCGTGAGGAAGCCAGGAGAATAGATCTAAAAACCTCACTTTCCTTCCCTCTCCCATCTGTGCGCTCCCCATTGACTGAACATAATCGGGAGCCAAAGGGCATAGAGATCTACCAATGAAATGAACATAGATCAGTCTATTGGAGAATAGGGTAAAGGAGAAGAGTAGAAGAGGATTCTGGAAAACAAAGAGAAGTTATTCACTGATGTGTAATAGGTATCTCAAAATGAACATTTCTATTACTATCACACAAGTCTTTAAGTAAAAAAAAAAAAATAACATCTCTGAAATTCAATATTTGCCTGAAAAAATGCTTCATCTTTAGTCTTCCTCTCTCACAGGATGGTGACTCCATCTTTCCAGTTGCTTAGGCCAAAATTCTTAGGGCCATTCTTGATGCCTGTATTTTTCGTAAACTTAATCCAATCGTCAGGAAATCCTGTGGTCTCTATGTTCAGAATGTATCTGGAATGCTACCACTTCCCAGCACCTTTGCAAAACCATTACCTCCTGAGACTGAATTTCTGCAACAACAACAGAAAAGTAATATTGTACAAAACTTTTTGTCTCTAATTTTCCAAAACACCTGATGACTTATCTATGTAGGCATATAAATGTGATCCCTAGTTTCAATACTTACGGTAAAAATTACGTGCAATTCTGCCTTTTGTATGGGATTCCTGCACCAATCTATTACATATCCTTTTTTTAAACACACACGTAGAATTAATACAAGCGAGAGACTGAAAACTGCCCTCAATTACATACTTAAAGGTTCACATAAAGATTTGAAAAGGTCCAGAGAAATTACATGTCTGCCTCAGCAAGTTCATAATAGCAAATGAGGAATTGGGGCAGATTACTAAAAATAAATTTAAATAATCCTCTTTTGTAAACCATACTAAGCTTTGCCTGTTTAAGTCAATTTTGGCAAAGAAATTCCGACTATCACAGTGAAAATATGTGAATTTATTTTGAAACTGTTCCAACCCCAGAAAATGCCAAGATAATTAACAAGTTTACAAACTTTAGAAAAGGTACCACGTTTTCAAAAACAATACGGTAAACGTAACAAAAATCCTTTCCACCTTACTGCTTGTCTATTTTTGGAAAGCAAGTTGCTGTAACTCTTAACACAAATTTAAGTGAAATAATCAGTTAATTTCTTCATAAGAAACAGTTATCACTTCAACTGCACATTAAATTGGAGGTGTGTAAAATAAAGACAAAATTAATATTATTCAGAAAAAAATCAACAGCCTATATATGTTTGGTGTATTACATTAAATATAAACTTAGCAGCTTTATGTATACTTATTAAGCTTTTAAACACATACTTAAGCTGAAACTGAAGTTAAGAAAGGAAATGGCCTTTAAAATCGAGCTACCAAAATCAGTCCTCCTTGGGCTTTAAAACAGAAAATAAAAATACTACATTATAGGAAGGTGCAGGTATGTCAACTAGTGGCAGGCCAGGTCTCACTAATGCAGGCCTCCATTACAACTGTTTCAGCACTGACTGAGTAGTTAGATTAAATGTTAACAGCTGATAGAGCCAGTGCCCTCATACAAAGGCTGGAATGTAACAAAAGCCCACCAAGAGTTTGGCTTTGGCCTTTCCTGGGCCTTGAAACACGACAAGATAACAAAGGAATTCTTAATAGAACTCGTTTAGGATTAAAAAAATTTTATTGGTGATCTGAAGGAATTCCCCAGACCTCCACAAACAAGCTTTATTGGGGACTGAAGGAACTCCCCAAACCTCCATGATTTAGAAGGAGACAAGATAAGGGTAATCACCCCTGGCGCCTGGACCCATCTAGATTAAGTAAACTTACTGGGGCTCCAGAGGAAGGTCTTCAGGACTCAGATCTTAGTTACAGATTAAAAGAAGTTAATCACTTATGTCTTTAGATTAATGCACACTTACATGTAGACATGAAGCTTAGAAGATATACAAGCTCTGGAATTTGTAATTTTGAGTTGGTCTGCTAATAATTTCCAGGCCTTCTCCCTGTAACCAGTTACAGAAATGAAAACCTCCCTTCTTTCCCAGTTCATCTGCATCTCGTTATTGGGCTGTGAGAATAAGCAGCCTGACCCTCGGTTTGGTCCGGGAACAAACTTACGTCTTCACTATGATACATCAAACTCCTTTTGCACCCATGCATTCATTAACAGTGATATGATAGCTCCTTTCTTGTCAACTATCTGTTTTCTATTCAAAATTCATCAAATTTAATTGATTTAAAAGAAATGTACAAAATAAAAACAGGTTGATCCTTCACGTTTATGACTGCAATTTTAGGGCTGACTTACAGTAAGATTATTGCTCTCTCCCTAGGCTCTCTGGAAATTTAGTTAAATAATTAGCAGTTTATTTAAGTTACATATGAACTTATTACTATAAAAATATTAAAAATAATAAGCTTTATTAATTGCCTGTTATTTCTCTGCCATAATGCAAACCAATTTAAATACATTAGCCACTTAATAGCTATAACAACCCAGTGAGGTAGATATTAATACCCGCATTTATGTCAAAAGGACTTTAAATTGGAGTTATCTACCAACAGGCTATTTGAGAAAAGTGTTGGTTATGTTCATGAGGGCATGGTTAAAATAATGATTTATTAACTAAGAATTTCTGTTACACTTCTTTCTGCAAAGAAACTACTTGCCCAAGGGGTATACACTATTTCTAAGTGAATGACAGAATGGTGAAATGTCCACATTTTAACAAGTGAGCCATAACTGACAGATGCTCTGAGAAAGAGCAAGTTCAGAAGAGTGTGGTGTTCTCAGTCTCCTCAGGGAGTGATGCCTCCACTCGGAATTCTAATTTCAGTTTCTGTTACTAAGGAAGAAGAGCAAAACCTGACAGCACAGCCATGGAGGAGAATGAAGGAGAAACAGGGCTGCGAATTCTTAATTAACGGGGATGTTCAGGGATGCCAATGTGAGCTTTATAAGAGCACTGTGGAAGGTTGCGTTTAGAATAGATACAGAAGCTACTCACTGCTATCACTAACTTCGGGAGGTAAAATGGCAGTTTCCAAAGTTCTACTCAGTGGTGAGAAGGGAAATTATTTTCTCTGGATCTATCTCCCTGAAAACACTTTCATACTGCTAAATGACTTGGTTAATAGCATGGCTCAGAGGTTCCAAAACTCAGTTTCTGAAACTAATTCAAAATGTGCACTCAAGAAATGAAAAGAAACAATCATAAGCAAAAATACTAAAGTCCTAATGATTTCAACTAATGTTACATTCCCAGAAGAATCAGGGAGCTTCCTAAATATTTCAGGAAAAGTAAAAGTAATGTAGGGTCTCCTTTTCTCTAAGAAAAAATGTTTAATAATTTAGTGACATTTTCATTTTATTATTCATCCATGGAAACATATTGAAAATTTTAACAGTGCTAGGCACTGTGTTAGGCACAAGAGCTCCTAAAAAACAAAGGCATATCTCTGAAATTAAAGATATCATAGCCTATTTGGAATGAATACCAAAACGTCCTATGGTTTTGTAAGGTTAGCCAAAGAAGCCAGAAGGCTTTACAATAATGATTTAAGGAGGTAAGCAGCACATGTAATCAACAGTGTTATGACTCTCTCAAGATGTACACAAACTGGAACAAGCATAAAATATCAATACTTAAAGAGAACAATCAAATTTTTAAAAATATACACCAAGATATATTTTCACAAATAACATTTTTTGTAAGGTGGATAAAAATTGCTGGAGACTAGTTTGCAGTCACAGTTGTCCTCAAAGTTTTGATGACTTGTCAAAGATCAGTCTTGGTCAGTGTAATTGTGATATGTTAACATTATTGGGGCAAGTAAACAATTATGGTAATTGCCGGGATAGATATACGATCAAGCTGCGATGAGAGCCTTAGTCCATTTGGCTTACTCACTGCTATAAAAAAAATTCCTATATACAAACTGGATGGCTTATGCACAACAGAATTTTTTTTCTCAGAGTTCTAGGAGGCTGGAAAGTCCAAGATCAATGAGCAGCAGATGTGGTGTCTGATGAGAGCCTGCTTTCTTGTTCATAGATGGTGCCTTCACATTGTGTCCTCACAGGGTGGAAGGGGCTAGCAAGCCCCCTTGGGCCTTTTTTTATAAGGGTATTAATCTCATTTATGAGGACTCTACCCTCATGACCTAATCACTTTCCAAAAGTCCACCTCTTAATACCATCACCTTTGGGGTTATGCTTTCAACATACAAATAAATTTCTGGGGAGACAAACATTCAGACCATAGCAGAGGGAAAAGAAGAAACTCTACAACTAGGAGTATAAATAATGAGGAGACTATCAGTAGCTGAAAGTTAAAATGCCTTGCTGTATATCAGAACTGTTCAAAAGAGGAATCATTAATCCTGCTGTACAGGGATCCATTAGAGCTCAAGAGATGTTAAGGCAGAGGCCAACTGTCAACACATTGTAGAAAAATTCTAAAACATGAAACTAGGAAATAATCAAGACTTTCCAAATGGATCTAATCCAGAATTTCCAATTCTGGTTTCCAGGCTTCAGTACAGACTTGCCCACAAAGGATGTAAAACTCTCCATCATGGAACAATCTATACTGGGACAGCTGGGCCCTATATCATCACATACCAGGCAGCTCCATGGCAGTCATCAAGGTGACCTTCCCTTTTGTAACATGACTTTCCTAAAGATGAGAATTTTCATCATCCTCATAAACTCTGCATACTTTTCCAGCCACATTAATTTTAGATGCATCCTAACAATTGTTCTTTACTCTTCAATACTGATGTCTGGCACAGTTGGCAATTTCTTTCCTACTGTTCGCCCTATCACAAGTTTTCTTTAATCACAACCTAAACCTTTTGTTTTTCAGAAAGTCATCCCAATTTATTACATTTATTCATGGCCTCCCACAGCAAATACTGACCACAAAGATGTGAAATCCTAAAAGTGTGGACAGGGACATGCTTTTATCTTCAAAATCAAAAGTAGAAGAGGGAGATCTTTTTCCAAGCCTGCCTGCTCATCTTTAATGGTAATAAAACATCATTTATCAAGTGGTCTCTCTATGCCTAATACCCTTCTATACACTTTACAGGAATAACCTCATTTAATCTGCTCCACTGAGTGTGAGTCAAATGCTGTCAATATTTCCTTTTGACATAGGAAACAGAAAGGCAAATGACTTGCCTGCAACTGTCCATCTATGTAACAGAGCAAGGGTTTAAACCTAGGCAATGTGGATTTAAAGACTTAACCATTACTCTATTCTCTCTCCAGTATATGACAGTTCTTACTATTATGATCCCTATGGGCACATAAACAAGGTAATTTATTCATTAACTAGCTCTGTTTATAGGAAATAAATCAGAGAAGATGGAGGAGAGGAAGGACTAGTTGCTAGATTAGCAATGATAATCCCATAAATTAGATGCTAGAGCCAGTCCAGACATGGATCTACTTGGAGAGAGAATGAAAAACACATAAAGTAGATCCACTCTGATGCCACAGATTTAAGAGAACTAAGCAGAATAACTGTAATCCCAAAGAGACTGACAGAGAATAATAACTAAGCAGATAAGATACGTGGATTCTTTCTGATGTGAAGATGGCATGGGAGAGAGAGCGAAGCCCTCCACATGTGAACGATGACCACCTTTTAAAACTACACAAAAATAAACTGCTAATGCTTTCACAGCAGTATATTTTGTCTACACTATTATTATGACCTACTTATATAATGTAACATGGATGCTGTTCTACTCTATTAATATCCACCCATCTATCATTGTTCCCAAATTTTATAACTAGCAAAAATTTACATATAACTAACATAAAAAATTTGAGGAGAGTCCATGTTTTGTCCTTTCCTTTTATCTCCCAAAATCTCCTGGAACAGCACCTTGGCAATAATAAGCATTGAATATGCTGAAGTTAAATCTATTAAAAATGTAGATACCTTTCATGGGAGGAAATATTTTCCCAGAACTTTTGGAAGAAATTAGATGAAACAGGGAATGGAAAAGTTTATTTTAATTAAATCAGAAAAATGGCATACAGCAAAGAAATGAAAGATATTAATAATTCTAAAAATATTAAGAGAAAGTTTTAGAAAGGAAAAGTATCATCATGAAATAGGAAATGAATCAGAGAGTGCAAAATTTATTTCAGATGGATACAAAAGAGATGGATCTTTAAAATGCAAAGTTGCTTTAGAAACAAAATGACTTTTTATAAAGCTTCTAATATTTTATTTTTTTATGTATTGTATTGTATTGTATTGTATTGTATTGTATTGTATTGTATTGTATTGTATTTTTGAGATGGAGTCTCACTCTGTCACCCAGGCTGGAATTCAGTAGCACGATCTCAGCTCACTGCAACCTCTGCCTCCAAGGTTCAAGTGATTCTCCTGCCTCACCCTCCCGAGTAGCTGGAATTACAGGCATGCACCACCATGCCGGGCTTTTTGTATTTTTAGTAGAGACAGGGTTTTGCCATGTTAGCTAGGCTGGTCTCCAAGTCCTGACCCCAGGTGATCCGCCCACCTCGGCCTCCCAAATTGCTGTAATTACAGGCGTGAGCCACTGCACCTGGCCTAAAGCTTCTAATATTTAACCCCTGGCACAAAATCAAACTGGAGGCTGGCTTTAGGGAGAGGATATCTCTTGGCATCTATGCTGTTGTATTTTAACATTTTTAGAGCTACCTGTTGTATCATGCACCTGTCTGCTCTCAAGTGATTTACTAAAATCAAGAGTTTGTGTGTATTTTCTAGCTGCCTGAACTTAGCCTTCTCTTCTCAAAAGATTTGAGAGAGAGGAGAGAGAGCTCTTCATTCCCATTCCACGCCCCATACCCTCAACAATGATTGCTTTCTCAATTTCATCCTACAAATTTGAAAGTAGCCAATGTAACTAGCATGATACAGTGTTAGCAGTCTGTTCTCTGAAGAGAAAAATTGCCTAGCCAGATAAGTTGGCAATACTTGGTTGGCTTTTGTTCCATCATCACATGATAATTACACCATGTATCTCTAAGAGCTTACTTTGCAAAATGAACTTCTTATCATTGCACAGCAAGCATAGGCTACCAATTGAGAGAAAACAAGACTTTTCTGGAAAACAGTGACACTTCCCTTGCTTTGAAAGGAAATGGAGGATATGGGAAATAATTACAAGTAAAATTACAAGTAGAGTATGGATTATTTATATCCTTACAGAGAAAATATAGGCCCACCCCACCCTTCTTAAAATTATTATTAGCATTTGTTAAGTAAGGATATATATCAAGCTAAAAAACTATGTTACAAATTATTTTCAAATGACTTTTTAAAAATCAAAACATCGTGATACCAATGCTTATATTTTAAAAGGACAGTTTGAAACTATTTCAGGGCTCATCTTAGGAAATTGCTGTTTCTAGTTTATGAATCGTAAAGGCTGACCAAACATATGGCCCACAAGGACCAGCAGAGTTCCAAAGTGTGGGATTTATTGATTTAAAGAAGGAATTTGCAAATGCCTGTAAAAGACCAGAGAATCTCTCAATGATTACTACAACTATACTAGTTAACATTTCTGAAAAAGAATGTATTTTAGGCTTTATAGGTCATAAATTCTCTGTTGCAAGTACTGAACTCTGCCACTATAGCACAAAAGCAGCCATAGATAATACATAAACAAATGGGTGTGCCTGTGTTTCAAGTAAAGTTTTATCACAAAAATAGATGGTGAGTCAAGTGTGGCTCATGGATTATAGTTTGCTGATCTCTGATTTAGAGTCACAAAGACAGCTGACAGAAATTGGACATCAATATCACCATACATGGCAACAGAGAGGATATTCCCTCTGAAAATAATAAAGGGAAAAAAAGTGGCACATAGAGTTTCTAAGCTGAAGTTAATATATAAGTGGTATCCTTGGTACATTTCTTAGATTTTACTTAATGCTATCTGGATAGGCAATAGTTAAATGATTTATTAAAGGTCAAAGTAATTTATTTATATGAAATGCCATCACCACAACAAAAATTCAATAGGCATGGTATTTGCATATAACGCCACTCACTAAAAAATATTTGGAGGGAGGGGGATCCTGGGAGGAATCTCTCAATGATTACTACCACCATAACATTTCTGTAAAAGAAAAATTTGTTTTTATTTATTATAAGGACATAACCAATTATGTAATATAAGCTAAACTATTTAACATAGTCCCATCAGTCTTCTAAGCAACATAACAAAACCAAAAGTGTGTATGTGTATACATATATATATATATATATATATATATATATATATATATATACCCCTATCCACACACACACATATTCTTTGTAACAAAGCAACCAATTACAATGATGCTGCTAATGATGATGATAGTGATGAAGGTCCTAACCATGTAGTTATCAGTAAGAGTACTTTCCTACCACATTTTGGGAATTATGCTAGACCATTTTACACAATTATTTCTAATCACTGGTATTTCTATGAAGTAGGCACTATCACCCCAACTTACACAGACAAGGAAATGCCAACTCTAGGTTACAAATAATAATAAGTTAACCAGGCATGGTAGCATGCACTTGTGGTCCCAGCTGCTCAGGAGACTGAAATAGAAGGATCCTTGAGTCTGGGAGGTTAAGGCTGCAGTGAGTCATGATTGTGCTACTAAACTCCAGTCTGATTGACAGAGCAAGACTCTGTCTCAAAAGAAAAAAAAAAAATACTAAACATAAAAAGATGCAGAAAAATGTAACATGTAAGTAAAAGAAAACAAGTCAATAGAAATAGACCTAGGAATGACAGAGCTTATGGAATTAGTAGACAAAAGGTTTTGAAAAGCTATCACAAATATGTTCAGAATTTTTTTTAATGTGAAGATAATGAGGAGACAAAGGGAAGATTAAAAAAAGACATCTAGAGATGAAAACCATAATTTTGAAATTTAAAAACTACTGCATTTGCTTGACAACAGATTGTATACTGCACATAAAAGATAAACACAAAACACTGCTGAAAGAAATTACATATGACACAAATGGAAAAACATTCCACACTCATGGATTGAAAGAATCAATATCATTATAATGGCCATACTTCCAAAGCAACCTACTTATTCAAAGCTATCCCAATCAAACTACCAATGGCCTTTTTCACAGAACTGGAAAAACTATGCTAAAATTCATATGGAACAAAAATAAGTACAAGTAGCCAAGGAAATCCTAAGCAAAAAGAACAAAGCTGGAGGCATCACATTACATATATATATATATATATATATATATATATATATATATATATATATATATAAACTTCAAACTATGCTAATGAAGCTACAGTAACCAAAACAGTATGGTACTGGTATAAAAAGATACATACCAATGGAACAGAATGGAGAACCTAGAAACAAAGCCACACACCTACAATCATCTGATCTTCAAGAAAGTTGACAAAATAAGCAAAGAGGAAAGGACTCTGTATTCAATAAATGGTGCTGGGATAGCTGGCTAGCCATATGCAGAATAAAGCTGGACCTCTACCTTTCACCATATACAAAAATTAACTCAAGATGGATTACACAATTAAATGTAAGACCTCAAATTATAGGAATCCTAGAAGAAAACCTAGGAAACATCATTCTGGATGTCAGCGTTGGGAAAGAATTTATGACTAAGTCTTCAAAAGCAATTGCAACAAAAACAAAAATTGACAAAAGGGACCTAACTAAACTAAAGGACTTCTTCACAGAAATAAAAACTATTAACAGAGTAAACATATAAGCTACAGAACAGGAGAAAATATTTGCAAACTATGAATCCAACAAAAAACTAATACCCATAATCTATAAGGAACTTAAACAACTCAGCAAGCAAAAGTCAAACAACCCCATTAAAAAGTGGGCAAAGGACATGAAAAGACACTTCTCAGAAAAAGACATATGAGCAGCCAACAAACCTGAGAAAATGCTCAATGTTACTCATTGTTAGAGCAATGCAAATCAAACCCACACTGAGATACTATCTCATGTCAGTCAGAAAGGCTTTTGTTAAAAAGTCAAAAAATAATAGATGCCGGTGAGGCTGCAGAGAAAAAGGAACACTTATACACTATTGATGGGAATGTAAATCAGTTCAGCCAGTGTGGAAATCAGTTTGAAGATTTCTCATAGAACTTAAAACAACTACCATTTGACTCAGCAATTCCATTACTGGGTATATACCCAAAAGAAAATAAATCACTCTACAAAAAAAATACATGCATTCATGTATTAGTCAGGGTTCTCTAGAGGGACAGAACTAAAAGTGTGTATATATATGTATACATATATATATAAGTATACATATATATATGCCCTTTTATATATATATATATATATATATATATATATATATATATATATATATATGCCCCTATATATATATAGGGGAGTTTATGGCTGTCATATGTAATATATAGATATATTTTATATATATAAAGAGGAGTTTATTATTAACTTACATGATCACAAGATCTTACAATAGGCTGCCTGCAAGCTTGAGGAGCAAGGAGAGCCAGTCCGAGTCTCAAAACTGAAGAACTTGAAATATGATGTTCTAGTTATAACAAAATCATGCCCTTTACAGCAACATGAATGCAATTAGGGGTCCTCACAACTAGTCAAGGTTCTCCTACCGAAAAAGACATTGGTAGTTTGATTGTGATAGCATTGAATCAGTAGGTTGCTTTGGGAAGTATGCCCATTTTAATGATATTGAGTCTTTCAATCCATTATCCTAAGTGACTTAATGGAGGAACAGAAAAACAAATACTGCATGTTCTCACTTAGAAGTGGGAGCTAAACATTGGGTACACATGTGCATAAAGATGGAAGCAACAGACACAGGGACTACTGGAAGCGGGAGGGAAGGAGGAGTGCAGGGACTGCAAAACTAACTATTGAGTACTATATAGTACTCACTGCTTGGGTGATGGAATCATTTATACCTCAAACCTGAGTATCATGCAATAAACCCATGTAACAAACCTGCACATATACCCTCTAAATCTAAAATAAAAGTTGATATTATAGTACTCTAATGTACACTCATGACAATCCTAAGGCATAAGTGATTATAAATAAAAATAAATAAACATGAAAGCAATAAAAAATAAAATACATAAGCCCTAAAAAAAACCCTATAAACCCACAGACCCTCAAATATCAGCAAACCTCAAGCTGGATAAAGAGACAATCTTAAGGAGCCAGAGAAAAAAAGACACTTTAAATACAGGGAATAAATATAAGAATTTATTTAAACAATATAAGTTGGAAGAAAATAGAATAACACCTTTCATACACTAAAGGAAAAAAAGTTGGTAAGCCAGTTTAAAAAATAAAAACTCTGGAAATTAAGGCAAATAAAGATATTTTTAAACAAATAAAGACAGAGAATTCATTGCCACCACACCTGCACCATAATTAATGTTAAAGAAAGTTCTTCTGGCTGGTGGAAAATTATACCAGATAGAAATTTAAATGTGCACAAGGAATAAAGAGTGCTGAAAGTGGTAAGTATGTGAGTAAATATAAGATATATTACTCATTTTAAAATTTACTTAAGTGATAACTGTTTAAAGAAAAATCTATAAATTTTGTTTATAACTTGTGTAGAAATAAAACACTTGATAATAATAGCACAAAGGACAGGAGGTAAGAATGAAAACATACTGTTCTTATACTATGAAGTGCTAAAATATGTGAAAAGTTAATATTACATTATGATAACTTAAAGATGTATATTGTAACCCTATAGAAACTACTAAAACAAATAAGTATAGCTAATAGACCAACAGTTGCTATAAAATAAAGTAGTAGAAGATACTGAATCCAAGAGAAAGCAGGATAATATGGGGGAAAGGAGATAATGTTGGACAAATCAAAGCTACTGGCAAGATCAAAACTTTATCCCCACTATTTTGATCATCCAATTAAATGTAAATGGTCTAAACACCCCAATTTAAAAAGCAGACTGTCAGGCTGTGGAACAAAGCAGGACCAACAAACTACATGCTATCTACAAAACAAACAAACAAAAAACCCATACAAACACACACATTTTTAAAATAAGCAAATAATAAGGTCTAATGATATTAAACAGTCACCTCCAGAAACCCTAAAACCAACGAAAGGACCCCATCCTTAATACTCTGTTCCTCTAAAACCACCCCTGCAACCAAAATCTGTATTAGTCAAGGTTCTCTAGAGAGGGTTATCTAGTTCTCTAGTTCTCTAGTCAGGGTTCTCATAATTAGTCTGTGTAAAGTAAATTTGAACATTCATTTTACAAATGAAGATATACAACTGGCCAATAAGCCATGAAAATATACTCAACATCATTAGTCACCAGGAAAATGTAAATTAAAACAATAATGAAATAACAGTACACACTTATTTTAAAAGACTGACAATACCAATTGATAGAACTAAAATTCTGATACATTGCTAAGTAGAATGTAAAATAGTAGTATAACCACTGTAGAAAACAGTTTGCCAGTTTCTTAATCATGTTGAAAATATACAAACCATATGACCTAGCACTTTCATTCTAAATATTTCCCCGAGAAAAATGAAAATCTATTCCCATAGAAATACCTTAGCACTAGGCCTGGCACGGTGGCTCAAGCCTGTAATCCCAGCACTTTGCGGGGCCGAGGCAGGCAGATCACGAGGTCAGGAGATCGAGACCATCCTGGCTAACACAGTGAAACCCCGTCTCTACTAAAAATACAAAAAATTAGCCGGGCGTGGTGGCGGGCGCCTGTGGTCCCAGCTACTGGGGAGGTTGAGGCAGGAGAATGGCGTGAACCCGGGAGGCGGAGCTTGCAGTGAGCCAAGATCGCACCACTGCACTCCAGCCTGAGCGATAGAGCAAGACTCCGTCTCCAAAAAAAAAAAGAAAGAAAGACCTCAGCACTAATGTTTGTAGCAGCTTTATTAATAATAGCCTAAAATTATAAGCAACCCAAATTATCATCAGCAGGTAAATAAATTAGCAAACTATCGTATATTGCTACAATGGAATATCACTCCATAAATAAAAAATAAAAATCTACACACTACTGATACTTACAAAAATATGGAAGAATCTTAAAACATACTTAATGAAAAAGCTATATACAAAAGGTTACATACTGTATTATTTCAGACAGGCAGTGTGATTTATAGTGACAGCTGATTTGCAGTTGCCTAGGGTTGGGTAGGGAGTGAAGATCAAAGCAAAGGAGCATGAGGAAACTTACTGAACTGATGAAGCTGTTATACCTCTTGATTACAGTGGTGGTTGTAAGGGTACAGTTGTTCCCTTTTATTCACAGTTTTCTCTTCTGCAGTTTCAGTTATCTACACCAACTGCTTTCTGAAAATGTTTAAGAATGTATAAGATATTTTGAGAGACATAAACCATGTAATATAGTATATTGTTATAATTGTTCTTTTTTAAGTTATTGTTAACCTCTCACTGTGGCTAATTTATAAATTAAACTTTATCATAGTAAGTATGTATAGGGAAAAATATAGTATTTATATGGTTTGGTTATATCTGCACTTTCAGGCATACACTGGGGGTCTTGGAACATATTTCCTGTGGGTGAGGGAGGAGTACTGCATACTTTCATTAAAACTAATCTACTGCACACTTAAATATCTTGGCTGTATGCAAATTATAGTAATAAAGTTGATTTTAAGAGAAAAAAACAGATACCATTATTATAGAAATCCATCTGCTTGCTAAATATACACAACCTTGGAAAAGTTTTGTATTACTGTAAGTACCCTCTTATGTAGTGTTATGTAAAATAGGTCCAATAATAACGCCTAATTCTTATATTCTCCCTTTACCAGTTGTTAGTTCTCATCATGGTTATACTTTGTACTTTTTGATGAATGCAAGACAGGTGGAAGTAATTGCCAAATTCATAAAAAGCTGATACACATCCTAACCATCCCCCACTTCAGAGCTTTTTTTTTGAGACACAGTCTTGCTCTGTCACCAGGCTGGAGTGCAATGGCATGATCTTGGCTCACTGCAACCTCTGCCTCCTGGGTTCAAGTGATTATCCTGCCTCAGCCTCCTGAGTAGCTAGGATTGCAGGCATGCGCCACCACACCCAGCTAATTTTGTATTTTTAGTAGAGACAGGGTTTCACAATGTTGGTCAGGCTGGTCTTGAACTCCCGACCTCAGGTGATCCACCCACTTCAGCCTCCCAAAGTGCTGGGATTACAGGCATAAGCCACCACACCCAGCCTAGAGCTGTTAACCGTAGGGATCTCATACTAATAATAAGATCCAAAAAAGTAATGTAATGTATGATGGGACCCAATATTAGACAATAGAAATAGATTGGGGACCGATATCAAGATAACTTTTCAAAAAATTTAAAAATAACTTACATGCTTTCCAAAATAAGCAAGTTTTTTTTCAAATGCTAATAAGAAATTTAATATATAAATTCTATTTTAAAGCCAGATTTTCAGGAATGATTAGTACAGAGAAAATGCATATACGTAAAGTAACTAAAAAGATTCCCTATAGGTTACATTAAATTATGGATTTATAAGTTATTAATTAAAAAATTTGAATATTTAACTATGAAATTATGAGAAGGAAATGAAGTCAGGTGACACTAAGGAAAATAAGGCTTCAGTCAGCCTATATTTGAGTTCTTCATAAAAGCAAAGTGAGGAATAGAAGAGAGACAAAATGTAGATGAAAAATTCAAAACAAAAAAGAGACATTTTAAGCTGGGCATGGTGGCTCACAACTGTAATTCCAGCCCTTTGGGAGGCCAAGGCAGGAGTCACTTGAGGCTAGTTCAAGACCAACCTGGACAGCATAGTAGGACCCCATCTCTACAAATATTTAAAAACTAAAAAATTATCTGGGCATGATGGCACACAAGGCTAGTCCCACATAATTGGGACACTGAGGCAGGAGGATCACTTGAGCCCAGGGTGTCCAGGCTGCAGTGAGCCATGATGATGTCACTGTACTACAGCCTGGGTGACAGAGTGAGACACTGACTCAAAAAAAAGAGAGAGAGAGAGACATTTTTGTCCTAATTTTGCACTTGGTCTAAATGATTTGGACGGCCCATCTCTCTTATCTCATGTCTCTTTTATACCACTGCAGGAAGTATTCATACAAAAAACAATAATAGTAAGTCATCCTTCCAAGTATACCATGAGTCTAGACTTCAATTTTCCTGTGATCTCTGATTCCCTGCTGCTGACAATGGCCACATCCCAAAGTCCTGTTTCATCCACAATAGGAGGGCTTAAGTTGCATCGCTTTGTTTTCAGAAACTGCAGTGCCTTTGTAGAAGCAACTAACACAGAAAAATTAAGTAGAAGTTCAAGGTTACAGAAAAAATAGGTGGGTGCTCTGGAAAAAAAATGCTGATCCATTAATAACTGAGAACAAAACACTGCAGGTAAAAGAGAAATCTTTGTTAAACACCCCAGGTCAAAAAACTAGCTTCCTTAAAAATAACAGAAAATTACATTTGTGTTTGCTCTTAAGTGATCTTTCTTGTACCTAGATCTTATTTATTTTGCACTATGAATCTTTTTGGAATTCATTTATTTGACACAATTATGAAGCCATTTGCTAAACATTTCAATTTTAGGCACTGTACTAGACATAGGTAAGAAAAAAATGAATATGAAACTGTGGCTTCTGTGGCTTTTGTGGCTTTTGCCATTGAGAAGCTAGAAATAACCATTGGCAGCCCTGCTTACCCAGTGCAAATTCCACATGCTAACATTATCAGTATGACTTAGGAACACTGAAATTAGTCTTTTCAGTTTACAAGATTTGGGAGCTGCCAGAATACCCCGTTACACCTAAGGCTGGTGACTGTGAAAGAGCACAAAACGCATTGCACATGGGTAGGAATTAGGAATAATTAAGGTGCCTTTTCAGACCCTAGCAGGAAACATTGATACGACCTTAAGGATAAATACCCACCAACTCCTGCTGACATACAAAAAAGCACAATATGTTTTAGGCAAGGCATCAGCAGTCAGCTATTGTTACAGGCACATACTCCTAAATTAGGTATTCAATCTCGTCTGCCTATTAAGCTAAGTTGCAGTTCATTCACAAGGACTCAAATATGGAAGTATGGAGTCCTTCTCAGGCCGTATTTAGTTTGCTTTAACAGTGGATTCAAAGATTTTCTGATTGGAAATTGTCTGAAAAAGTTAAATTATTATCTAAAGACCTGATTCAATAGAAAGGAGTGTCTGGGTTAAGACCATGGGTTGTGGGCTGGGTGCGGTGGCTCACGTCTGTAATCCCAGCATTTTGGGAGGCTGAGGTGGGCAGATCACCTGAGGTTAAGAGTTCGAGATCAGCCTGGCCAACATGGTGAAACCCCGTCTCTACTAAAAATACAAAAATTGGCTGGGCGTGGTGGCAGACACCTGTAATCCCAGCTACTCAGGAGGCTGAGGCAGGGAAGCGGAAGTTGCAGTGAGCCAAGATCGTGCCATTGCACTCCAACCTGGGTGACAAGAGTGCAACTCTGTCTCAAAACAAAGAAAAAAAATAGATAAGGGATTGTAGAGACCAAAGTCTTTATTATAAAGTCTTACAGGTGGCTGCCCTTAGAGGCAAGAGATACCAAAAGTTTCCTATTCTGACCTTTAAAAAGTGTTAGACTCTCAGCTAATCTCTTTGGGATCAGAAAAAGACCTGGGAAGGGGATTCTCTACAAAGCATAAATATCCCCCACAAGAGAGTTTTGTGAGGCCATTTCAAAATATGTCAAAGAAATAAATTTTAGGGTAAAATACTTTGATTTATTTCAGGGCCTGCTATCTGTCATGTGATGCTATACTACAGTCAGATTGGAATTTTTTATCTTCTTACTACAAACAGTCAGTTTTGTCAGTCTAAAGATCCGTTTTAATGTTAGTGCTGGTTGGTTGTGTCTGAATTCCAAAGGGAGGAGAGTATAATGAGGCATGTCCAACCCCCTTCCCATCATGGCCTGAAATACTTTTTCAGATTTCTTGGGAATCCCATTGGCCAAGAGAGGAGTCCATTCAGTCTGTTGGAGGGCTTAGAAATTGATTTTTGGTTTGCAGAAGAATGGAGAGAAGCTGAGTTCTCAGTTAAAGGAGGGGATGGAAGGCGTTGGGGAGTGTGTGACAGGAAATACAAAGATAGGCTTCTGGATAAGTTAATACATGCAGCAAGTTAAGAGTAACTACTACTCATGTTGTAGAAAATCAGGAGGGCAAGGGAGACCTCAGGGTATAGCAGGAGAATCTTTTATTGAGTGCACTCCAGCCCAGCTGACTCAACGTCCAAAAAACTGGGCCCAGAACAAAATCAAGGTTTTGCTTATATACCTACTCCTAAGTGGCGCAAATGCGAATGTACAGAGGCAAGACAAAGGCCGTTAATCAAACTAAGACAAGCTTATAACTCAGGTTTAGTATACTCATTACTATGCAGCCCAAATGGTCGTTATCTGGTTAGTTCAAAGGAGTTTCACAAAGACTCATCTTGCGACCCCTACCACGGTGCCTAGCTGGCTACAAGCTAGAACTGCTCAGGCTATACTGCTTAGATCAAGAAGCAGGAACCTACAATCATTAACTATAGGAAAAACAGAAACTCATAAAACTTACAGAGCAAGGAGCAAGGTATAGTTTACATAGCAGAGGGGATGGGATTCAAGGGGGAAGTTTACTTACACTAAAGGAGAGATAGGAACACTTATCTCTTCACATCCTTATGTTGAGGGAGTGTTGGGAGAGTCTTCAGAGCACGTTCCTCTGAGCTGTGGCTCTTAGATAACGTTATCGAAACTTTGCCTGTTACTGCCTTTGAAATGAATCAGCCTAACACAGGTAGCTTGTTTTTTTCTCTTTTTTAATCTCTATTTTCTTTCTTTCTTTAATTTTTTTCCCTTTTTTCCCTCCTCACTTATTAAATATTTATGACACTGCTGGAAATGCAAAATGCTTGCTCCTCAGTGCCGTGAAGGAATAGCACTTGAATGTAAATTTAATTCTCTCAGCAAGGCAATTTTTACTTCTATAGAAGGGTGTGACTCACAAATGGGGTAATGGCGAGAACACACCTGGACAGGGGAAGGGAAGGAGCTCTTATTCCTGACGCAGGTAGCCCCTACTGCTGTGTTGTTCCCCTACTGGCTAGGGCTGGACTGCACAGTCTTAGCTAATTCCGACTGGCTATTTTAAAGAGGGCAGGGGTATAAGCCAGAGTGGTGGGGTAAGTGGTTTGGAGGGAAGGATGGTTAGGAACAGGTAACTAGAGGTGACTTAGGTTAGAGCAGGTGACCAGGAGTAACTTGGGTCAAAGCAGGTGACTGGGATGAGTCAGGATGGGGCAGGTGACCGGGGTGACTTAGGTCAAAGCAGGTGACCGGGATGAGTCAGGACAGAGCAGGTAACCAGGGAACAGATGTGAACTACTGATTAGGACTGGCAGGAAAGTTGTTTACTGAAACTGGAAGCAAGGGAAGTAAGAGAACCAGGAAGTTAAACTTTAAAATGGGGAATCAAAGAGTAAGAGAGCTGAACATACTGACATACTGATTCTTTGAAGAGAAACTTGAGATTCATTATATTTAACTGTCATGCGCATCCATGTGAAGAGACCACCAAATAGGCTTTGTGTGAGCAATAAAGCTTTTTAATCACCTGGCTGCAGGCAGGCTGAGTCCGAAAAGAAAGTCAGCAAAGGGTGGTGGGATTATCGTTAGTTCTTATAGGTATGGGATAGGTGGTGGAGTTAGGAGCAATTTTTTCATGGGCAGGGGCTGGATCTTACAAAGTACATTCTCAAGGGCAGGGAGAATATTACAAAGTACCTTCTAAAGGGCGGGGCAGAATATTACAAAGTACCTTCTTAAGGGCGGGGCAGAATATTACAAAGTACCTTCTTAAGGGCGGGGGAGGATATTACAAAGTACTTTCTCAAGGGTAGGGAGGGTGTATCATGTAAAGTACATTCACAAGGGCAGGGGAATATCACAAAGTACATTATCACATTATCACAAGGGCCTGGAGGGTGTATTGTCACAAAGTCAATTGACAGTTAGGGTGGGGCAGGAACAAATCACAGTGGTGGAATGTCATCAGTTAAGGCAGGAACTGGCTATTTTCACTTCTTTGGTGGACCTACAGTTGCTTCAGGCCATCTGGATGTATACGTGCAGGTCACAGGGGATATGATGTCTTAGCTTGGGCTCAGAGGCCTGACATTAAAGACACTGTGTTTGCTGAGTGTTATATACTCAATACATCCCCTGAGGAAGCCACTATTAATTATTACTATTGTCAAAGAAACAAAGCTTCTATCATGTTTGGATTTGAATCCACTGGAAATACTTTATGTTGTTATTGCTATTGCTCGCTGAAGGCCCTCAGGGAAACTCAGGTTGGAGCCCATTCTGCTTACCCAAGGCTGGTAAGTTCATTTACAGCTCAAAGGAAGAAATGTCATCTCCTAAACCAAATCTATTTGATAAATTAAATGAAAATATAAGGCTTCCCAGTGCTTGCCTATGAAGGTTAAGTTCCAGAAAAATTAAACAGGGAATTTTAAATGTCTTAAGAAGAATTTGTCTTGTCTTCTTAAAAAGGAAGCACCTGCATTCCTTCTCAGGGTTATATCAAGAGACGGAGTCCATATATATTTAAAGTTAAGTATGGCCTTTTCCCCACATGTCTGCTCTTACGGGAGTAATCATCTTTGATTGTGTACCCCTGTGATATTTAAAATACCTGTTTGGTCTGCATCCATGTTTCCTGGTATACAACTTTAAAAATCCTTGGAATTTCCAAAGTGCTATCTTTTTGCATGCTAATGTTGGCTGATAGCTTCAGGGTGGGGATGATCACCTGAGACAAAGGCATAATTAAAGTGTTGGGACTTTCAGCCCCAACCCCCAGACTCCTGAGAAAGGTAAGGACTGAAGGTCAAGCTGATCAGCAATGGCCAATGGTTTAATTATTTAGGCCTACTTAGTGAAGTCTCTATAAAAACCCAAGAGGACACAGTTCAAAGAGCTTCTGGATAGGTGAACATATGGAGGTTTCTGGAGGAGGGTAGGCCCAGGGAGGACATGGAAGCTCTGTGCCCCTTTTCACATACTTCATCCTATGAGTCTCTTCATCTGTATCCTTTGTAATATCCTTGACAATAAATGATAAACCTAAGTGTTCCCTGATTTTTGTGAGCCAATCCAGCAAATTAAAACCCCAAATTGAAGACCATCAATCAGAAGTTCCAGGCCAGGCATGGTGGCTCACACCTGTAATCCTAGCACTTTGGGAGGCCAAGGCAGGTGGATTTCCTGAGCTCAGGAGTTCAAGACCAGCATGGGCAACATGGTGAAACCTCATCTCAACTAAAATACAAAAAATTAAACGGGTGTGGCAGCATACACCTGTAGTCCCAGCTACTCGGGAGGCTGAGGCAGGAGAATTGTTGAACCCAGGAGGTGGAGGTTGCAGTGAGCCATGATCATGCCACTACACTCCAGCCTGGGTGGCAGAGTGAGACTCCGTCTCTAAAAGAAAAAGAAGTTCCAGAGGCCAGAGGCCTGGACTTGTGACTGATGTCTAAAGGGCAGTCCTGGGGACTGAGCCCTCAACCTGTGGGATCTGACACTATTTCCATGTAGATAGTGTTGAAACTGACTTGGAGGACACCCAGTTAGTGTCTGTTGTAGAATTAGTTACTAGCTTGATGGTGGGGAAAAAACCACATATTTGGTCACAAAAGTCTTCTTCTGTGTTGATGCTTATTGTTATGGTGGCGTGACAGGAGAAGAAAAGCAAGGATTGTGAGTTTTTCTGAAACTACCTGTGATCACAGAATATAATTTTTTTTCCACCCCTTGTTCCACTCCTTGTGGGATGGGGAGCACAGGTGAGCAGGTGCAGGAGTGAGGGCAAGCACTTTTGGGCTCTGGCAGGGGCAAAACTCCGTGTGTGCCCTGCAGCAGCATCTAGTGGGTTGCTCACGACCCCTGAAGCCCCAGAAGGAGTGTTACAGTGACTCTTTCGCTTTTCTGTCCACAGACAGTTTAAGTGTTAACAGCTCAGTGGAGGGTTAGTGTGACAGCCTTTTGCACCTGCACTTGTGGCACCCAAGTTCTTGTGCAGTGTCCAGGAGGAATGAGGTCGCGTGAATAAACTGAAGATGGTAAACACAGGGGATTTTATTGCTGATGAGAGTGGCTCTCAATGGGAAGAACAGAGCAGGAAGGTAATCTTCCTCTGGAGTCTGGCCATTCCTGGACTCCTCTCTGAAGCTGCACCAGACTCATCTCTGAAGCTGCACTGTCAAGCTGCCCCTCTGAAGTCAAACTGCTTCCCTCCAATGTCCAACCATAGTTTCTGTCATCCAGCTGCTTCTCCTCTCTCCTGGCTGAGTTCTGGGATTTTTATAGGCACATGATGGGGGCAGAGTGGGCTATGGGTGGTATCAGAAAAGACAACATTCAAGCAGGAAAACAGGGATGTACCTTCTCACTTTGGGCCGCAGTATCAGGCTTTTTGGCTTGAGGGTGGGGCCCTTGTCCGGGACCAGCCCTATTGTGCCCAGAATTTCCCTGCCTCCTGTCTCTATCATTATCTCATCAGCACATTATTTGTATTTCCAAAATTATTTCCTCCTAAACCTTATTCATTAGCATTATTTGTGAAATGTGGTTTCTTTTCTTTTTAGCCAACACTGAATCAAGTTTTCTGTTTCATAAATTCTATTTTCTCAGCACATTACATATGAAAAAATTGAAGCACAGAGAAGGTGAATATACCAAAATTCACACATATGTTAACTACCAGGTTAGAACTGCAACCGAGACCTGAGTTCCAAGTGATTCCCTGTCCCATTATATGACTCTGCCTCCCTCAAGGGCTGGTAGAACAGCTGAAGCAATGGGAAGTTTAATGTGAGAAAGAAGTGCAAAAGAGTCAATAGGCTGGATACGTTTCTACACGGGAGCTGGCTGTTCAATTCCAAGCTTTGGAACACAGGATATGCTAAAGACTCCAAGTTTGTTTCTGTACCTAGAAGGTACATGAAAAGTTTCAGCAGCTCCGCAAAAATATCTGGCATGAGAAAGCTGTGCCACTATGACTCATCTGAATAATGAAAGCCCATTAACAGTATAGTCAGGGCGCCATCTGGCAAGGTGAGGAAATGATCAAGAATAAATATATTGAGTGTCCGTCAGAGGCAGCATTGTGTACTTGTTAGGAAAGCAGATCTTGAAATCAAACTACCTGGGTAAGAATTCATTCTTCACATCATTGTATTCTTGTGACCCTGAGAAAATTATCTAATATCTCTCTGCTTCAAATTATTTACAAGTAAAATAAGAAGAAGAATAGTATCTACCTCACAGCTTTGTGTGAGGATAAGTTAATATATCTAAATTGTTAATAAACCTGCTTACTATTTAGCGAGCCCTCAGTGTGAGTTATTCTTATCATCAATGAGGAAAATGAAACTAGAGATTCATCTACTTTCTATTCTGCTTTTACCATCTTAGACTATCATGCTTGAGGCACTGTAAATGGGTACATTGAATAATCAATAAAGTAGTTAGCAAAAAGGAGTGGTTTTAAAAATGCACAGATGCTATATAGCAGGTAAGATAAGTATGGAAAGGCAGATGCCCACAACCAACATCTTTACTCAAAGCCTGGAAAACCTGACAGGTAATCTACTTAACTTTAAAAAAAAAAAAAACAAAAAAACAGGCAAATTCTGAATGTATTTCCATAACGGATTAGGGTCAGAATGGTTCAGTGGTCACACAGGTACTTATGCTGAGCAAGCTGAATACTTGGATTCAAGGCAGCAAGACTCATCCAGTGTAGACTGATGGCATTGAGGCCACTGAGAATCACTCAGACTCATTTAGGATATGCTTAGTTCAATGCACATTTGGTATATTTCCCACCAAGCTTTTACTGGCGTTATTTAGGGTACCACACCCTGAATTTCTTTAGAAAACGACACCCAACTGATTCTCAATCTATCTGGTTCCAGTGGTGATCCAACCTCAAAAAGGGGCAGAAACCCATGCCCTACTAGTTCTTTAGTTCAAGGTTAGACATGTACCCAGGTTGTTCCAATCAGAATGAAGGCCAGGATTTGATCAGAATACTCAGAAAAAGACACTTTCACTTCTATGGGATTCTAACCCAGGAAAATGTAGGTTTAAAACTTCTGTGTGACAACTTTCTTCTCCCACCCCTGAAGACTAAGAATGAAACCAACAGGGAAAAAGATAAGAAATAAAGAGGAGAATAAAATCTTGATCACATTGTTTGAGCCTATAACCAGGCCACACTTAAAATGAAACTATCCTCTGGATTTTCAAGTTATATAAGACAATAAATCCCCCATATTTTTAAAATCAGTTAGTTAGTATTCTGTCTTGTGCAACAGAAAGAATCTTAGCTGATACACTTAGGAACTGAAAGGGAAGACTTAGATGAAGACTGATTTCTGTAGCTGGCAAAAACTGGAATAGAAAAGTCATGGAGTGACATCAGTGAAATGCCAACTAGAGTTACCTGGCTCTCCCCACCTCAACAAAAAGGGACCAAAACAATAAAAAAAAAAAACAACAACTATATTTTGAGTGGAGTGACTAATCAAGTACCCTAGAGAACACCAAGGAGTGGTAAAAACCCTGTGGACCACAGACAATTAGGATACCACCATAGAGAGGGGTGCAAGCTACCCTGCCACTTTACAATGTCTCCCCCACCAGGATAAGCTCGGAGATGGAGGGATTTCTTCTTACAGGAAAAAGAAAAGTTGAACCAGGAGCCCCATTATCATCACAGATGCTGGTGGTCCTTTCTATAGAAGAATCCCCTAGCCCTCACAGGACCCAAACTCACTTTGGAGAGTTGCTAGAAGTTGGCACAGCTGCATTGCTCTGGAATAGGAACCCACATTGTGAATCCCCCACTCTTGTGATGTAAACTGTACTACATAGCACCATCTTAACACCAGACCAACTGCTAGAATGTGTTCTGCCCTGGGGGCCAGAACACACTGCCTTTATCCATTGCCTAGGTCCCAACATCATTCTTTCATGTTCACATGCATGCCTGAAACACTATGACCCTGGGTACTAGCAGTATAGGCTGGACAAAATGATTAAAACCCAAGTGTTTGAAACCATATGGCAACCAGCTCCTCTGGGAAATAAGCAGACTTGAACAACAGGGACACCACCAAACTACCAGCCAGGTTACTGCTCCCACATGTGCCCCCGTCAGGCAGCCAGGCAGTTTACAGTACATGTGAGAGCCTGTGGACAGCTTAACAGCCACTTCAGCAGAGCCCTGCTTTGCCAGAGGGTCCATCACTAACAATGGCCTGACACATCTGTGCCCACACTGACAGCCAGTCTGTTGGTAATCCAGCTCTGGGAGAGACTGCCACACTGCTGGCCGACCAACCATGCCTGCATGTGTCTGGCCCTGCAACCAGCTTGGCAGCCCTTCCCCCAGCAAAAATGCACCCTGGCTGTCACAAACTCCCACAGCTAAGGCACCAAGGCTAACACAAATATCGGCCGATGAGAAATATAGTTGAAGAAACTACACAGAGACCACACTACTGAGTCCACACAGACACAAAGCCAAGGCACCATACCCAACTGACACCCAGGATCTTCTACGGAAAAAAAAAAATGTTCCCCCTACAAAACCATTCCATAAAATTGGAAAAAGCAACCTGTTCCACTAGATGTGTAGATATCAGTAGATATGAGAAACAAACAAACAAAAAACTCCAGGAAACAGGACGCCCCCAAAAGAACACAATAATTCATGAGTAGTAAAACCCCCACAAAGGATATTTACAAAATGCCTGAAAAGAAATTCAAAATAATTATCTTCATGAAACTTAGCAAGACACAAGAGAATACTGACAAACAATTCAATGAAATCAGAAAAGCAATTCATGATATGAATGAGAAATTCAATAGAAAGAAATAAGAAAAAAAGAAAACAAAAATATTAGAGCTGAGGAATTCAAAAAGTAAATTAAAAATACAGTAATACAATTAAGACCTTCAACAACAGACTAGATCAAGCAGAAAAAAAGAATTTCTGAATTTGAAGACAGCTCTTTTGAAATAACCCAGTCAGAGGGAAAACAGAAATAAGAATAAAAAAGAATAAAGAAAGCTTATGGGACTTTGGGAACACCATTTACAAACATATGTTCACAATATAGGAGTTCCAGGGGAAGAGAGATGAAAAAAAGGCACAGAAAACTTATTTAATAAAATAATAGCTTAAAACTTCCTAATCTTGTAATAGATATGAATATCTAGATCTCAGAAACCCAAAAGTCCTCAGTTAGACTCAACCCTTTCCAAGGCACATAATAATTAAACTTTCAAAAATAGAGAATTCCAAATGCTGCAAGACAAAAGTGTTAAGTTACATATAAGGGAATTGTCATTAGACTATCAGAACATTTCTCAGCAGAAGACTTACAAGCCAGGAGAGAATGGGATGACATATTCAAAGTGCTGAAAGACATAATCGTCAACTAATAATACCATATTCAGCAAAACCATCTTTCCAAAATAAGAAGAAAATAAAGGCCTTCACAGATAAGCAAAAGCTGAAGGAATTCATCACCACTAGACTGGCCTTATAAGAAATGCTTAAGGGGCCAGGCATTGTGGCTCATGCTTATAATTCCAGGACTTCGGGAGGCCAAGGTGGAAGGATTGCTGAAAACCAGGAGTTCAAGACCAGTGTGGAAAACAGAGTGAGACCCTGTATCTACAAACAATAATAATAATAATCTGGGCATGGTAGCATATGGCTGCAGTTTCAGCTACTCATTAGGCAGAGGTGGAAGGATTGCCTGAGTCCAGGAGGTCGAGCCTACAATAAGCCATGATCACACACTACTGCACTCCACTGTACACTCCTGGGTGGCACAGTGAGATCCTGTCTCAAAAAGAGAGACAGAAAAAAAGAAAGAATGAAATGCTTAAGGGAGTTCTACAACTGTAAGCAAAACAACAATAATTACTATCATGAAAACATGTGAAGGTATAAAACTCACCAGTAGAGGAAAATTCATATTCAAACTCAGAATACTACAGTACTGTAATGATGCTTTATAAATCTTCCAATTTACTAGTATGAAAGGCTAAAGACACAATATTAAAAAAATAGCTAGCAGATAAAAATGTAAATTTTAAAATTTTAGGGCAACAAAAATATAAACTGTGGGGCAGAGGAAAAAATTCTAAAGTATTTTCATGCAACCAAAGTCAAGTTGTTATCAGTGTAAAATAGCCTATTATAATTACAAGACTATGTTAGTCCATGGTAACTACAAATAAAAAAAATTATAACTGATGCACAAATCAGAAAGAGAAAGAAAACAAAGTGTAGCATCACAGAAAACCTATAAACCAGAGGTAAACAATGAGAGAGAGAAAAGAACAAAGGATTTTAAAACAACCAGAAAACAATAAAGTTGGAGAAGTCTTTACCTACCAATATGTTTCTAAATGAAAATGAATTAAATTCACCAATTAGAGGAGCCAGGCACGGTGGCTCATGCTTGTAATCCCAGCACTTTGGGAGGCCGAGAGGGGTGGATCACGAGGTCAGGAGGTCGAGACCAGCCTGGCCAACACTGCGAAACCCTGTCCCTACTAAAAATACAAAAATTAGCTGGGCGTGGTGGCAGGCACCCATAATCCCAGCTACTTGGGAGGCTGAGGCAAGAGAATCGCTTGAACCCGGGAGGCGGAGGTTGCAGTGAGCTGAGATTGCACCACTGCACTCCAGCCTGGGCAACAGAGCTAGAATCCATCTCAAAAAAAAAAAAAAAAAAAAACAGTGGCTAAATAAATTTTTTAAATGCCCAACTACATGCTGCCTACAAGAGACTCACCTCATTCTTAAAAACAAACAGTGAAAGTGAAGAGATGGAAAAAAGACATTCGTCATACATGAAAACCAAAACTAAGCAGGAGTGACCATAACAGATAAAATGAATTTTAACTAAAATACTGTAAAAAGAGGCAAAGTCACTTCATAATTATATAAGGATTTATTTAATAAGAGGATATAACAAATGCAAATATATATGCACCCAACACTGGAGCATGCAAATATGTAAAGCAAATATTCTTAGTACTGCAAATGTAAGGTATTAGGTTCAGCTTAGTGCCTCAGAACTGTTTTTTCCCTAGCTGAAGCATATGCCAGTCCATTTAAATAATGGACAGATCATCCAGACAGAAAATCAACAAAGAAAGACTGGACTTACACTGCACCATAGATCAAAGGGACCTAACAGACATTTACAGAACATTCCATCCAACAGCTACAGAATACACATTCTTCTCAACTTCACATGTAATGTCCTCCCATATAGATCATATGTTAGGTCAGGAAACACTCTTAACAAATTAAGAAGACAGAGATCATCTCTGATATGATTTGGCTCTGTGTCCCAACCCACATCTCATCTCAAATTGTAATCCCCATGTGTCGGGGTAGGGGGCTGGTGGAAGGTGACCGACTCATGGAAGTGGACTTCCCCCTTGCTGTTCTCATGACAGTGAGTTCTCATGAGATCTGGTTGTTTGAATGTGTGTGGCACTTCCCCCTTCACACTCTCTCATTCTCTGCTGCCACCACGTGAAGAAGCTCCCTGCTTCCTCTCCACCTTCCACCATGACTATAAGTTTCCTGAGGCCTCTCAGTCATGCTTCTCATTAAGCCTGTGGAACTGAGTCAATTAAACTTCTTTTCTTTATAAATTACCCAGTCTCAGGTAGTAGTTCTTTTATAGCAGTGTGAAAACGGACTAACACAATTTCTTCTTTTCTGAGTAAAACCACGTACATCTGGAAATCAACAAGATAAATTTCAAAAACTTTGCAAATACATTAAAATTGAACAGCATGCTCCTTAATAAGCAATGGGTCAATACAGGAATTATAAGAGAAATTTAAAACTTCCTAGAGAAGTGAAATGAAAACACAACATACCAAAACTTACAAGACACAGCAAATTCAGTTGTAAAAAGAAAGTTTATACCAATAAATGCCTACATATAAAAAAATTATAGTAAAAAAACCTAAAGATGCACTTCAAGGAACTAGAAAAACAAGAACAAACTAAGCCCAAATGGTAAAAGGAAATAAATAATGAAGCTCAGAGAAGACAAAAACAAAATAGAGACTTAAAAATTCAAAAGATCAATGAAATAAAGAGTTGGTTTTTGGAAAGATAAAAAGAATAAATTTTTATCTAGGTGAAAAAAAAGAAGGTGCAAAGAAATAAAATCAGAGATGAAAAGGAGACATTAGAACTGATATGACAGAAATACAAAGGATCATAAGATACTGTTATGAAAAACTATACACAAACAAATTTGATAACGTAGAAGAAATGAGTTAATTCCTGGACACATACAGCCTACCAAAATTAAATTATGAAGAAATAGAAAATATGCACAGACTAATAACAAGTAAGGAGATTGAATCAGTAATAAAAAGTCACCCTTCAGACAAAAGCCCTGGACCTGATGTCTTTACTGCTAAATTCTTCAGAACCTGTAAAGAACCCAGCAATTCTCCTCACACTATTTCAGAAAACTGAAGAGGAGGAAATTATTCCAAACTCACTTTACAAGAATAGCATTACCCTGATTCCAAAACCAGACAAAGACATAACAAAGAAACAAAACTACAGGTGAATATCCTTGATAAAACATAAATGCAAAAATTCTCAGCAAGATATTAACAAACCATATTTAATAGCACATTAAAAAGATCATTCATATGATAAAGTGGGATTCATCCCAGGGAGTCAAGGATGGTTCACCATACACAGATCAATAAGTGTTATATATTACCTTAACAGAAAGAAAGGCAAAAACCATGTGATCATTGCAACAGATGCAGAAAAAGTGTGTGACAAAATTCAACAACCCCAACAACACTTCATGATAAAAACTCTCAACAAACTGGGTATAGAAGAAATATACCTCAACACAATAGGACCATATTTGACAAACCCACAGCCAATACCATACTGAACGTAGAAAAATTGAAAACTTTAAGATTAGAAACAAAACAAGGATGCCCACATTGCTATTCAACATCGTACTGGAAGTCCTAGACAGAGCAATTGGGCAAAAGAAGGAAATAAAAGAAACAAACTGTACATCAGAAAAGGGGTAAGTTTCCAAAATATATAAAGAATTTAAACAGTTCAACAGCCAAAAAGAAAACTCATTAAAAAATGGTTGAAATACTTTATGAGACATTTCTCCAAAGAAGACATACTAATGGCCAACAGCTGTATGAAAAAAATGCTCAATATCACTAATCATTAGGAAAACACAAATCAAAACTACAATTAGATAATCACGAATCACTGGGATGTTGTCACATAGTACATTCTTGTTTAATTATGCATAATCAAGTTTTCCTTTATTTTATTATAGTGTAGTTTAATATCTCATTTATGGATACTTATAAGAAGAAATTTTTTTCTAATCTCCCCAAAGCCTTGCAGTGATAGCACTGAGGGAAGCCGGTAGACCTAGAGGCCACTACCAAGTTCCCCTCCATGTGATTTGTTGAATTCCAGGTGGGTGCTCTAACTTTTGGACCATACTCTGAGATTGGCATCTTACAAGGCCAAGATGGTAGTGCCTGTCTTTGTGCCTGATATAGACTTTGGTTTTGCTATTTTATATCAATTATTTTAGACAATTAAATATTGCAAGATATGTAATCTGTCCGAAATCTTTTCTTTTTTTTTCTTCTTTTTTTTTTTTTTTGAGATGGAGTCTTGCTCTGTTGCCCAGGCTGGAGTGCAGTGGCGTGATCTCTACTCACAGCAACCTCCGCCTCCCGGGTTCAAGCGATTCTCCTGCCTCAGCCTCCCAAGTAGCTGGGATTACAGGCATGCGCCACCATGCCCAGCTAATTTTTGTATTTTTAGTAGAGACGGGGTTTCACTGTGTTGGCCAGGCTTGTCTCAAACTCCTGACCTCAGGTGATCTGCCTGCCTTGCCTCCCAAAGTGCTGGGATTACAGGCGTGAGCCACCACGCCCAGCCTGCAATCTTTATATGCCATAGGATGTTATATTCACAAGACTATTGTATTTGATAATAATTTATGATTCTGAAATTTCTAAATCAACACAGCTAAAAGAATCAAAATGCAACCTTGTCCAGAGATAGGAGGCAGTTCCAAATTTGAAAAATCCTCAAAAAGTAGACAAATGTGCTTCTCAGTCTGAAATTTAGATAAGACATATTGAGGCAGGCAAATAGGGTCTTCAGGCAGGGAACATAAGGCCAATTCACACTTCAGATATGACAGGAAAATATCTTCTCCATAGGGTGTAGGCCAAGTAACTAACTTTGTAACTTTAGTTCATCCTCATTTACATTTACTGCATATCCCAAGTAACCAATGGAATCCTCTGGAGGGTACTTAATCTCCCCAAAATTCTGTAACAGGGCCCTTGAGCCCCTATGCTTGAGCCCGCTCCCACATTGTGGAGTGTACTTTCATTTTCAATAAATCTCTTCGTTCCTTCCTTGCTTTGTTTGTGTGTTTTGTCCAATTCTTTGTTTAAGATGCCAAGAACCTGGACACCCTTCACTGGAGACAATATGATGTGCAGAGTTTGAAAGTCAGCATATTAGCTTTTATTGAAGCATGGGATCGCCTAGAGAAAGCTTTAAGGAGAGATCAAAATGATCACCTTATGTTGGGTTCCCTAGAAACAGTGTCCGAGATGTAAATTTTTGTTCAAGTTATTTATTGAAGGAGTGCTGTCAGGAGATGGGGAGTGAGGAAAAGTAATGCAGGAAAAAAAGCTATGCAAGTATGTGGTCTTAGACAAAGCCTAGCTCCATGAGGATCTCTGAATCTGCAAGATATTACAGAGTCGGCCCCACCTTAAGCAAGGAGGCCAACCTTTTAGAGCCCCTCTCCCATCAGAGAAGTGTTAGCTGCAGGCTGCACTGGGAAGGAAGCAGGTCATGGCTCCCAGGGGAGGTGGCTCCTTATTCAGACAAATATTTAGAGAATATTTGCTCAGTTGTGAGGCATTGGCAGCAAACATCAACAGCAGCTGTTGAATTGAGTGCACTGGCAGTTAAAGAGGACCTGGATAGAGCATGAACTGTATCCACAACAAAAATTTTAAAATAAACTTTGGAGAATTCAAATGGAAAAACATCATATGAATGAGGGACACCAATGTCCACCATATGAATGAGGGATGCCAAGAAGTCTAAGAAAGATGACAATAATGAAAGAGAATGGTATTAGTAGCCATCCATAATAGGTGTTTCTGACCATTGCAACAGAAACGACAAAACTGAAAATAGAGCAAGGTGGAGTAGTTACAAACAGTGTGGTCAATTTATTGTCAGATATATAAATAGAATACAGAAGTCTCCATTTATCCACAGGGGATACATTCCAAGACCACCAGTGGATGCCTGAAAACTCAGTACCAAACCCTCTATATGCTGTGTTTTTTCTTAAACATACCTATCTATGATAGAGTTTAGTTAGTAAATTAGGTAAACTAAGACATTAACAACAATAACTAATAATAAAATAGAATGGTTTAGTAAAATAAACACTGTAAGAATTAAAGAAAGAGGAGAGAAACACGAAGGGTGGCTTTTTAGTCAACAGGGACAGGATTATTTTAAATCAACCTGAGAGGGGCGGCTAGCCGAGTTAGATCAGAGCCACACTCTTACAGATTAAGAGTTTTTAAGGATTCAGGGTGGGAGAGTTTAGCAGAGGCTTGGACTGCTTCTGTGTCTCTTTGTTGTGCTTATCTGGGAGGGAGAGTTGTGTGTCTGTTCCCACACATCTTTCTGCAGCTGCAGGCATATCCCTCAGTCTGCTTTTGGCCTCCCCATCTTAGTGCACCTGAAGGGAAAGGAATGTGCTTATTAAGGCCCACTGTTTTACTTGGGCCCATTGTATGAGGGTGAAGTTTGGCAGTTACCCAAGAGACTTTCCCCCAACCTCCCTCTGTGCCCCAGCTGTCTCATCTGTGTTTTACTGTCTGCTCTTTCTGGCTGTTTGTAATAAGAGAAGTGATTTCCTTGAAATGCATGACGCTAGAAAGGGAGCTGGAACTTAAATAGGCAGTGTTTGTCCAAGGTGATGGTGCTCCTGGTCTGTCGAACACAAGCACTGTAATATCACAGCAGTCAATTTGATAACTGAGAAGGCTACTAAGAGACTAATGGATGTTTAGCATACACAGCATGGATATGCTGGACAAAAAGATGATTCATGTCTCAGGCAGACAGAATGAGACGTGAAATTTCAACATACTACTCAGAATGGCATACGACTTAAAATTTATTATTTATTTCTGGAATTTTCCACTTAACATTTTCAGATCATGGTTGACCATGGGTAACCATAACCAGGAAAAGCAAAATCATGGATAAGGAGAGACTACTTTCCTTTTTTAAGATTACATATCTTGCAATATTTAATTGTCTAAAATAATTGATATAAAATAGCAAAACCAAAGTCTATATCAGGCACAAAGACAGGCACTACCATCTTGGCCTTGTAAGATGCCAATCTCAGAGTATGGTCCAAAAATTAGAGCACCTACCTGGAATTCAACAAATCACATGGAGGGGAACTTGGTAGTGGCCTCTAGGTCTACCGGCTTCCCTCAGTGCTATCTCTGCAAGGCTTTGGGGAGATTAGAAAAAAATTTCTTCTTATAAGTATCTATAAATGAGATATTAAACTACACTATAATAAAATAAAGGAAAACTTGATTATGCATAATTAAACAAGAACGTACTATGTGACAACATCCCAGTGATTTGTGATTATCTAACCTTGAAATAAGTCATAAGTATTTGTGTTTAGAATGTAATACTTTATTACATGAACTAGATAAAGAAAGGTACTGATTGAAAATTAAGGCTTTCAATTTCCAGTTTTACTAAATGTTGTTTCCTTATTAAGATTACAGCCATTGAGCCAATAATAATTATTAACCTTTAGTTATTTAAGGAGGTCTTGGGACTTACGCACATAGTATCTTACCAAGTAGAATTCATGGAATATAATCAGAACACATTATGCTTTTGCCTCGAATGCCCTCTAAATGTATTATCTGGGGGTAGTTTTCCTCTCCCTTTGGCAAAAACTCAGTCAGGTCCCACAGTTTCCTCAGTGCTTGTTGATTACACAGCCCTAAACTGATTTCCCACACTCTTGATCCAGCAGATATTTACAGCTGGTTTTATCTGATGCGGTGAATTTTGGAGTTCCTCAGAGATGTCCAGCAATAGTGTTGACTCTCACATGCAGCTCCTTGACCCAAACAAATTCACTCCTTCCCAGTGGTTTTTTACTACTTCCTAAGTCTCTATAAATTTTGCAGTCACTTCTGTCTTCTCTTGAATGTCCCATAGATCACCCTAGCCCTACTTAAGCTCCCTTGATCCTGACCCACTCCAGTCTAGGATAACCTTTCCTTGGATGTGGCCTTCACAACCTGTAGGTGTGTAGTCTGAGCCCAATGTCCCCTTCAGCCCATTTGTCAGCAGATATCCAAATTAAGCTTCCTGAATCCCCCCTCTCTTGCTTAAAAATGAAGGAAGACATGACCCATGGGAAGAGAGTTACTGTGCAATTTTTAAAAATCCACTCTATTTTAATTTTTTTGTAGAGATGGGAGTCTCACGCTGTTGCCCAGGCTGGTCTTGCTTAAACTTCCTACAGCATCATCTGTTTCATGACCGACATTGGTGTTTGATATATGGGTGTCTCTTTTAAAACCTCCAATTTAGCATCCTTTTATATTTTAAAAAAATGAGAATTAAGCCCTGTATCTTATATAAATGCTTTGGAAGTTGCAACAGTGAGAACACCCCAATATTAATAAACTAAAGTAGAGGAGAGGATGATAGAAGCACAGGGATGAACCTTGGTGACAAGAAACAACCATGTAATGGTTCGCAGGAGAACCATGAAATCCTTTTAGCTCCATTCCATCTGTGCAGGAGAACTCTTAGAATGTGTGAGTAACCTGTCTCACAGCCTGGAGACAGGGGAGCTAGCGGGCATAGGGAGCTGTCCACTAACTAGAAAGTCAGCTTTCTTCTACTTCTCTGTCCACTATCTCTTATAGAGGCCCCCTTTCTTTTTTTTTTTTTTTTCAAAAATATATTTGCATTAGGTACTAAATTTGGTTCACTACTGTAGGTGGGTTAGGGAAGACTGGCTCAGAGGTTACCCAAAAGAACATTTTTAGCCTCATTAAACTTAATATTTAAGGAGAATCACTTTCTCACTTGAAGTATTCTGGTAATTATTTTAACTCTCTTTTTTTTATTGTTACCAGTATGAAACTATCCTAAGTCAACTAGAAATAAAGAAATCTGTGATGGAAATATATCCAATCTTAATAAAATTTGGATAATTAGCCTATAGGATTGAGCCAATATACTTCCCCCAAATGAACTAACTTTTGCATTCAACCGCAACACTTAAGATTTCTTTATAATTCACGTTTCCTTGTTTTTAAAACTCAACAATATACTCAAAACTTCACAGATTATAAACCAAGAGGCTGAGCTAATGTTTTATATTCTTTCATTGGTGCAAAAGACTATCATGGGGACCTATAAGGATATGAAATTTTTCTTCCAAAGTAATGACCTTATATTGCACCAGATAGCTAAAATACCACACTCATACATTTCATATTGCATCAAACTCCATATATACTTAAAGTTTTTCACTTTCTTCTAGAATAGTTATGAACAAATAAAATCATTCTGAGTAGAAATAATTTAGTCCTCACTAGTCTATTTTTACACTTGTCACTTTAAAGAAATTTTAAAAAGGAAAAATCTAATCAATCTAATGCAAGAGAAGATTATAGTATTTACCAAAAATGCCTTCTCCATTTACTAGTAAGCTTATGGAAGAAATGGTTGGTCATTTCTGTATCACCTGGTCAGACCCTAAACTTTTAACATGTGATAAATTCCAGCCGTTTTAAAGGCTTAGATGAAAAACAGCCTTTTTTCAGGCAAATTTAAATGTTCCCACCCAAAATAATTATGTTCTATTATAGAAATCAATAATCAAACTTGTCTCCAGTGTGAATTACATAAAAATTATCTTTGAAGTATTAACAAAATAATTTCATTGAGGTAGCAATAACCAATTTCACTTTTTTCCACAACTGTCAAAACTGTAACATAAACACATAAACGTTTTATACATTTTTTTAAGTTACCTTTTACATAATGGAAAAAGTAATAAAAGTAGAGCTCAAGTTTCAAGAAGAAAAGTTTTGTAGGAAAGGATTAGGCAGGGTGATGAGAGACACCCAGGGAAACTAGAAAAATGAAAGAACAGGAATAGAATTTTTAAATTTTTATTGATGTTCTTACAAGGCTTACAGCTGAATGAAGTTAAGCATTCTGCATTTCAATTATTTTTATAGCAGTAAGAAGAATGTAGAAAACAGTTACACATTCATCTTAACTTGTTGTCAGCCTACTGAGAGCAGTCTTCAGAGATTCTCCTCCAATACCACCTAGCTTCATTTTTCTGGCCTCTACACTCACATCAGTATTCCAAAAAGCCTGTATATCTAAAATCAGAAAAGTTTATCATTTCTAGGTGTCTATATATTTACTCTATAGTAATACTTATCAAACGTTAAAGTGCATAAATCTCATCGTGTAAATGTGTTTAAAATACAGTCTAGCATATAGATTATCACCATAACCATCTCTAAAGATTCTAAATCAATTAATCTAAATTTTAATAGAAGTATAACTTGTTCAAGGTTTGAACCACACTAGAGAAACACTGATCTAATTTTGGGTTCACATTCAAATTATTTAAGAGCTTTTAATATTATGACAACTACAATCAACTTTAACCTGTTACATCTTGGAGGATTTGATATAAGAATCAAATTAAATACACAGAAATAGCTAGATGATAGGTGGATGGATGGATACATACATACATACATACATACATACATACATACATACAATGAGAAGTGGGAACAAGAGATGAGGAGAGAATAAGGGGAGATGAAAATAAGTTTTTTTTAAAAAAAAGGTAGCTAAGACTAAGTCTGCAAAATGCAAAACAACAATTTTAATTAAGTTTTACACTTAATTCATTGGTTGTTTAGCAATGTGTAGACACTTCCTTTAGCTACTTTAGAACCAGAACATAGTTTTGAGGGTTCTGTCTCTCTCTCTCTCTCTCTCTCTCTCTCTCTTTTTTTTTTTTGAGACGGAGTTTCGCTCTTGCTGCCCAGGCTGGAATACAATGGCACGATCTTGGCTCACTGCAACCTCCCCTTCCCAGGTTCAAGCAATTCTCCGCCTCAGCCTCCCGAGCAGTTGGGATTACAGGCACCCGCCACCACACCCGGCTAATTTTTGTATTTTTAATGGAGATGGGGTTTTGCCATGTTGGCTAGGCTGCTATTGAACTCCTGACCTCAGGTGGTCCGCCCACCTTGGCCTCCCAAAGTGCTGGGATTACAGGCGTGAACCACCGTGCCCAACCCTCTGTCTCTTTTTTAGTCCTTCTGCATCTTCATGTCTCACTCATAACCAGATTCTCTCTCTCTCTGCTCAGCTTTCTTATCCTTTTGTGATTTCTTTCACTCTTCCCATTTTCTTAGTCACTTTATCAATTTACTATTTTACTGTCTCTTGTTCCTATGTTCACCTTTATTATGGGTGGTCTCCTATATATGGTTGAAAGTACTTCTGCTATTATTATGTCTTCCCCATGCCTTCTGGCCCCACTCTTGAAATCTTAGAACTCCTATCTTTTAGGTTAAGAATTGCCTTATTCACCAACTTCTCTTTTAAAATCTATGTGCTTCTGGAAGAGATATATACTTCTGAAAGATCAAGTCACTATCAGCTGGAGACCCTTTATTTCTGTCAGTCATGAACCACTAGGCTTAAATGGCTTTGGACTTCTAACTGACATGGACAAAAGATGTCTCAGCCTTCCTTAAAATCTGCAGACATCTCACAATATGTACATACACACATTGCAACTTATTTTTCCATCTTCACTTAATTGCTTTGGACACAATTTTGATCACTAGGAATAGCAAATTTTAACATTAAAACATTTTACTAGACTTACAGAGTCAGAAAAATTAAAGAAATAAACTAAAAAGATCAACAATCCATCCTTGAACTTCCTCCCCACCCCCATATTTCATAAAAAGAATTAAGCAATCTCTCAAAAATACAGTCTTAAAATACATGTACACATACATACACTCACACACTCAGGCTAGGGTCATTAATAGTCACATATGCCTATATCTTCACCTCTTTTCTTGTCTAAAAATGTTCCACAACCTGCATTAATTGCCCAATCTAGCACTGCATTAGGCAATGATCATTGTTGAGAAATCTTTCCCATTATCAACTAAAAATTTCTTATAGTTTTTTTCCTTTTATTATGCCCATGGTGAGGGTGAATAGCTAATCATTATCCTTTAACATTTTTCCATACTCTGTGCTTAAAGACAAAGGTTATACCTATCTTTATTTGCCCTTTTATAATGTATTAAACACTTCAGCAGAGGTCCTGCTAAGGATTTTTATTGTCTCTCCTTCCTCACAACCACCCACAACTAGAATCATTATTAAAGCTCATTTTCATATACTGCTTATATTATCAAGAGATGCCTTCAGCATTTTAAAAATATTTTTAACACTCAGCACTTAAGAAATAGCATTCTTCAATATAAATGAAAAGAGAAAATGATTAAAGCTTAAATTCACTAGGCACTCAATAAATGTTTATTGAATTTAGCTGAAATGTCATATTTTTCTATTTTTAATATTCATTATGATTTATTTTCTATTTTCATTTATTATGAGAAAACTTTCCATATTCCAAAAGATTAATTATATTTAATTTCTTCTCCCTTGAATAATTCTTTATTCCCCTGCTATTATGTGTAATATTTCAAAGTAAAGTATTCTTACTACAAGTCTCCTGTCTTCATGTGTCTTTTTCTTGCAACAAATAAACATATTAAATTTCTTCTCTTCTTACTAGTAATTCTTGCCACCTACCTGACTTACAGGAATATTTTGAAGATTGATGGGGCTATCAATAAAACACCTGAAATTCCTTGATGTTGTTTAAAAAAAAAAACAGGAGTGTATAAGGGAAGACAGTAATGCTGTATTTGGGGGAGTGTTTGTTTTTCTAAACATCCTACAGTAATTCCTTAGAGGATCCTTCTCTCCCCTTTGTCCTTGTAATAAAATTATGAGTAAACATGAACTTGATAGAATATGGATCCCCTTAATAAGAGCTCATTCATTTCTATTTGTTACAGAAGATAGGTTCACCATTGTCCATTCAAATAACAACTAAATGGGGCATGACCAGACCAACAGATTTCAAATTAAGATATAGCAGTTTAATAGTATATCGCAGCAGTTGGCTTCTTTATAGCCTATCAACTAACAGAAGAATGCTCTCTCTTAAAAATCAAGAACTATAAGGTTCCACTGTCAGGAAATTAAAGATTTTCAGGTAAATTCTTTACTGCTCTCTTTGTTAATTCTCCTCTCATAGTATTAATCTGTTACAACGGGTACATCTCTGTCATTTTGCATGAGTGGCATAGACTAAACCTGACACCAGAAAACCTGGGTACAAATCCCTTTCCACCACTTACCAGTTAAGTAACCTTGGCAAGTGTTTGTAAATCTAAATTGCCACGAAGGGATAGAATATTTTCTCTCACCAATTTATAAAGTTTTTGAGAGAATGGAATTAGAAGATGTCTGTGAAGGCACGGAATAAATTTTTGATTGCTGTTTTGTATAAGACATTACGATGCCAGCCTACCTAGCTTTTTGGCACTCTACCCCTCAGTTCTATCAGTTGTGAACAGAATTGTGATTCTATTCAATCACATCATAATTCTCACATAAGAAACAAGTAGGAATAAATCATTGGCACATTTAATCATGTCTTCTTATTTACTCAGAGCTGATCTACATGTCAATGTAAAGAGACTGTGATTTTACAAGGGGCTTAAAACATCTCTCAGTATTTTGCGTGCTCCTTCCAACTTCCTGACCAACAGTCCTGTCTGTACCCTTACCCAGCCCTGGCCTTTCCACCTGGAATAGCTTTCCTCTTGTGCTTATTGGAATGATACTAACCTTTGAAAGTCCAGCTTAAAAGTCACCTCCATTAAATAGCCTTCACTCTCTCAATCAGAAGTATTTTTAATCTATTTTTGTTATTCTAGCACCTACTTTTATAGTCCATGTACTTCAGACTCCTCTCTAAGACTATGACCAAAGTGAGTCATAATATTTATCATATTTAGTAATATTTATTTATCACTAAATATTAGTACCAAATAGAGGAAGTTTAACATGAAATTTACTAAACAAATATCTGTTACTTTTACTCATGTCTCACACAAAATTACGAAATTAGTCTTTCATTTGTTTTTCCCACATATGATGCACAAAAATATCTGTAAATATACAATTTTACATCACCTATGACTCTAATTTAAATGTCTCAGTCCTAAACTCAAAGCCTTACATTTCTATTCACTTCCCCCTCCATCTTTCCTTTTTTTAAAAATTTTATTATTATACTTAAAGTTTTAGGGTACATGTGCACAATGTGCAGGTTTGTTACATATGTATACATGTGCCATGTTGGTGTGCTGCACCCATTAACTCGTCATTTAGCATTAGGTATATCTCCTAATGCTATCCCTCCACCCTACCCCCACCCCACAACAGTCCCTGGTGTGTGATGATCCCCTTCCTGTGTCCATGTGTTCTCATTGTTCAGTTCCCACCTATGAGGGAGAACATGCAGTGTTTGGTTTTTTGTCCTTGCGATAGTTTGCTGAGAATAATGGTTTCCAGCTTCATCCATGTCCCTACAAAGGACATGAACTCATCATTTTTTATGGCTGCATAGTATTCCATGGTGTATATGTGCCACATTCTCTTAATCCAGTCTATCACTGTTGGACATTTGGGTTGGTTCCAAGTCTTTGCTATTGTGAATAATGCTGCAATAAACATACGTGTGCATGTGTCTTTTTAGCAGCATGAATTATAATCCTTTGGGTATATACCCAGTAATGGGATGGCTGGGTCAAATGGTATTTCTAGTTCTACATCCCTGAGGAATCGCCACACTGACTTCCACAATGGTTGAACTAGTTTACAGTCCCAACAACAATGTAAAAGTGTTCCTATTTCTCCACATCCTCTCCAGCACCTGTTGTTTCCTGACTTTTTAATGATCGCCATTCTAACTGGTGTGAGATGGTATCTCACTGTGGTTTTGATTTGCATTTCTCTGATGGCCAGTGATGATGAGCATTTTTTCCTGTGTTTTCTGGCTGCATAAATGTCTTCTTTTGAGAAGTGTCTGTTCATATCCTTCACCCACTTTTTGATGGGGTTGTTTTTTTCTTGTAAATTTTTTTGAGTTCACTGTAGATTCTGGATATTAGCCCTTTGTCAGATGAGTAGGTTGCAAAACTTTTCGCCCATTCTCTAGGTTGCCTGTTCACTCTGATGGTAGTTTCTTTTGCTGTGCAGAAGCTCTTTAATTTAATTGGATCCCATTTGTCAATTTTGGGTTTTGTTGCCATTGCTTTTGGTGTTTTAGACATGAAGTCCTTGCCCATGCCTGTGTCCTGAATGGTATTGTCTAGCTTTTCTTCTTGGGTTTTTATGGTTTTAGTCTAACATGTAAGACTTTAATCCATCATGAATTGATTTTTGTATAAGGTGTAAGGAAGGGATCCAGTTTCAGCTTTCTACATATGGCTAGCCAGTTTTCCCAGCACCATTTATTAAATAGGGAATCCTTTCCCCATTGCTTATTTTTGTCAGGTTTGTCAAAGATCAGATGGTTGTAGATATGCGGCATTATTTCTGAGGGCTCTGTTCTGTTCCATTGGTCTATATCTCTGTTTTGGTACCAGTACCATGCTGTTTTGGTTACTGTAGCCTTATAGTGTAGTTTGAAGTGAGGTAGCATGATGCCTCCGGCTTTGTTCTTTTGGCTTAGGATTGACTTGGCAATGTGGGCTCTTTTTTGGTTCCATATGAACTTTAAAGTAGTTTTTTCCAATTCTGTGAAGAAAGTCATTGGTAGCTTGATGGAGATGGCATTGAATCTATAAATTACCTTGGGCAGTATGGCCATTTTCACGATATTGATTCTTCCTACCCATGAGCATGGAATGTTCTTCCATTTGTTTGTATCCTCTTTTATTTCATTGAGCAGTGGTTTGTAGTTCTCCTTGAAAAGGTCCTTCACATACCTTGTAAGTTGGATTCCTAGGTATTTTATTCTCTTTGAAGCAATTGTGAATGGGAGTTCACTCATGATTTGGCTCTCTGTTTGGCTGTTATTGGTGTATAAGAATGCTTGTGATTTTTGCACATTGATTTTGTATCCTGAGACTTTGCTGAAGTTGCTTATCAGCTTAAGGAGATTTTGGGCTGAGACGATGGGGTTTTCTAGATATACAATCATGTCATCTGCAAACAGGGACAATTTGACTTCCTCTTTTACTTATTGAATACACTTTATTTCCTTCTCCTGCCTGATTGCCCTGGCCAGAGCTTCCAACACTATGTTGAATAGGAGTAGTGAGAGAGGGCATCCCCGTCTTGTGCCAGTTTTCAAAGGGAATGCTTCCAGTATGATATTGGCTGTGGGTGTGTCATAGATAGCTCTTATTATTTTGAGATACGTCCCATCAATACCTAATTGATTGAGAGTTTTTAGCATGAAGGGTTGTTGAATTTTGTCAAAGGCCTTTTCTGCATCTATTGAGATAATCATGTGGTTTTTGTCTTTGGTTCTGTGCATATGCTGGATTACATTTATTAATTTGTGTATGTTGAACCAGCCTTGCATCCCAGAGATGAAGCCCACTTGATCATGGTGGATAAGCTTTTTGATGTGTTGCTGGATTCAGTTTGCCAGTATTTTATTGAGGATTTTTGCATCCATGTTCATCCAGGATATTGGTCTAAAATTCTCTTTTTTTTGTTGTGTCTCTGCCAGGCTTTGGTATCAGCATGATGCTGGCCTCATAAAATGAGTTAGGGAGGATTCCCTCTTTTTCTATTGATTGGAATAGTTTCAGAAGGAATGATACCAGCTCCTCCTTGTACCTCTGGTGGAATTTGGCTGTGAATCCATCTGGTCCTGGACTTTTTTTTGGTTGGTAAGCTATTAATTATTGCCTCAATTTCAGAGCCTGTTATTGGTCTACTCAGAGATTCAGCTTCTTCCTGATTCAGTCTTGGGAGGGTGTATGTGTCCAGGAATTTATCCATTTCTTCTAGATTTTCTAGTTTATTTGCATAGAGGTGTTTATAGTATTCTCTGATGGTAGTTTGTATTTCTGTGGGATCAGTGGTGATAACCCCTTCATAATCTTTTATTGCATCTATTTGATTCTTCTCTCTTTTCTTCTTTATTAGTCTTGCTAGCGGTCTATCAATTTTGTTGATCTTTTCAAAAAACCAGCTCCTGGATTCATTGATTTTTTAAAAGGGTTTTTTGTGTCTCTATTTCCTTCAGTTCTGCTCTGATCTTCATTATTTCTCGCCTTCTGCTAGCTTTTGAATTTGTTTACTCTTGCTTCTCCAGTTATTTTAATTGTGATGTTAGGGTGTCCATTTTAGATCTTTCCTGCTTTCTCTGTGGCATTCAGTGCTATAAATTTCCCTCTATAAACTGCTTTGAATGTGTCCCAGAGATTCTGGTATGTTGTGTCTTTGTTCTCGTTGGTTTCAAAGAACATCTTTATTTCTGTCTTCATTTCGTTATGTACCCGGTAGTCATTCAGGAGCCAGTTGTTCAGTTTCCATGCAGTTGAGTGGTTTTGAGTGAGTTTCGTAATGCTGAGTTCTAGTTTGATTGCACTGTGGTCTGAGAGACAGTTTCTTATAATTTCTGTTCTTTTACATTTGCTGAGGAGTGCTTTACTTTCAACTATGTGGTCAATTTTGGAATAAGTGCAACGTGGTGCTGAGAAGAATATATATTCTGTTGATTTGGGGTGGAGAGTTCTCTAGGTGTCTATTAGGTCTGCTTGGTGCAGAGTTGAGTTCAAGTCCTGGATATCCTTGTTAATCTTCTGTCTCATTGATCTCATATTGATACAGGGGTGTTTAAGTCTCCCATTATTATTGTGTGGGAGTCTAAGTCTCTTTGTAGGTCACTAAGGACTTGCTTTATGAATCTGGGTACTCCTGTATTGGGTGCATATATATTTAGGATAGTTCGTTTTTCTTGTTGAATTGATCACTTTACCATTATATAATGGCCTTCTTTGTCTCTTTTGATCTTTGTTGGTTTAAAGTCTGTTTTATCCGAGACTAGGATTGCAACCCCTGCCTTTTCTTGTTTTCCATTTGCTTGGTAGATCTTCCTCCATCCCTTTATTTTGAGCCTATGTGTGTCTCTGCACGTGAGATGAGTTTCCTGAATACAGCACACTGATGGGTCTTGAGTCTTTATCCAATTTGCCAGTCTGTGTCTTTTAATTGGAGCATTTAGCCCATTTACCTTTAAGGTTAATATTGTTATGTGTGAATTTGATCCTGTCATTATGAAGTTAGCTGGTTATTTTGCTCATTAGTTGATGCAGTTTCTTCCTAGCCTCCATGGTCTTTACAATTTGGAATGTTTTTGCAGTGGCTGGTACCGGTTGTTCCTTTCCATGTTTAGTGCTTCCTTCAGGAGCTCTTTTAGGGCAGGCCCGGTGGTGACAAAATCTCCCAGCATTTGCTTGTCTGTAAAGTATTTTATTTCTCCTTCACTTATGAAGCTTAGTTTGGCTGGATATGAAATTCTGGGTTGAAAATTCTTTTCTTTAAGAATGTTGAATATTGGCCCCCACTCGCTTCTGGCTTGTAGAGTTGCTGCCGAGAGATCAGCTGTTAGTCTGATGGGCTTCCCTTTGTGGGTAAGCCGACCTTTCTCTCTGGCTGCCCTTAACATTTTTTCCTTCATTTCAACTTTGGTGAATCTGACAATTATGTGTCTTGGAGTTGCTCTTCTCGAGGAGTATCTTTGTGGCATTCTTTATATTTCCTGAATTTGAATGTTGGCCTGCCTTGCTAGATTGGGGAAGTTCTGCTGGATAATATCCTGCAGAGTGTTTTCCAACTTGGTTCCATTCTCCCCGTCACTTTCAGGTACACCAATCAGACATAGATTTGGTCTTTTCACACAGTCCCATATTTCTTGGAGGCTTTGTTTGTTTCTTTTCGCTAAACTTCTCTTCTTGCTTCATTTCATTCATTTTGTGTTCCATCGCTGATACCCCTTCTTCCAGTTGATCGCATCGGCTCCTGAGGCTTCTGCATTTGTCACGTAGTTCTTGTGCCGTGGTGTTCAGCTCCATCAGGTCCTTTAAGGACTTCTCTGCATTGGTTATTCTAGTTAGCCATTCGTCTAATTTTTTTTCAAGGTTTTTAACTTCTTTGCCATTGGTTCGATCTTCCTCCTTTAGCTCGGAGTAGTTTGATCTTCTGAAGCCTTCTTTTCTCAACTCATCAAAGTCATTCTCTGTCCAGCTTTGTTCCATTGCTGGTGAGGAGCTGTGTTCCTTTGGAGGAGGAGAGGCACTCTGATTTTTAGAGTTTCCAGTTTTTCTGCTCTGTTTTTTCCCCATCTTTGTGGTTTTATCTACCTTTGGTCTTTGATGATGGTGATGTACAGATGGGTTTTTGGTGTGGATGTCCTTTCTGTTTGTTAGTTTTCCTTCTAACCGTCAGGACCCTCAGCTGCAGGTCTGTTGGAGTTTGCTGGAGGTCCACTCCAGACCCTGTTTGCCTGGGTATCAGCAGTGGTGGCTGCAGAAAAGCGGATATTGGTGAACCGCAAATGCTGCTGCCTGATCATTCCTCTGGAAGTTTTTTCTCAGAGGAGTACCCGGCTGTGTGAGGTGTCAGTCCGCCCCTACTGGGGGGTGCCTCCCAGTTAGGCTACTTGGAGGTCAGGGACCCACTTGAGGCGGCAGTCTGCCCGTTCTCAGATCTCAAGCTGCATGCTGGGAGAACCACTACTCTCTTCAAAGCTCAGTTGGAAACGCAGAAATCACCCGTCTTCTGCGTCACTCACACTGGGAGCTGTAGACTGGAGCTGTTCCTGTTCAGCCATCTTCCATCTTTCTTAATTTCCTGTATATCATGTACCCAGTGTTCCTTCTCCTTAGCATCCTGGTGTTTTAAATTGCTATCTCCATTTTCCTATATTCTTTGTCCTTATAGAATAGTCTATTTTATTAATTATTTACAATCTAGTATAAAAGTTAGCTCTTCCAAAAGACCTCACCTGATTAACCCTTTCATATAGATCTTTTATAAACTCTAAGCTCTCAGACACCAGGACAGTTTCCTTATAAAGTGAAAAAGAGCATATGACTTCATATTAGAAATGCATTAGGATAAATGGCCTAAAAGCATAATTGCCTTAAGGCAACTTATCAGTACCCTTCAGGGTTTGTTTCTACAGCATGAAACCAACAACAGCAGAGAATAATTTTTAACAGTATATACGGACAAATATTTTTCATCCTTACATTTTTGTGTGCATAAATAGCATTTCTTGAGATCAGAGCATTTTGCACTATCCCAAGGTTTACACTATGAAGATAAAATGTACAAGTAATTCCTGCTTATTTATCATATCTTTCTGGAAATTATTTTGTGAATAAGATTTTCAAGAGTGAATCAAAGTTGCCCATTGAAAGACTACCTTACCAATAGTGAACCTGACAAAGACTCCAGCATCAAATAAATCATAGATATAACTAACAGTACTTTGAAGACATAGTAAGAAGTTTAAAGTTTTTTAACATTAAAATAATATTTTAATTTAAACAATAAAATATAATTCATGTTCTATAAAATTATTTAAAATCTCTAAATAATACTCTAATCATTAAGGATTCTAAATGACATGGAAAATGTTTCTGAAAAACTGAATCTACTCTGCTGGATATAATATATTTAACAGTTATGTTTCAAGAAATTTGGCGGGTGGCTCCCATGCAGGGACAATGGCTAAGCCTTGGGCCTGGCAACACATTCCCTCCATGCTAAATAGCAAAAGGCCCTTAATTTGAACTCTGTTATGAGATCTATAATCTGTAGGTCAGATGGTGAAATGCAAAGATGAAAAGGCAAATGTTGTTCTTTCCAAATAGAAAAGAATACAGACTTTCCTATTTCCACCTGGGTGTACATTCTACCTTGTAGCTGTGCAAATGTAAGTAAGCTCTTTAAACTCTAAACTCTTGTCTCCATAGCTGCAAATTGAAAACAATTATACTTAATAATAACTAAATGAATATCAAAAATTAAATGAAATAAAGTGCATAATGTGCTTAGCAAGTATCAAGTATATGTAGTAAATATTCAGTAAAATCACTATTATGATATCATTATCATTATCATCACATAGGGTACACTCGCCCACTGACACAGTGTAGATTACCTAATACATGTAGTCCATTCCTACCTCACACCTAGAAGAACAATTAAGTGCTCTCCTCAATACTAGGGATATGATCTAATAGACTCACACTGGTCTCAAGAGACAAAGGGCCTGATGAGCTAACAGCAGAAGGAATGCTGACTCTCATAAATTTTGACAGATATTTTTCATATGAATTGACAGAAAACCTCCTTTAGTTACTGAGGAGTAATTTAAGCTATGTATCACTGGCCAACCACTATAATTAAAGTTAGATATCCTGAGTAAGATTTTTTTATGGCCTAATGATCAATTAATTATTTCTGCATGGGAAATTTTCCAAACTACGATAGTCTCAAAGATGCTCTAAGGGTTTAAACTATGAGGATTCAGTCTTTAATTTGTTCAAGTGTTGGAGCCAACACAAAAATGAGTCTAGTTTTAGGAATGTTTTACTTTGCCTACGGTTGGAACTATAGACTGCTATCTCTTCAATACAGAGTCTTACACTCCTTTATTTTAATAAAAGTATGAGAACTTTATCCTGTACTTGGTAAATATTTAAGACCTATGAATCTTCCCACCATCACTAACATAGAATAACAATACTGAAAGATTTGCCAGAAATTACCCAGGGTACCTCTCTGCTGCATCCTGAGAGGCCCGTGTAGAGCATGGCCTGCTGCATGCATGGTACAATTCTGCCGCTCTCTTGTTCCTCTGTGTTTATCCAATCAATCCAGACTATATTGTCTAGGCCTTCCTAGACAATAAAAGAATCACTTTTTAAAAATTGTGCTTTTGTTTAATGACGTATCCTATATTGAAAAATGCTATAAAAATGTTGTAAGAAAATCTTGTTGCATACTGTTTCATTCTGTCTCCCTTGCAACAACTATGGGGGAACTTCCTTTAGACTTCAAGGCCACGGCCTCCCCTCGAGCTGGTATATGTTATCATATGGACAATTTGAATCTTGCAACTTGTCCTGATTCCCTCTTGGTTTTGGCTCATTAGGAAATTCAAAATTGATGTGGTGTCCCACCTTCAGACACTGTGAGAATTTTATAGCACATATCTCTAGTTCTCTCTCTTATAGCCCCATTTTATTATTCTTCCTTATTTTCCTTTCACCTTGTCTTTTATATTTTTTCAGTCATTATGGCTTATGCAGTATACTTGTGCTTGTCTCTTTAGAACTTAGGAGAGGTATTTGTAAGAGTGTCATGATGTCTTTAAAAAAAGAAAAAAAGGCTCTCCAGGGAAATGTTTCCCAGATTCTCAAATGTATTTGCCAATGAACCTCCTCTAACAGTACAGAACCATTGACCCCAATTCCTGCACCAATTCTTACCAAGCTAAACATATCACTGGTCTACCTGGATTTACATTGCGAATGAGTGCTAGGTTCTCTTATGGTATGTACAGCTTGTAAGCTTTTTCTTCATCATCATTTTTACCACCAAGCCCTTGCCACTCCTATCAGGCTACCGCTGGGTGGCATTCTGCCTTGAATGGACAGATCATCTAAATAAAAAAACGTCATTACCTATCTTATTTCAACCACCTGAATATTTTCTGTTGCTTGGCTAGTACCAGCCAGATTTCAAGTAGCTATCAGGATGTTACCATAGATAACACAATACACACCTGGTCTTGCTGCACACATTACGCATTGTGCATTGAACTACCCTGTGCCTTGTGACAAATGGCTTGTAAAGGCCAATTAATTTTCTCAGCACCTATCTTATCTGGTTCCTGCTTTATCCTTCTACACAGGAATCAAATCCCCGCACAACTGGCACTAAAAACCTCTACCACCACCAAAATTCAGAAACATGAAATTGACCACCCAAGCGCTCCATTCAGAGATTATAACTGACATTTTAAAAACAGCCTATAGTTCCCTTATGTCAACACTAGATAGAGATTGGATTCCTGGACTGAATACAAAGATGACCTTTGTTAGAAAACTGAAAACAAAATGTAAAAAGCAACGAAGCAGAAGTGGATTGCTCCTATATATTCATATCTATGAAATGTATCCATATTTTCATATACGGTATAAATACATAGTTATAATTTTAAGGGCCCATCCTAATGTCAACAGTAAAGAGAAAGAATAGTAAGTTCATAATATTTCTTTTATTGTGTTTCCAAAGCTGTTGAGTAAGTTATAATGCCATAATTCTGGCAGAATTGTCTATTTTATATAAAATTTTTAAGATTTCCCCACAAAGAGCCAGGTTCATACAACATATTAATGTAATAAAAATGTCTCCTAGAAATAGGAGTGCTTTTTAAAGATACTACTAATCCACAAAAATTACTCAACATTTCATTTTCAGCCATAAAACATATTTACACATACTTATACAATACTAACTATGGAATTTAACCCAACAGTTTCCAATTACTTACATTAAGAGACACAAGAAATCACTACAAACTAAAACTAGCCCAATCCTTGAAGATAATTCTTAAAGTGTGGTCTACAGACCACCTGTTTCAGAGCTACCTAGGAAGTCTGCTTAGAGTGCAAATTCATGGGACATAGTCAGACTTCTAGAATTAGAATTTCTGGGGTTGGAACCCTGGAATCTGATTTCTTTTTAAGTAAGTTCCCTTGATTCTTGAGTGCAGTAAAGTTGAAGAATCACAGCACATGGAGAAGGCAAGTGAAATAAAAAAGTCAGACTTGTAGTGAGAGTCCTTGTAACAGGCACTGCATAGCACACAAGGAGTGCAACAAGTTACTGTAGTCCACATAGGCAGCTGGCAAAATGAGGTAGGGTATCCACAACTGCATCAATGCAACTGGGTTTGAAGCTTCACTACATGCTAGCTATGTGAATTACAAGGTTTTTCTTTTAACTCAATGACTTCTGCATTTGTAAAACAAGAATAATAATCTAACTTAGGTGTGGTTGTAAGGATTAAACAATTTAACACACATAAAGCACTTAGAGCAGTGATCTGGGAGAATATCACATAGGAAAGAATCATTCTAAAATGACTATGTCATTACCTATCAATACTACACTGCTAGAGGTAAGTAACCATAATTATCCATATTCTGGGCTATTAAAGCAAAACTGTGAGATGAAGTTCATCTTCGTATCGTCCCCTTCCTTTTGGATATCTTCCATTCTTAGTATAAAGATCTGCCCTTCCTAACCTATACACTGTGTTTGTTCTCACCCGCCCACAATGGTGGTTGTTACAATTTTACCCCACTGGAAATCATCTGTTGTATATTACATCATCTTATGACTTTGTGTTTCAATAATGGAGCTAAAATGATGTACTACGTTTTTAGAGGGACCGTTGCCAGGTATACATATCTAACGGATGTTTGAGGAGACTAATCCTTTCCCCCATAGTTTTCTAATGAACTAAAGAGTGTAATGGTGAAAAGTAAAGGAAGGTGAAAAAGATATTTCAGAGTAAGCATATCTCTTAGCAACCATCCACGAACCAGGCATTTCATACCTGCAAATAAAACCTTGCAAAGAACAGTACACCAAGAGAAAAGCTACTTATACCAGATTAATTTTACCATGAAGAGTTTATCTTTTATCAGCTTTCCCACTCTCATTCAACTCAGGGATTAGGCATACTTTTCCTTTCCTCCTGAATTTCACTCCTTCACTCTGAGTACATGATATTAAGAGTTACCAAGTAACATATATTTCACCTTTCCTGCTCTGCAACCTTAGAAGCTACCTGTGCTGCTCCCAGCTATTCCTCTTTTCCTTGAACCTCAGGGTAAAACATCTTCCTCCTTTTGAAAGTTGTTTCCACTTAGACTCTGAGTCCGATGTATTTTGATCTAACTTGGAGCTTTTTAAATTTAATTCCTTCTCTCTCTTCCTTGTCTTCAGATGACTCCTTCCCCTTATGCTATGTTCAATCTTAAAAATTCCCTTGATTTTTCAACGATTCATACCTTCTTTCCCACAGCTTTCCTTACCGTCTATCAGATTTTCAAATTCCCAACATCCTGTTTTTGCTTTTATCATTCTACACACACACACACACACACACACACACACACACACACACACACAAACCCCATGACACTTAAACTTGATTGGCAATGGCCACCACTGACTTTCACATTGCCAAACCCAACTGACTGAAAATTCCAGCATTTGACACTGTTCACTAGTGTTTCCTTCTAAAAACATTGTTCTCCCTTGACTTCTCTAACATCATCCAAAAATAAAGATATTTATTTCCCATCTCTTTTACTAGATCTTTTGACTCTGCTCATCCTTAAAATGTTTGTGCCCACCTGTCTTTTCACCTTACAATTCTTCCTTAATGTTTAAATTTAGTCTCATAAATTTACATCTATAAATGTATGACTCTCAAATCAGCACCTCTAGCATCAGTACTTCTGAACTCCACAACCAAATATCTAGTAACCTACTGTAATTTCTACCTTGATATCTTTTGTCCTGTGGGTCATATCTTGATAAAAGAAATTATCTATGTAATCACTCATGCCAGAAATCGGGGAATTATTTTTGAACCCTCATAATTCATCACTTCCCATGTCTCATCAGAGCACTAGGTCTCATCAGTACAAAGCCTGTACACTAGGTCTTGTCAGTACAAAGCCAGTACACTAGGTTTTGTCAGTACAAAGTCAGTATAAAGCACTCTCTACTTTATTGCCTTCCCGCCATCTGCGTGTGCTACCACTGCCTTCATAGGAAGCACATTGTCTCTTCACTTAGGACAGACAAGTTAAAAAAAATTTAAGGTAGCATGATAACTTTCATACAACTATAAAATAAACATGTGTCATAGATTTTATTTAACTAATTAATGAATGAGGGAGCAAGTAAGATGTTACAATGAGTTCAAAGGAGAAGTTAAAGTACCACACTTACATAGGTTGATAAGGGATGCTGAGAAGAATTTACCAATATATTCAAGCCTGGCTTTTTCCACAGTAGGGAGGAAAATTAATTTTCCATTCTCCAGACAATTCATTTGCACATCTATGGACAAGAGTCATTTGCATCGACATGATCTGCAATTTACAGAATTTTAAATAGCTGAAAGACAATGAAAGATGCAAAATCCATAGAATCAAATAACTCAGAAGGGTGTGCTCTGTCCTTTAGACAACATATATTTCGATTGAAGACACCTAGTACAGTTTTTTGTCTACTTCAAAGTCACAACTTTTTCTGAAAGACTTTCTCATCGTTTGTAAAACTAAAGTCTAATAAAATCTCTCCCCCGTCTCCCTACCAACACAAAATATCTAGCCTAGCTCTAACTGGCCATTCTGATCTCCTGTCTCACCACCCCACCCCACCCCACTTCACCCCCACTTTATATCAGTTAGAGAAATAACAAAATGCTCATTCTTTCCCTAATACACTTTGCTGTTTTATACTCATTTTATTTCACATGCCAGATTTTTCCTGGAATGTACTTTTGTCCAACTAATAAAGCCTCATTATTGTATCTTTTATGAATTTTTTTATTTTTAATTTTTATGGGTATATAGTATGTGTATATATTTGTGGAGTGCATGAGATGCTTTGATACAGGCATGTGGCCAGGCACGGTGGTTCACGCTTATAATCCCAGCACTTTGGGAGGCCAAGGTAGGCTGATCACCTGAGGTCAGGCATTCGAGACCAGTCTATCCAACATGGCAAAACCCCATCTCTACTAAAAATACAAAAAAAATTAGCCAGGTGTGGTGGCGGGTGCCTGTAATCCCAGCTACTTGGGAGGGGGAACAATATACAGGCAGGCAATGTGAGATGAGCACATCAAGGAGAATGGGGTATCCATCCCCTCAAGCATTTATCCTTCGTGTTACAAACAATCCAGTTATACTCTTTTAGTTTATTTTAAAATGTACAATTAAATTATTATTGACTATAGTCACACTGTGCCATCAAATATTAGGTCTTACTCATTCTATTTTTTGCACCCATTAACCATCCCCACCACTCCCCCAAGTCCCCATTCCCCTGCCCAGCTTCTAGTAATGATCCTTCTACACTCTTTACTCATGTGTTCAATTGTTTTGACTTTTAGATTCCACAAGTAAGTGAGAATACATGATATTTGTCTTTTGTGCCTGGCTTATTTCACTTAACACAATGATCTCCAGTTCCATCTATGTTGTTGCAAATGACAGGATCTCATTCTTTTTTATGGATGAATAGTACTCCATTGTGTATAAATACCAGATTTTCTTTATCCATTCATCTGTTGATGTTCACTTAGGTAGTCTCCAAATCATGGCTATTGTGAACAGTGCTGCAATAAACATGGGGGTACAGATATCTCTTCAATATACTCATTTCCTTTCTTTTGGGTATATACCTAGCAGTGGGATTGCTGGATCATACAGTAGCTCAATTTTTAGTTTTTTGAGGAACCGCCAAACTGTTTTCCATAGTGGTTATACTAATTTGCATTTCCACAAAAAGTGTACACGGGTTCTCTTTTCTCCACATCTCACCAACATTTGTTATTGCCTGACTTTTAGTTATAAGCCATTTTAACTGGGGTGAGAGGCTATCTCATTTTAATTTTGATTTGCATTTCTCTGATGATCAATTATGTTGGGCACCTTTTCATATGCCTGTTTGCCATTTGTGGTTTGAAAACTGACTATTCACATCTTTTGCCCATTTTTTGATAAGATTATTAATTGTTTTCCTATGGAGTTGTTTGAGCCCTTTGTATATTCTGACTATTAGTCCCTTGTCAAATGGGGTCAAATGGGTAGTTTGCAAATATTTTCTCCGATTCTGTGGATTGTCTTCTCACTTTGTTGATTGTTTTCATTTCTATGCAGAAGGTTTTTAACTTGAGATGATCCCTTTTGTCCATTTTGCTTTGGTCGTCTTCACTGGTGTGATATTAGTCAAGAAAGTTTTGCCCAGACCAATGTTCTAGAGAGTTTCCCCAATGTTTTCTTGTAGTAGTTTAATAGTTTGAGGTCTTAGATTTAAGTATTTAATCCATTTTGATTTGATTTTTGCATATGGTGAGAGAGAGCGGTCTAGTTTAATTCTTTTGTATATGGCTATCCAGTTTTCCCAGCACCATTTATTGAAGAGACTGTCTTTTCTCCAGTGTATGTTCTTGGCAACTTTGTTGAAAATAAGTTCACTGTAGGTGTGTGGACTTTTGTTTCTTGGTTCTCTCTTCTGTTTCATTGGTCTGTGTGTCTGTTTTTATGCCAGTACCGTGCTATTTTGGTTACTACCACTCTGTAGTATAATTTAAAGTCAGGTAATGTGAATCCTCTGGTTTTGTTCTTTTCACTTAAGATAGTTTTGGCTAGTCTAGTTCTGTTGTGGTTCCACATAAATTTTATAATTTTTTTCTATTTCTGTGAAGAATATCATTGGTATTTAGATAGCGATTGGATTGAATCGGTAGATTGCTTTGGGTAGTGTGAACATTTTAACAATGTCGATTTTTCCAATTCATGAACATGGAATATCTTTCCATTTCCTGGTGTCTTCTTCAATCTGACTACTTACAAAGCCAAGTTCAGAGGCCATATTTTTCAGGAAGACTCCAGTCTCTCCAAATAATCATTTCCTAACAATGCCAATTATTCACTTTCATATCTTACTTTTCTAACAGACTGAGAGCTGCCTAGGGACAGAGACTGAAAAGGTTTATTGTATGGTGAGTAACAACAGAGACTTTACAATCAGATCTGGATTCAAATTCTGAATCCATCACCTACTAGTTGAGTGGCACGGGCAAGTTACTTAATCTCAATTTGCCTAAATTTCTTCCCCTGGAAGTGAAAGCATTATTGTTCAGAATATTGGTTTGAATTGGAACAACTGTTTGAATGTCTTTCACTCTTTACAATTACTCTCCTCCAAGGCAAAACACTTATCCTCGTTCCCTCAATTTCTTAATCTGTAAAACGCAGTTGATAATAATACCTCACAGAGTTCCTAAGATACAATATATGTAAAGCAGTGTGGTGATTAACCTTATGTGTCAACTTGGCTAGGCCGTAGTACCTAGATATTTTGTTAAACACCAGTCTACCTATTACTATGCAATCTGTCTTTGGATAAAATTAACATTTAAATCAGTAGCCTTTTAGTGAAAGCAGATTACCCTCCATGGCAAGAGTGGCCACATCCAATCAATTCAAGACCAGAAGAGCAAAAGATTTAATCCTCCTGCTTCCCCCACAGAGGAAGAGGGATTTCTGCCTTTGGACTTGAGCTGTAATGTCAACTCTTTTCTAGGTCTCCAGCCTGCTTCTTTCTCTGCAGATTTCAGACTTGCCAATTTCCATGACCTCATAAGCCAATTTTTAAAAATAAATTTCCCTCTCCCTCTCTTTCTCTAACTCTATCTTAATACACACACATACATGCACACACACACTGTCATCCTTCAATATCCATGAGGAATTGATTTCAGGACCTCTCACAGATACCAAAATCTGCAAGTACTCAAGTCTCTGATATTAAATGATACAGCATTCATATAACCTATGCATATCTTCTTGTATACTTTAAATCATCTCTATATTACTTATAATGCCTTAAAAATGTAAATGCTGTGTAAATCATTGTTATGCTTTATTGTTTAGGAAATGACAAAAAAAACTACGCATGTTCAGTATAGACACAATTTTTTAAAAAATATTTTCAGTGTGAGGTTGGTTGAATGCATGGATGCAGAATCCATGTAGGGCCAACTACACACATACACACACACACACACACACACACACCCACATAGGACCAACTACATACACACACACACACACATACATTCAGTTGGTTGTTTATCTAAATAACTATTTTATACAATCAGTCATGCAATATCTAGTGCATTGGAAGCACTTAATACATGTAATTTTTATTATTTGAGCTTTCCAGAATAAATGAATTAATGTATACAAAACACAGCACGTCTGGAACATGAGTCAATAGATATTATATATTCATAGTTCTTTATCATTTTTTATTTCCAGGGCCTAAAATAGTACTTAGTATAATTAATTATTGGAAGTTTGTTCACTGAGCAAATAGATGAATGAAAAAAATAAAATAGGCAAAATACAACAGTCACTTTTTTAAAGCTCACATATATAGTATATATTTTCGTGTTTATTATATGGCATTTAATGTTAAATACTAAAGGTTTGTGTATTAGTCCATTCTCACACTGCTATAAAGATACTACTTGAGACTGTAATTTATAAAGAAAGGAGGTTTAATTGATTCACAGTTCTGCATGGCTGGGAGGCCTCAGGAAACTTACAATCTTGGTGGAAGGGGAAGCAGGCACATCTTACATGGCAGCAGGAGAGAGACAAGAGAGTAAGAGAGAGCAGGAAAAATTACCACTTATAAACCATCAGATCTCGTGAGAATTCACTCACTATTACTAAAACAGCATGGTGGAAATCGCTGTTCCAATCACTTCCCTCCCTCAACACATGGGGATTACACTTCAAGATGAGATTTGTGTGGGGACACAGAGCCAAATCATATCAGTTTTATTCAGCATATTCTCCCTGTGGAGTATAAGAAACTCAAAGAGATGAAGTGCTTGCAGAGAGGTCAAAAGGTCGATTGTACTTTGTAAAGAGGACTGGGCTGGGGTTAGAAATAAGCTAGGCAAGTACATTTTATTTTAATTATTTTTTTATTGTAGATTCCAGGGGTACATGTGCAGGTTTTTTTACGTGGTTATATTGCATAATGCTGGAGTTTGGGCTTCCAGTGAACCCATCCCCCAAATAGTGAACAATGTAACCCATAGGTACTTTTTCAATACCTCTTGCCCCTCTCATCCCCTTTATGGATTTCCCAGTGTCTATTATTTCCATCTTTATGTCCACATATACCCATTGTTTAGCTCCCACTAATAAATGAGAACATGTGGTATTTGATTTTGTTTCTGAATAAAAAATATTTATATATTGGCTCTAACTCCATCCATATTTCTGTGAATGACATGAATTGAATAAAAATACATGAATATTAATGAAAGATTTTATTTTCTGTGTCCATGCAGTATTCCATGGCGTATATATACACCACATTCTCCTTATCCAATCCATCACTGATGGATACTTAACTTGATTCCATGACTCCACTATTGTGAACAGCCCTGTAATAAATATGCAAGTGCAGGTGTCTTTTTGTAAAATTATTTATTTTCCTTTGGGTATATATAGTGGATTGCTGGGTCAAGTGGCAGTTCTATTTTTAGTTCTTTGAGAAACTTTCATACTGTTTTACACAGGGATTGAACTAACTTACATTCCCTCCAAAAGTGTGTACGTGCTCCCTTTTCTCCATATCCTCGCCAATATCCGTTTATTTTTTGACTTTTTAATAATAGCCATTCTGACTGATGTGGGATGGTATCTTATGATGTTAATTTACATTTATCTAATAATTAGCGATTTTTTTCATACATTTGTTGGCCACCTGTATGTCTTTTTTGAGAAGTATTTGTTCATGTACTTTGCCCATTTGTAATGAGGTTATTTGTTTTGTTCTTGGTTTTTTTATGTTCTTTATAGCCTCTGGATATTAGTTCTTTGTTAGATGCATAGTTTGCAAATATTTTCTCCCATTCTGCAGGTTGTCTGTTTATTCTGTTGTTTATTTTGCTGTATGGAAGCTCTTTAGTTTAATTAAGCCCCATTTGTTATTTTTGTTTTTGTTGTATTTGCTTTTGAGGTCTTAGTCATAAATTATTTGCCTAGGACACTGTGTAGAATTTTGCCTAGGTTTTCTTCTAGGATTATAGTTTCAGGTCTTACATTTAAGTCCTTAATCCACGTTGAGTTATTTTTTGTATATAGTGAAAGGTAGGGATCTCATTTTGATCTTCTGCTTGTGGCTAGTCACTTTTCCCAGCACTGTTCATTGAATAGGGTATCCATTCCCCATTGTTTATTTTTTGTCAATTTTGTCAAAGATCAGTTGGTTGTAACTATGGCTTTATTTCTGGGTTCTCTACCCTGTTACATTGATCTATGTGTCCATTTTTGTATCAATATCATGTTGCTTTGGTTACTATGGCCTTGTAGTATATATAGTTTGAAGTCAGATAATGTCATGCCTCCAGCTTTATTATTTTTGCTTAGGATCGCTTTGGGCATTCAGGCTATTTTTCAATTCCATATGAATTTTACAATTGTTTTTTCTAATTTTGTCAAAAATGATATGGTAATTTGATAGGAATTGTATGCAATCTGTAGATTTGGGCAGTATAGTTCATTTTAATGATATTGATTCTCCCTACCCATGAACATGGGAGGTTTTTCCAATTATTTTTGTCATGTACGATGTCTTTCAACTGTGTTTTGTAGTTCTTCTTGTAGAGGTCTTTCACCTCCCTGGTTAAATGTATTCCAATGTAGATCTGCCAATTTCTTCTTCTAGCCATGGCCCTCTGTTACGCAGGAAGTATATAGTTCTTTTGGGATATGCTTGATCTCAACATTGGTAACCTCCGTGTTCTATATCTCCTTATATTAATATCAATTATTCCCAATCCTTACACTATCTACCTCTTAATTTAAGTTCTTCACCATTTGTAGATACTTGCTCCCTAAAGAGAACTCTCAGGTTATCTGCTTCACCGATACTGTGGTTCCGAAATCTGAGTGAATCCGAGAATCACCTAGAACCACTTGCTAAAAATAAAATTTCTTGAGTTCCATGTCTGGAGATTCTATATTTTCAATAAATACTCAAGATAATTCCAATGGATCTGATCCTAGAACTAGAATTTTAAAACTACTTCTAAGGGAAAGATTCTACTTTGACTACTTTTTCATTTTGTCACTGATATTGTTAGCTATATATTTATTTCCACTCTTTTTTCTTACTGGTGATAGACAAGTAAACTTCAGATAAGTTCTGCAATTTGAGTTACAAAGCCCAAGTTTTCTGGTTGTAAAATTATAATACATATGTCTTCAGGAGCCCAAACACATTTTTCTCTGAAATGTTTCCGTGTTGAAACAACTGCAGGACATTGAAAAAGGCATCAAAGAAAACTAGCTAAAAATCTGCGTGAGATTTCTTTTTTTCAACTTAATACAGAAAAGCTATCTGCCCATTAAACTTTGTGAATGTATTAAAACTATCTGAGTCACTCAATAGCTACTAGAACTGATAGCCCAGAAAATTTTTAATAATTTTAACTACAAACTGCACAAGAAGATAGCAATCAGTTTAAGTGGGATAGCAGAGGAGGACAATGGTCTTGGAAAATGACATGAATTTTGGTCTGACAAGTAATAGACAAAGTTTGTTTCTGTGTAAACATTAAGACCAAGTTTTTTGTTGTTGTTGTTTTTTCAGACGAAGTCTCACTCTGTTGCCTAAGCTGAAGTGCAGTGGCGCGATCTCTACTCACTGCAACCTCCGCCTCCCGGGATCAAGCGATTCTCCTGCCTTAGCCCCCCGAGTAGCTGGGACTGCAGACATGCGCCACTATCCCTGGCTAATTTTTGTATTTTTAGTAGAGATGGAGTTTTATTATGTTGGCCAGGTTAGTCTTGAACTCCTGACCTCGTGATTTGCCCACCTCGGCCTCCCAAAGTGCTGGGATTACAGGAATGAACCACCGTGCCCGGCCAGGACCAAGTTTTAAAATAGAAAGTCATGAGTGATTCTCTAAGTCACAATAACTTTAGATTCAGAAGGAATGTGCTGTAATAGTGATGTAAACTAGGATAATTACCCTAACGCTATTGTGTCCAAGATTCAGTGGAGGCATAGAAACACATCTTTAGCAGTTAAGTAGTCAGTAAGATTGTGCTGCTTTGTGAAGGTACCATCATGACCCAAATTTTATTCAGTCTCTGAGAAGACAAAACCAGTCTGTCCAATGACAAATACAATCACAAACCAAAACTATGTAGGCCTGGGCACTAGCCAAAACAAATTTTCTGATTCGCCATATGGACATTCATTTTAGGCACATAAACAAAATGCTTCTCAAATGCCTTTATCATGTCAGGCTAACAGAAGCCTTTCTAAGCATCTATTGAGTCCCAACAAATCACTGGCAATATTTTCCAAAGGCTGGTCATGTGTTCTCAGCTGATTCCAGGGTCTTGTGAATAATGCCTTTCATGATGTTTGTACAGCTTTGAGATCAAAAGAATCCATGGAACTTAAAAAGCTAGGTTCAAATTCTGGCTCATCTGTTACTAGCTGTGTGATTTCGATCATGGGTACTTATGATAATTTAAAGTTTTATGTTAAATTTAAATATTTTAAAACTATGATGAATATAATTTATGTGAAACATTGGTCTTGAAAAATGGAAAACTGGTGTGACAACTCATTGTAATAATGGGAGACATTTTACCACTATTTAAATACAAAAGCTGATTTAAGTTTAAATTTTAAAAAAATAGTAATAATAATGCTAGTTGAGCATGTATAATCTGAAAATGTAATATCTGAAATGCTTCAAAATCTGAAACCTTTTGAGTAGTGACATGACACCACAAGTGGAAATTTCTACATATGACCTCATGTGAGGGATCACATTTAAAATACAGTCAAAACTTCTTTCATGCACAAAATTATTAAAAATATTATATCAAATTACCTTCAGGCTATGTATATAAGGTGCATATAAAATGTAAATGAATTGACTGTTTAGACTTGGATCTCATCGTCAAGATATCTCATTATTTATATGCAAATATTGCAAAATCTGAAAAAAACCTGAAAAAAATCTGAAACCCAAAACACTTCTTGTCCTAAGCATTTCAGATAAAGGATATTCAACTTGTACAACACATGAGATAAGATTGTTATACTTGCGGCCTCTAATACTATGGCTTATCTTATAAGTAGATGTAGGATTTCAAGAATAGTATGTGTGGAAATATCTGAAGCATAATGGATTCTTAAAAATTACATACATATGTATCATACTTAGGCTCTATAAATAAGTTTGTATTGCTCAAATCTGCAGTAAAGAATTCAACCTTGCCCAAAGAAAGGCCTGGCTTTTGCCTTCAATTTTTGGGATGTAATGTATGTCATAACTGAGAGAAGTATCTTTGCTTGGGGTAGGGGCTGGCCACACCCTGAATTTTACACCCTAAAATATGGTTGTCTTTGGAGTGTGAAATTTGGGTCATGCATCTGTCAACCTGGCAACTGAAATCAAACACAAGGGCAATGAATAAATCAGTCATGCCTATGTAATGAAGCCCTAGTAAAAACTCTGCACACTAAGGCTTGGGTGGGCTTCCCTGGTTAACAGTACTCTGTGCATATGGTCACACATCAATGCTAAGAGAGTAACACATCCTGAAGACACCAGAGGTTTCACATCTATAACTGTCCCAGACTTTGCCCTATTTGTCTCTTCCTTTGGCTGAATTTGATTTGTGTCCTTTATCTGTAATAACCCATAATCATGAGTATAATAGCTTTCAATGAGTTCTGTGAGTAATTCTGGTGAATTCAAAACTGAGGGTGGTTTTGGGAGTTCCCCAGAGATGCAATTGGTGTCAGAAGTAAGGACAGTCTTGGGGACTGTATCCTTAAAGCTCACATTTTGCTAACTCTGAGTAAAATGATATTGTATCATTTAAGTTCATGTAAATGACAACCCTCGACACAAACTTTACCATTTGTTGTAAAGCCTTAAACAAAGATAAAATAAGTGAATTACTGAACATTTCTTAAACATTACTATTCTACCAATTATACATTTTTATTATAAGTTAACCAATAAAAAGATAAACCTCTAATAACAATCTTTGGTTGGCTGAAGATATGTTTATTTAATTGTGTCTGAAGGCCATTCCCATAGGATCAATCCAAATATTCAAGTTTTTGCATAATTAAAAAAGAGTTAAGCCAACAGCAAAATTTTGTCTTTCTATAGAATCATGATGAATTAGTCAAAGTTGCCATATCCAGGCCACAGTCTGTGACACCTCGCACAATTTTTATATTCAGGAAACTACATCCTATCTACTTCTTTTCTGTATTTGGAAAGCATTTATATCCCACCAAGTCAAGCTTCACAGTCTATATAATGTCCTGGAACTATCTAGAGGGGTAACAAGCTAAAAGACCAGATGATTACTACAGTTTTTTTTTTTTTATTTTCGGTACAAAGATTGTTGAAGTTTTATTAAATTACAATCAATGCTGTAGCATTTCTCTAGAGTAGTGGTACTCAAATGAGTGTGGTTTTTCCCCCAAGGACATTTGGCAAATCTAGAGATATTTTTGGTTGTAAAAATTAGGTGGTGGGTTCTACTGTCATCCAGTGGATAGAGGCCTGAGATGCCACTAAACATTTACAATGCACCAGATCACCCCTCCACAACGAAGAATTGTCCAGCCCCAAATGTCAGTAATGCTAGGTTTGAGAAACCTTGCTCTTAAGATAAGTCTTAGTTTCAAACTGAACTTTCATCGCCAAGATTAGTACAAAGGAATTTTATCATGGTTCTTTCTGAATATATCACTCTTCCCTTATTTAAAGGGGGCAATTTTATCTACAGACCCAAATCAAATATTCTTCCTTATTTTAAATAAAATTCTGAAGTATTTAAGCTTCACAGGGGCTACACATCAGTATCTGCTGAGAAAATTGAAACTAGATTTCTTGGCTCGGGCTCAGTGGCTCTCGCCTGTAACCCCAACACTTTGGGAGGCCAATGCAGGTGGATTATATATATATATATATATATATATATATATATATGCAGCCAAATTTGGCCCATCAAATCCCAGAGGAGCTGGGACCATTAATTTTTTGGTTACAAAAATAAATTGAAGTCTGATAGGACTCCACAGGATAAAATGCTTGACCTCTCCTCTTTGGAGGTATTGTCCCTGGTTCTGTTATAAATGTACTTTATACAGAGAAGTGTCATCAGTAACTTTTCCTTCTTATGGATATTGTCAGGAGAATATTTAGCCACTACTTTGGATTCTATAACTAGAATTGTATATATTAACATAATGGTCAGTAAAGACAATTAAGAAAATCAGACAAGGGCTCATGACATGCTCAACTCTGCCAGTGTTGAAGCCCTTCAAAAAGAATTCCCAAGTGAGCTTATTAGACATGGGTGCAATAACTCAGCCTTGAAGTATACTTCTGCTAATATTTCTTACTCAAGCACTTCAGACACAGCTCAGTACTGATGAGTATCTAGACAGCTCACTTGTGTCAGGCTTCCTACCATCTGATTAAGATCCTATAAATGAGTCATATTTCATAAGCAGTGGCCATATCCAGTACTGGGCAGCCATAGAAAATAAACTAATCATCCAGAGGCCAGCTGTTCCATAAAGCTATAAGAAGCAGACAGTACTCATTGAAAACTACTGCTGTTGATCTTCAGTATATGGTCAACTGCAGACACACAATATCAGCTTGAAAAGAATATGAGCTATCATCTAATTCAGCCACCAGATGTTCAAATATTCACTACATGAACCAGCTCAGTGGTCCCAGTTCTGGCTATGTGGCAGATTTTGTTTTTGTTTTGTTTTTATTTTTAAAGATTTACCTTATTTTTAATTGATGAATAATTTTGCATCTTTATGGAGCACAAGGTAATATTTTGGTACATGCATGCATTGTGAAATGATCAAATCAGACTAATTTACATATCTATTATCTCAAATACGTATGATTTATTTCTGGTGAGAACATTTAAAATCTATTTTTTAGCCATTTTTAAATATAGAATACATTATTATTAACTATAGTCACCATGCTGTGTAATCACCTGAACCTATTCCACCTAACTGAAACTTTGTACCTTTTGATACACATTCTCCAGCCTCACCAGCTCTGCTGCACTAAAAATCTCCAGAGGTGGTAGAATATCTAGCTTAAGGCTGCACTTTCTATCTTTAGGCAGCTTTTTAAAATGCCTCATTATATAGTCATAAAATGGTTCTGCACAATTTCCAATCATTGGTAGATGTTCAATCACCTGAGGCCTGTTCTGTTTTCCTTTCTCTCAACCAAATGTTGCCAATCTTTCCACTATTCAATATGTGACATAATATTGAGTCAAGTTCTTAACATCTTCTTGGTCTCCCATGAATGTTTTCTAGTTAGAGTATTATAGCCCAGAAGAAATGAACATTCTAGTACAGAGTGGGGCAGGATAGGCACCTCCCTCACACTTCTATTAGCACAACCCAGCTGTTCCATTTAGTTATCACATTGACCTTACCTTAGCTACAGCTGAATGTCTCTTTGCAATCATTTTACATTTTCTTCTTTCCCATTTCACAATGCACACTAGTCAAAGTCTTTAACATTCTATTTAAGTCCCACCTCCAATCCCTTTCTCTTAGCTGAGGGCACGGTTTTCACAATCTGTGGAGAAAATACATGTATCCCAATCCACCAAATTAAAATACCCTATCCTAATCCACCCAGTTAACATCTGAGCACCACAATGAGTATCAAATTACAAAATCAGAAACACACATATGAGAGACCTTACCTAACAGCAAGTTTTATTAACAATGTCAAGCACATAAGCAATCAAGAGGCACAGACAAAGGGAGAAATCAAGAACATCCTGCGTGATTTCTCAGGTCCTTTCTTTCCACATTGGACAGGAGTCATCTGGCCGAGAAGAATAGATGAGGTCTCTAAGTGAGGCTTGGTGGTCACTTTCCACATTTGGGGGAATATGATTACAAACCATTTCTATTTTATGCCCTCAGAGAGTTGTAGAACATATGCGATAGTTTTCATGCCTTACAAATCCGTAAACTATAGATGTATTTATTATAAGTAATCTGAAGTCAGAGACAACCTGTAAAGGACATTCCACAGGTAAGAACTCTTCTCCTAACAAATGTTAGTCTATTTACCCAAAATATAGTTACCATGTTTACATGGAGATTTGACTGGCTCAAGAGCCTTCTTTGCTTTCCCTCAAAAGCATCACTCTTGGTAATCAGGGCAGAAATGAATCATAGGTCTACAGCTTTAACTCTATCCTCCCCAAAATCTATACTTTTCCATATTTGTTCTTGTCATAAGGGAAGAAGTCCTGCTTTACACTAATCAGGTGCTCTGAATACAATTCCCTCAGCTATTCGCCTTCATTATACCTTCTGATATAATTTTGTTTTCATTTTTATTATGTGCTCTTTCTCTTTTACTGTGCCCTCTGATATAGCTTTAATGTATTCCTACCTACAAACATATTTTCCTTACCATATAAATATATTAATTATCTCTCGCTTAAAAATGATTCCTTAATGGTTATTATTCCAGAGACATCTAACATCTCTCTGTCTTTACTATTACAACTAAAATTGTTGATACTTGCTTAGACCTAAATGTGACTGTTATCCCTAATATGGAACATTTATTTATGTGTTACTTAAACCACAGAAGACATTTTTAACTGCCTACTGAATACAGTCATCCCTCAGTATCCTTGGGAGATTGGTTCCAGAACCCCATGGAAATGAAAATCCATGAATGCTCAAGTCCCTCAAATAAAATGGTGTAGTATTTGCATATAACCTAAGCACATCCTCCCCTATACTTTAAGTCATCTCTAAATTACTTACACCTAACACAATGTAATGCTATGTAATAGCTGTTCTACTCTGTTTTTTACTTGTATTATTTTTATTGACAATGAGTACATGTCAAAGGAGGTGGCCACTTGATTCAAGGGAGTTCTCATAGAGAAGATACTGGCTGAACTAAGAGTTGAAGGATAAATGGGATCACATAAGTTGGAGATAATGTTGACAAAAGCATTTAAAATAAGAAAAATAAGACTTTTAGTTCTAACAAGATTTCTCTCTGTTTTACCATGCTAAGTACAACGATAAACACTGGAAATAAAATGAGACAACCAAAAGATAACTTTGAAAGGTAGAGAGTGAAAGGCAAACTGGTTAGCCACCCCAGGACTAAAGGAAAAACACAGTGGCAGAGCATCTCTTACCCCCACCCAACTGAAGAAGGTGATGTGATGCAAGCCCAATGTTTCCCAACTTCCCACATAGCAACAGAAGGCAGCCCAGGTAGGGTCCTTCCTCCCCTGGATGGAAAAAGAGTTCTACCCACAAGACCAGGCAAGTCCTGCAGGCCCCACCCCAGCCCCAGCAGTGCAGATCAATCAGAAGCCCCAGTGATAATGAGGAGCCAGAGGAAGCATTCTCTGTCCAATCTACACACACACATTTCCCTACCTAGAAACAGTACTGAAACTGACAAGGGGGAATCCTGCTACAGAATTGGCTAGCCCAGAAGCCTCTTTGTCCCCAGAGGCCTCCTCACACAATAAGAGACATAGGGTGGATGTACCCATATGGGAAGCTTCTTCTTTTTGGTGGAAATGAAACTTCCCTCCCCAGCTTATAGGTTCCAGGCAGCCTGACCAAGGGATGCTCCTTCTGCCCCGTCAGATGGCACTAGTAGGAAACAGTAGGAGTCTCAGGTAAATTAAGCAGACCAAAATAACACCACAAAGGCTCTGATAATTAAATTTTCATTGGAACCACTGTCCACAAAAGATGGCCAAGACCTGTCTGCTAAAACTAAGCATGTCTGCTAAAATCAAAAATTTAAATAGGACCCAGTGTGTCCTAACATACTAATAGCAAAATGTCCAGGATACAAATGACTAAAAGACAATGAACAAAGAAGAGGCCTGGGAGTATGAAAACCATTGTCAAGTACAGCAAGAATAGAAAAAGGATATCACAAGAAAGAAAGTATCCAGGTAATAATAATGAGAGCTAAAGCCACATTTGTTGCTGATAGTGTACTAGACACTGTTCTAGGAACTTAAAATGAATGAACTCTTCTGTTAAAACCATTCTATTGATTAGGTATTCTCTTATTATTTCTGTTTTTGCATGGATAAACTGAGGCATAGGGAGGTTAATTAACTTGAACTAGCCAAACAGCTCATAAGTGATGGAATCAGGATTTACAAACTTTCAGTCATACTCTCAGCTTCCACTCTATACTTAGAGTGACATAAAGTAGGATAGAGTAGATTGTGAATGGCCATGACTGTCTTTTTAAGGGATCTAGATTGTATTTTGTAGGCAAATGACTACATGAGCAAATCTGTGTGTTAAAAAAAAATAACTCTGGAAATAACAAAAAGGATTAATTAGAAGAAGAAACACTAAAATAGAAAAAGCAGATAATGGCCATAAGTAAGCAAAGAAAAGGATATTAAGAATCTAAACTAAACAAGTAACAATATCACTGAGGAGAGGCTATTAACAGGGATAAAACAAAACTTTAACAGGAAGACATACTAACTCTAAACATTTATACAGCTAATATCAAAGGTTCAAGACACCTGAAGCAAAAACTGATAGAACTTCAAGGTGAAATAGATGAATACATATTATAGTCAAGAATTTTTTTTTTTTTTTTTGAGACGGAGTCTCGCTCTGTTGCCCAGGCTGGAGTGCAGTGGCACGATCTCGGCTCACTGCAACCTGCGCCTCCTGGGTTCAGGCCATTCTCCTGCCTCAGCCTCCCGAGCAGCTGGGACTACAGGCGCCTGCCACCATGCCCGGCTAATTTTTTGTGTGTGTGTATTTTTAATAGAGATGGGGTTTTACCATGTTAGCCAGGATGGTCTCGATCTCCTGACCTTATGATCTGCCCGCCTCAGCCTCCCAAAGTGCTGGGATTACAGGCATGAGCCACCGTGCCCGGCCTATAGTCAAGGATTTCAACACACCTCTCTCAATGATCTATAGAGCAGGTGGATAGAAGTCAGTAATGATATAGAAGAACTGAACAACCCTATCAACCAATTGTTGATTCTAAAGTTGATATTTATAAAACCTTTCAACCAAAACCAGCAGAATATTTTAGAACACAGAGCACTTACCAAGAGAGGTCACGAGTTAAACCATAAAACAAGTCTCAATAAGTTAAAAAGGTACAAATTAGACAAGTATTTTATGACAAAGAAGTAATTAAATGGAAAACTAATAGCAAAAAGAAATATAGAAAACCCCAAAATATTCTGGAATAAAATATACCCTCTTAAGTAACACATCTGTCAAAGAATAAATCAAACACACAATTACCAACTCTTAACTGAATGAAAATGAAAATACAAAGAATTGGAATGTGTAGAATACAAATAAAACATGCCCAAAGAAAAATTAAGACCTATATTAGAAAAGAAGTAAATATTAAATTATTAACCACAGATTTACCTGAAGAAATTATAAAAAGAGGACATAAGTAGAAGTAAGTAGAAAAATAGAAATAATAAAGAGTGGAAGTTAATCAATAAGGGAAAAAATAAATAGCAAGACCAATAAAACCAAAAGCCAGTTCTTTGACAAGATCAATAAAACTAGTAAATTTCAACCCATACTAATTTGGGAAGAAAGAGAGACAGAAAGGCAGAGACAGAGAAAATAGAAGTTACCAATATTTATCCATATAAGATATGAATAATTATACCATAACTAGAAATAAAACATCATTACAGATCCTATAGACGTAAGAAGGATAAAAGGAAATAACAAACAACACAAAAACCCTATTTTTATTAAAGAAATCAAATTTTTAGTTAAAAATTCCCCCAGAAATAAAACTCCAGGCCAAGATGGCTTCCCTGCTGAATTCTGTAAAATATTTAGCAGAGAACACATACCAATTCTGCATAATACCTATCAGAAAAATAAAGCAGAGGAAACACTTCTCACTTCATCATGTGAGACCAGCATTATATTGATACCCAAACTAGACAAAGACATTCAAAGGAAAAGAAAAAACTATAGATCTATTCCTCATGAACATAGTTGTAAAAATTACTAACAAAATTTTAGCCCAATTAAATCCCCAAATATATAAAACAAATAGCGCATTATGACTGTATTAGTTTGTTTTCACACTGCTGATAAAGCATACCCAAGACTGGGAAGAAAAAAAAGATCTAATTGAACTTACAGTTCCACATGGCTGAGGAGGTCTCAGAATCATGGTGGGAGGAGAAAGAAACTTCTTACATGGCAGCGGCAAGAGAAAAATGAGGAAGAAGCAAAAGCAGAAACCCTTGATAAACCCATCAGATTTCATGAGAATTAATTCACTATCATTAGAATAGCACGGGAAAGACCAGCCCCCATGATTCAATTACCTCTCCCTGCATCCCTCCCACAACACGTGGGAATTCTGGGAGATACAATTCAAGTTGAGATTTGGGTGGGGACACAGCCAAACCATATCCATGACCAAGTAGGAATTTTCCAGGGAATGAAAGGTTGTTTTAACATTTGAAAATCAATCAACAAAATTCACTGTATTAACAGACCAAAAATGGAAACCATATGGTGATCTTAATAGATCCATAAAAAGCATTTGCCAAAATTCTACATTCATTTCGAATGAAAAAACTCTCAGCTAAGTAGAAATAGAAGGAAATTTCCTCAACCAGAGGAAAAAGGCATCTATGAAAAACTTACAGCTAACATCATACTTAAAAAGTCCTAATGATTTCCCCCAAGATCAGGAACAAGGCAAACTGTTTGCTCTCACCACTTGTATTAAGAGTTCTAGCCAGTACAATAAGACAAGGGAAAGTATTTAAATAAGAAAGGAAAAATTAAAACATGTATTTGCAGGTGATATGATTGTCTATATAGAAAATTCTGAGTAATCGGCCTGGCTCGGTGGCTCATGCCTGTAATCCCAGCACTTTGGGAGGTAGAGGCGGACAGATCACAAGGTCAGAAGTTCGAGACCAGCCTGACCAAGATGGTGAAACCCTGTCTCTACTAAAATTATGAAAATTAGCCAGGCATGGTGGCACACACCTGTAATCCCAGCTACTTGGGAGGCTGAGGCAGAGGAATCGCTTGAACCCGGGAAGGGGAGGTTGCAGTGAGCCGAGATCATGCCATTGCACTCCAGCCTGGGCAACAAGAGCAAAACTCCGTCTTAAAAAAAAAAAATTAAAAATTAAAAGAAAATTCTGAGTAATCTACAAAAAAAGCCACAAGAGCTAATAAATGAGATTGGGAAAATCTCAGTATTCAAAGCCAATACAAAAAGTCAATTGTATTTCTATATGATAGCAACAAAAAATTGGAAGGTAAAATTTAAAAAAATTTAATAGCATCAAAAAAATAGAATGCCTAATAAATTTTATAAAATCAAAAGCTACAAGTCACCTCAGAGAAACTAAAGAAAGCCTAAATAAATGTGGATATATATTAATAAGTGTATTCATGAATCAGAAAATTTGTTATTAGTAGGATATCATTTCTTTCCAAGTTGGTCTTTAGATTCAGTGCAATCCCAGCAAGCGGTTTTGTGGAAATAAACTAATTCAAAAATTTGCACGAAAGTACAAAAGACCTAGAATGGTTAAAACAACTTTTAAAAAGAAGAAAAATATTGGAAAACTAACACTACCTGATTTCAAGATTATAAATCTACTGGTTTCAAAACAATGTTAATTGATGTAGAGACAGACATAAAGATCAATGGAACAATAGTGTACAAAAATATACACCTACATATATGATCAATTAATTTTCAACAAAGGCTCCAAGGCAGTTCAATGAGGACAAGATAATCACTTAAATAGTGTTGGGAGAAGTGGCTACCTGTACATCTAAAAAAATAAAAGTTAACCTCATATCTCTTCTCACACCACATAAAAAGATTACTGATGACAGATCTTAGAATTAAGTATAAGATACAGAAAAATAGCATTTTTAGAAGAAAACTTAGGAAGAAATCTTAGTAATACTCAGTTTGGCAAAGATTTCTTAAATTTGACACATAAAAAAGAAAAAGCATCGGCTTCACCAAAGAAGATATGCAGATGGCAAATAAGCACATAAAAGGATGCCCCAAATTATTAGTCATTAGAGAAACGCACATTAAAATTACAAGGAGATAGCACTATCCTCCTAGTAAAGTGGCTAAAATGAAAAAGACCAACCAGCCCAAGTGTTGATAAGGATGTAGAACAGCTTTAACTCCAACAGCTGTTGGTCAGAAAGTAAATGGTTTGTCACTTTGGAAAACAGTTTGGCAGTATTTTAAAGTCAGACATACACCTATCACACAGCCTGACCATTCTATACCCAGGTATTTTCTCTAGAGAAATAAAAGCATATGTCCACACAAAGACTCATACGTGAATGTTCATAGCAGCTTTATGTAGAATAGCAAAAACTGGAAACAACCCAAATGTGTATCAAATGAATTTTAAAATTTTGCAATATTCATATAATGGAATACAACTTCTCAATAAAAGTAAAAATATATTTTTACTATTTATATAACAGTCTAGAAAAATGCATAAAAATTTCCAGTGACAGAAAACAGATCAGAAATTGCTTGTATGTATGGGGTGGAGGGGTAGAAGCAGGGAAAGAGAAGTTACAAATGATCATAGTGGGAACTTTTGGCTTATGGCCATCTTCATTGTTTTCATTGTGGTGATGGTTTCACAGGTGTATACATGATGTCAAAACGCATCGAACTGTACAATTTAAGTAAATGTTATTTATTTTATGTAGGTTATATCTCAGGAAAGCTATCTTTAAAATACCTCACATTTAAGAAAAAAAATTTAATGGTTAGCAGCCTGACGTCATTCTTCCATTTGGTAGAGACTATCACCTGTATGTGTTTCTATTCACACGAATTTTTGCCAATGTTCAATGTATTCAGATTTTCTTACTTATACCTGTCTCTTAGAAGCATCAAATCAATGTTTCTTGCCCTAAATTTTCACAGCTACTCCTGTCAGAACTTATATTTGCCGCACTTTTTAACTTGATCTCCAGAATCTTACGAATATATTTGTTTACTATTTATACAGTGTACTATATATATATTCAGATAAATGTAAGCTCCACCTCAGCTCCAGAAACATCCAACTTTTAAGTGTTGAAAGCTTTCTCATGTTGCCAATTGATAGATCCCATCTTTATTAAACATATTCTCATTCTAGTATAATTCTGTACTCTCATGTGGCTTCTGAATTTAAAAAGAAAACAAGCCACAACAGAAAATCCAAAATAGAAACAAAAAGACCTAATTTAGAAAACCAAGTTTAACTGGATTTAAGTATCTCAGAAAACATAAAATGGAGGACTTGTACATTGCAAAAAAACAGCCCTCATTCTACATAGTCTAGAATAACATTTTCAACCTCAAGTTTGGCACATACAAGAAAGAATGTTCTTGCAATAATTTTTATAAAATTCTCAAAAACTTACTTAAAATATCATATACTCTTGATTACTGAGGTAATGAAGAATGTGACAAAAATCCAACAATGATAGGACATCAAAGCTTAATGAGGTTTGAAATCATCAACCTAGAGTTCTCACTAAATAGAGAAATACACTGACAAAATTTTAAAATTTTTGAGAAAATTATCTCAATATTTCAGCACATTGTAATTAATTTGTAGCTAGAGAAAATATTTTCCCAACGTTGTTATAACCATGGAAAACTAGATATCCTTTAATAACAGACATCTTAGAATACGTATTATTAAGGCTTGATGCCCTTTAAAAACTTCAATAGCTTTTACTACAGTAATTTCATTTTATTCTAAGTTGCTCTTCATTACCAGTTCATAGAGCAAAAAGCATAAGCCAAACTTCCCAAGGACTCATCACATTCTCAGTTGAAATCAAATTAAAAACTAAACACAGGGATGTGCCCTCAAGGCCATCTAAATATATTTTTCTTTATTTGCACACTTTTTAGTACTTTATCTATGACCATCTTCATTTCATTGAACTGAAGATTTTTACAAAAGAAATAAGGTTTTCTATCCAGACATTGAAATGTAAAACGTGCAAGAAGATAAAGAAGAACACTTAGGCTAAAACCAGGAAAGTAATGCTTGTCTCAGAAGGAATTGAATGAAAAGAGAATAAGAGATACAATGAATTATAATAAGGAGAAAGAGAACATCACATAACTTTAGATGTGTGACTAAGACTCAAGGAATTTAAAGTAGATGACAGATCTGCAGAAAAGACATTGGCTTTTCCACTAGAAACTATATTTACTTATAAAGGGAAGGCAAAGACAAGAAAAGATGGCTGCAGATTAAACTTTACTCGTGTCAACAAGTTTACTGTAGGAAGGATATTTTAAGCAATTTTTTTCAATTATAAACTTACTTTCAAAATAGGTATTTTTCATGCCATAAATTTGAATGAAATTAACACAAGTAATTTTATGCTGCTACAGTTTTTATTGTTCATTTTCCAACCTGTATTCCAAGTCTTGGGGTCCCCTTTAATTTGCCTTATTGACAAAGCTACTTCCCGCTGCCCACCCTTTTCTAAAGTATGTTCTTCCAAAACCATGTAGCTTCTGATTGCTAGCTTAGGTACAACCTGACTACAGTTCAGGAGGACGTTGTTTTAATTCTATATGAAAAACACTTTCTATTTCAAGAGTGGGAGCCTGTCCATCATTGGTATTAGACAAATCTTTAAGGACAGAATTGATTTTTGAAACCTCTTCAAATTTTGCTTCACCTTCCAAAACAACCGATCCTAATTTTACTGCTGGAATTCCTGCCACCTGCGGTGACTGAAATTCTGTAGACACATTCTCTACCAGAGCCTCATCTTCAGGGGTTTGTTCAGATGGTGGAGGTGAAACTTCAGCAGAGGCCTCTCCTATAGGAAACTCCTCAGTCAGAAGCAAATCAGCTGGTGGGGAATGTTTGTCAACGGAGGCCTCTTCTGCAGGGACATCATCAGCTGGGGGAGAGTGTACTGCAGCAAGGGTCTCTTCTATAGGAGTCTCCTCAGCTGGTAGAGACTGAACTTCAGCAGGGGCCTCCTCAGCTGGTGGAGGCTGAACTTCAGCGGGGGCCTCCTCAGCTGGTGGAGGCTGAACTTCAGCGGGGGCCTCCTCAGCTGGTGGAGGCTGAACTTCAGCGGGGGCCTCCTCAGCTGGTGGAGGCTGAACTTCAGCGGGGGCCTCCTCAGCTGGTGGAGGCTGAACTTCAGCGGGGGCCTCCTCAGCTGGTGGAGGCTGAACTTCAGCAGGAGCCTCTTCTGCAGAAGCCTCTGTAGCTGCTAGAAGCTGAATTGCAGCAGAGGCCTCTTCTGCAGTGGTCTCTTCACCTGATGGAGGCTGAAGCTCAAGAGGGGCCTCTTCTATAGAAACTCCCTTAGCTGATGGAGACTGAACTTCAGCAGGAGCCTCTTCTGCAGAAGTCTCCTCAGATAGTGGAGACTGAGCTTCAGCAGGAGTTTCATCTGCAGGAGCCTCTATAGCTGCTAGAAGCTGAATTTCAGCAGAGGCCTCTTCTGCAGTGGTCTCTTCAGCTAATGGAGATTGAACTTCAGCATGAGCCTCTTCTGCAGAAGTCTCCTCAGATAGTGGAGACCGAGCTTCGGCAGGAGTTTCATCTGCAGGAGGCTCCGTAGCTGCTAGAAGCTGAATTTCAGCAGAGGCCTCTTCTGCAGTGGTCTCTTTAGGTAATGGAGACTGAAATTCAGTAGGAGCCTCTTCTGCAGGGGTCTCCATAGCTGTTGAAAGCTGAAGTTCTCGAGCCTCTTCTCTAGGAGCCTCTTCAGGTAATAGAGGCTGAACATCAGCAAGGGTCTCTTCAACAGTGGGAGGCTCTACTTTAGCTGGGGCCTCTTCAAGGGCGCCCTCAGCTGGTAAAGGCTGTACTTCAATGGGAGCCTTTTGTGCTGAGGGAGACCGAATTTCACCAAGAAGCTCTACTGAAGGAGACTTTTCAGCTGGTGGAGGCAGAATTTCAGCAGGAGGCTCTTCTGAAGGGGACTCTTCAGCTGATGGAGGCAGAATTTCAGCCAGAAGCTCTACAGAAGGAGACTCTTCAGCTGATGGAGGCTGAATTTCAGCAGGAAACTCCACTAAAGGGGCCTCTTCAGCAGGTGGAGGCTGAACTTTAACAGAATTCTCCGCAACTGCAGTGGCTGCCTCAGCATCAGGAGTCTCTTCAGTTGATGGCTGTACTTGGACATGGGTCTCTTCAGCAGGTCTGGGCTCCGCTTTAGCAGTGGCCTCTTCAACTAATGGAGGCTGTATTTTAGCTGGGAATTTTTCTGTTGATGGAGGCTCTATTTCAGCAGAAGCCACTTTTTTAACAGCAGAACCTTCTTGTACAACAGGTACAGTTACTTCTTCCCTAAGCTCATCTTCTAAAAGTACCGGGGGACCTTTTTTAGTCTCCTGAGTAAATGAAGTTCTGCTGATATTTTTCTGCCCAATTTCTTCATTGCTGTTTGTTGCTGGTTGAAATTCAGGGTGTTCACTAGCAAAAATCTTTCCCGACGATTTATGTTTCAGGGCATCTTCCTTTGACTTTGTAGAAGAACTATCTGGCCTGGAAATAACCACTATTTCTGATTCACTAAAGTATGTCTGTTGTTCCTTGTCCACTTTTTCTACAGGGGGGATGTTCATCATGGTCCAGTATCCTGTACGGCTGGTCTGCTGAGATCTGTCCATTTTTAGTTGAACTGAAGGTATGTTTGGTGGAATTTCTACATCCTGAACACTCTCTGGCAATTCAATAGCAGCTTCTCTAACATCAGCTGACTTTTCTTCAGGTACCACGGTTTCCTCAACTAACTTGACTTCTTTTTTCTCTTCTACAATGGTGTCTGTCTGGAGAGACTTACTAGTCATTTCCTGTCCATGCTTTCTCTTTGTCCAAGTTTGCTGAAGCTCAGAAGATACTCTAATAGACTCATAGGCTTTGGCAGAGTAGCTGCCTTTGCTTCCAGAAGTATTACCAATACGATGGGTAGCTTTGGGGCTAGATGATTTTGGTATGGCCATGTGTTTCTTTTTCTCTATTACATCAGTTTGCTGGGATTTGCCTACCATTGGTTTGCTGGGTCATCTTCTCTTTCGAATTTCTTGCCTACACGCTGAGATAGGCTGATTAGAGTCATCACTTTCTTCCATTTCTAAGAGTAGTGATTTCAAACTTATTAATTTTCAAGTAATGACCAAAAATCACAAACGTACCAAGTGTCAAAGACTTTCCCTTTCTTAGGTGTCATTCTGTTGAGCTCCCTCAGAAAAAAAGTAATTCATAAGCTATTGCATTCCATACTACACTCTTGTTGGATCCCACCTTATTCAGTAAGCGTCTTTCTTCTTTAGTCTCTGTTATAACTAAATATCACTTTTAGAAGTTTCCTTCAAGGGTCTATGACATCATAGCCAGTTCTGCCTTCAGGATTCCATCAGTGGTATTCCTAGGACTTTTAAACTTAGTATACATCCATAGGTAATGGCTGCAAGTGAGAATCTACTTTTTGAAACAAGTTGAAAAAAAGCATTTGTCTACAAAAGAACATCAGGTAAATTCCAGTAATGCCACTTTCTAATTGCTGAAATTGATGCTTTTTTGAACTTTCAATTCTGTTCTTTTCATCCTATTATCAAAGACAGTAATGCAGAACTCAGAATGCTGCAGCCTATTTTCAATTGTACAAAACAACCCATAACATGAGTGAGGATGTTCTATCAATGTATTTTATATGACTTGAAAGGAAGTTACTACTGTTTGAAAAACTTGAATTCTGAAGTTCATCTTCATATAAGCTGCTTTTCTACATCCTTAGCCTTCAGTAACACAACAGCCTATTATCAAAATATAGAAGGCAGGTTTATCTTCTAAAACATCATGAGATATTTTAATTTTTATTTAACTATTTTAGAGTGTAGTTGCATCCAAAATTTGCCAACTAAAAGAATGAGTCTAAATACATGCCAAGTGAGATAAAATGCACCTTTTGAAGTAGTCACATTAGACTCTGCTGAGTACCTACATGGGAATGAATGCCCCAATGTAGATAAAAACTTTATTTTTATCTTTGTCTTGTTTTTTGAGATAGGCTCTCACTGTGTCACCCAGGCTGGAGTGCCGTGGTGCAATCATAGCTCACTGCAGCCTCAATCTTCTGGGCTTAAGCAATACTCCTACCCCTGCGTCCCCAGTAGCTGAGATTACAGGCATGAGCCACTGCACCAGCTGAAGATAAAAACATTAAATTGAAGCTATGAAAAGGAGGAATTCCAGTCAAGCAGATTGTAGATGACATTGTATTAGATTTGGAATACAGATAAAATTTTAACTCATATCACTCAAGAATTTTACTAGAAAGATGAATATTGATCAAACAGTATGCAAAAACATTGTGCATTAGTCTGAGGAAAATCAAGAAGAGAAAATAGACTTTTAAAATACAGTTATAGGAGACAATGTAATAACCATATGCCAAATAATAATTATGACTGCATTAATCTGGGAATATTTTTAAATTTCTTTATGCCATATTGCCCCTAGAAAACATAGTGAATTGAATAATTCCCCTTTTTTTCACATGCATTGGTGTTATGAGCTGAATGTTTGTGGCCCTGTCTCCTTACCCACAAATTCATATGTTGGAACCCCCAAAGTTATGGTATTTAAAGATGGGATCTTTGGGAGTTACAGGCATACCTCATTTTATTACACTTTGCTTTTTTGTGTTTTACAGATACTGCACTTTTTACAAATTGAATGTTTGTGGCAAGCCTGCATCGAGAAAGTCCATTGATGCCATTTTTTTCAAACAGTATGTGCTCATTTCATTTCTTTGTGTCACATTTTGGTAATTCTTGCAATATTTCAAACTTTTTCATTATTATGCTATCTGCTGTGGTGATCTATGATCAGTGATCTTTAATGTTACTGCTGTAAATATTTTGCAGCATCATACCCTATATATAACAAATTTAATAGATAAATGTTGTATGTGTTCTGACTAATCCACCAGCCAGCTGTTCCCCCATCTCTCTCTCTCTCTCTCCTCAGGCCTTTCTATTGCTTGAGACACAACAATATTGAAATTAGGCAAATTGATAGCCCTACAATGGCCTCTAAGTGTTCACGTGAAAAGAAGAATCACAGACCTCTCATTTGAAATTCATGTTGTTTTCATGCCTGCTAACACAACATCCATTCTGCAGCGCATGGATCAAGGGTTAATTTTGATTTTCAATGTTATTATTTAAATATATTTCATAATGCTATGGCTGCCATAGATAGTGATTCCATTAATGGATCTGAAATTGAAGGTAAATTTAAACCCTCTGTAAAGGATTTACCACTTTAGATGCCATTAAGAATATTTATGAATAATGGTAATAAGTCTAAATATCAACATTAACAGGAGTCTGGAAGAAGCTGATTCCAACCCTCATAGATCACTTTGAGGGCTTCAAGATTTCAGTGGAGAGAGTAACTGCAGATGTGGTAGAAATAGCAAGAAAATTTAAATTTTATGTAGAGCCTGAAGACATGACTGAATTGCTGCAATCTAATGGTAAAACTTTAATGGATGAAGGGCTGCTTCTTATGGATAAGCAAAGAAAGTAGTTTCTTGAGATGGAATCTACTCCTAGTGAGGTGCTGTGAACATTGTTACAATAACAAAGGATTTAGACTATTCCACAAACTTCACTGATAAAGCAATGGTACGGTTTGAGAGGATTGACTCTGATTTTGAAAAAAAGTTATGACACTATAAAATAGTATTGCATGCTACAGAGAAACATTTCATAAAAGGGTCAATTGGTGGGGCAATCTCCATTGGGTTGTTTATCAACATCTTTGTGATCACAAAGAGAGAGCCTGGTGTTTCTCTCAATTATATCTGACAAATATTGCAGGTGTGTTTTGTAATCAAGTTTCTGAAATTTCATGTAATATCTTCAAAGTCTATTTTGGGTCAATTCACAACAAGAAATAAATGTCAAAGCCAACATTGCACTAATTGGGTTAATATAAGATTACATGTATTGGATTAGTTTTGCTTCTTTAACTTAAATAAGACTTTTCCAAATTTCCTTAAACTGAATTGTCCATTTCAATGAAATTGAATTCTCAATTTCCAGTCCTTATATCTTTATGTTTTCCTCTCTTGTCTGTCTTTTTCATACAAGCCATTTTGACAGGGGTGAGATGATACCTCACTGTGGTTTTGATTGGCATTTCTCTGATTAGTGATGTTGAGCATTTTCTCATATCACTGTTTACCATTTCTATGCCATCTTTTAAGCAATGTCTATTCAGATATTTTGCCCATTTTTTGTATAAATTTATGTGGTACAAGTATAATTTTGTTACATAGATATATTGCATGTGGTGGAGTCAGAGATTTTAGTGTTACAATTACCTGAATAATATAAATTGTACCCATTAGGTAATTTCTTATCATCCCCCACTTCCATCTCCCACACACTTCTGAGTCTCCATTGTTACATCATTCAACACTCTGCATCCATGTGGATGCTTTATTTAGCTCCCACTTATAAGTGAGAAGATGCATTGCCTTTCTGTTTCTGAGTTGTTTCTGTTAAAATAATGGCCTCCAGTTCCATTCATGTTGCAGCAAAAGACATGATTTTACTTTTTTAAATTTTCTACCAGGTTAAGCTTTATTATTTTTTAATTTTAATTATACTTTAGGTTCTAGGGTACATGTGCACAACGTGCAAGTTTGTTACATTGGCATACATGGGCCATGTTGGTTTGCTGCACCCATTAACTCGTCATTCACATTAGGTATTTCTCCTAATGCTATCCCTCCCCTTTTTCCACACCCCATGACAGGACCTGGGGTGGGATATTCCCCGCACTGTGTCCAAGTGTTCTATTTTGTTCAATGCTCACCTATAAGTGAGAACATGCAGTGTTTGCTTTTCTGTCCTTGTAATAGTTTGCTCAGAATGATGGTTTCCAGCTTCATCCATATCCCTGCAGAGGTCATGAACTCATCCTTTTTTATGACTGCATATTCCATGGTGTATATGTGCCACATTTTCCTAATCCAGTCTATCATTGATGGACATTTGGGTTAGTTCCAAGTCTTTGCTATTGTGAATAGTGCCGCAATAAACATATGTGTGCATGTGTCTTTACAGTAGCATGATTTATGATCCTTTGGGTATCTACCCAGTAATGGGATTGATGGGTCAAATGATATTTCTAGTTCTAGATCATTGAGGAATCGCCACACTGTCTTCCACAATGGTTGAACTAGTTTACACTCCTACCAGCAGTGTAAAAGCATTCCTATTTCTCCACATCCTCTCTAGCATCTGTTGTTTCCTGACTTTTTAATGATCACCATTCTAACTGGTGTGAGATGGTATCTCATTGTGGTTTTGATTTGCATTTCTCTGATGACCAGTGATGATGAGCATTTTTTCATGGTCTTTTGTCTGCATAAATGTCTTCTTTTGAGAAGTGTCTGTTCATATCCTTTGTCCACTATTTCATGGGGTTGTTTTTTTCTTGTAAATTTGTTTAAGTTCTTTGTAAAAGATCAGATGGTTGTAGATGTGTGGTGTTATTTCTGAGGCCTCTGTTCTGTTGCATTGGTCTATACATATGTTTTGGTACCAGTACCTTGCTGTTTTGGTTACTGTAACCTTGTAGTATAGTTTGAAGTCAGGTAGCAGGATGCCTCCAGCTTAGTTCTTTTGGTTTAGGAGAGTCTTGGCAATGTGGGCTCTTCTTTGGTTCCACATGAACTTTAAAGCAGTTTTTTCCAATTCTGTGAAGAAAGTCATTGGTAGCTTGATGGAGATGGCATTGAATCTATAAATTAACTTTGGCAGTATGGCCATTTTCACAATATTGATTCTTCCTATCTATAAGCTTGGAGTGTTCTTCCATTTGTTTGTGTCCTCTTTTATTTCGTTGAGCAGTGGTTTGTAGTTCTCCTTGAAGAGGTCCTTCACATCCCTTGTAAGTTGGATTCCTAGGTATTTTATTCTCTTTGTAGCAATTGTGAATGGGCATTCACTCATGATTTGGCTCTCTATTTGTCTGTTATTGGTGTATAGGAATGCTTGTGATTTTTGCATATTGGTTTTGTATCCTGAGACTTTGCTGAAGTTGCTTATCAGCTTAAGGAGATTTTGGGCTGAGACAATGGGGTCTTCTAAATATACAATCATGTCATCTGCAAACAGGGACAATTTGACTTCCTCTTTTCCTAATTGAATACCTTTATTTCTTTCTCTTGCCTGATTGCCCTGGGCAGAACTTCAAACACTATGTTGAATAGCAGTGGTGAGAGAGGGCATCCCTGTCTTGTGCCAGTTTTCTAAGGGAATGCTTCCAGTTTTTGCCCATTCACAATAATATTGGCTGTGGGTTTGTCATAAATAGCTCTTATTATTTTGAGATACATTCCATCAATACCTAGTTTATTGAGAGATTTTAACATGAAGGCTGTTGAATTTTGTCAAAGGCCTTTTCTGCATCTATTGAGATAATCATGTGGTTTTTGTCGTTGCTTCTGTTTATGTAATAAATTAAGTTTATTGATTTGCATATGTTGAACCAACCTTGCATCCCAGGAATGAAGCCCACTTGATTGTGGTGGATAAGCTTTTTGATGTGCTGCTGGATTTGGTTTGCCAGTATTTTATTGAGGATTTTCACATCGATGTTCATCAAGGATATTGGCATAAAATTCTCTTTTTTTGCTGTGTCTCTGCCAGGCTTTGGTATCAGGATGACGCTGGCCTCATAAAATGAGTTAGGGAGTATTCCCTCTTTTTCTATTGATTGGAATAGTTTCAGAAGGAGTGGTGCCAGCTCCTCTTTGTACCTCTGGTAGAATTTGGCTGTGACTCCGTCTGGTCCTGGACTTTTTTGGTTGGTAGGCTCTTAATTTTTTCCTCAATTTCAGAGCCTGTTATTGGTCTATTCAGAGATTCAACTTCCTCCTGGTTTAGTCTTGGGAGGGTGTATGTCTCCAGGAATTTATCCATTTCTTCTAGATTTTATAGTTTACTTCTGTAGGGGTGTTTATATTATTCTCTGATGGTAGTTCGTATTTCTGTGGGATCTGTGGTTATATCCCCTTTATCATTTTTTATTGTGACTATTTGATTCTTTTCTCTTTTCTTCTTTATTAGTCTTGCTAGCGGTCTATCAATTTTGTTATCTTTTCAAAAAACAAGCTCCTGGATTCATTGATTTTTTGAAGGTTTTTTTGTGTCTCTATCTCCTTCAGTTCTGCTCTGATCTTCGTTATTTCTTGCCTTCTGCTAGCTTTTGAATTTGTTTACTCTTGCTTCTCTAGTTCTTTTAATTGTGATGTTAGGGTGTCAATTTTAGATCTTTCCTGCTTTCTCTGTGGCATTTAGTTCTATAAATTTCCCTCTACAAACTCCTTTACATGTGTCCCAGAGATTCTGGTACGTTGTGTCTTTGTTCTCATTGGTTTCAAAGAACATTTTTCTCTCTGCCTTCATTTCGTTATTTACCCGGTAGTCATTCAGGAACAGGTTGTTCAGCTTCCATGTAGTTATGCGGTTTCAAGTGAGTTTCTTAATCCTGAGTTCTAGTTTGATTGCACTGTGGTCTGAGAGACAGTTTGTTATAATTTCTGTTCTTTTACATTTGCTGAGGAGTGCTTTACTTTCAACTATGTGGTCAATTTTGGAATAAGTGCAACGTGGTGCTGAGAAGAATGTATATTCTGTTGATTTGGGTTGGAGAGTTCTCTAGATGTCTATTAGGTCTGCTTGGTGCAGAGCTGAGTTCAATTCCTGGATATCCTTGTTAATCTTCTATCTCATTGATCTCATATTGATACTGGGGTGTTAAAGTCTCCCATTATTATTGTGTGGGAGTCTAAGTCTCTTTGTAGGTCTCTAAGGGCTTGCTTTATGAATCTGGGTCCTCCTGTATTGGGTGCATATATATGTAGGATAGTTAGCTCTTCTTTTTGAATTGATCCCTTTACCATTATGTAATGGTTTTCTTTGTCTCCTTTGATCTTTGTTGGTTTAAAGTCTTTTTTATCAGAGACTAAGATTGCAACCTCTGCTTTTTTTTTTTTTTTTTTTTTTTTTTGCTTTCCATTTGCTTGGTAGATCTTCCTGCATCCCTTTATTTGTGTGTGTCTGCATGTGAGATGGGTCTCCTGAATACAACACACTGATGGGTCTTGACTCTTCATCCAATTTGCCAGTCTGTGCCTTTTAACTGGGGCATTTAGCCTATTTACATTTAAGGTTAATATTGTTACGTGTCAATTTGGTCCCATCATTATGATGTTAGCTGGTTATTTTGCCCATTAGTTGATGCAGTTTCTTCCTAGTATTGATGGTCTTTACAATTTGGCATGTTTTTTGCAGTGGCTGGTACCAGTTGTTCCTTTCCATGTGCTTCCCTCAGGAGCTCTTGTAAGGCAGCCCTGGTGGTGACAAAATCTGTCAGCATTTGCTTGTCTGTAAAGGATTTTATTTCTCCTTCACTTATGAAGCTTAGTTTGGCTCGGTATGAAATTCTGGGTTGAAAATTATTTCCTTTAAGAATGTTGAATATTGGCCCCCACTCTCTTCTGGCTTGTAGAGTTTTTGCTGAGAGATCCACTGTTAGTCTGATGTGCTTCTCTTTGTGGGTAACCTGACCTTTCTCTCTGGCTGCCCTTAACATTTTTTCCTTAATTTCAACCTTGGTGAATCTGACAATTATGTGTCTTGGGGTTGCTCTTCTCAAGGAGTATCTTTGTGGTGTTCTCTGTATTTCTTGAATTTGAATGTTGGCCAGCCTTCCTAGGTTAGGGAAGTTCTCCTGGATAATATCCTGAGGAGTGTTTTCCAACTTGGTTCCATTCTCCCTGTCACTTTCAGGTACACCAATCAAACGTAGATTTGGTCTTTTCACATAGTCCCATATTTCTTGGAGGTTTTGTTTGTTTATTTTTACTCTTTTTTCTCTAAACTTCTCTTCTCCCTTTATTTCATTTATTTCATCTTCAGTCACTGATACCCCTTCTTCCACTTGATTGATCAGCTATTGAAGCTTGTGCATGCATCACATAGTTCTTGTACCATGGTTTTCAGCTCCATCAGGTCATTTAAGGTCTTCTCTACACTGTTTATTCTAGTTAGCCATTCATCTAATCTTTTTTAAAGGTTTTTAGCTTCCTTGCAATGGGTTCGAACATCTTCCTTTAGCTCAGAGAAGTTTGTTATTATCAACCTTCTGAAGCCTGCTTCTGTCAGCTCATCAAAGTCATTCTCCATCCAGCTTTGTTCTGTTGCTGGCGAAGAGCTGCGATCCTTTGGAGGAGTAGAGGTGCTCTGGTTTTTAGAATTTTCAGATTTTCTGCTCTGGTTTCTCCCCATCTTTGTGGTTTTATCTACCTTTGGTCTTTGATGTTGGTGACCTACAGATGGGGTTTTGGTGTGGATGTCCTTTTTGTTGATGTTGATGCTATTCCTTTTCGTTTGTTGGTTTTCCTTCTAACAGTCAGGTCCCTCAGCTGCAGGTCTGTTGGAGTTTGCTGGAGCTCTACTCCAGACTCTTTTTGCTTGGGTATCACCAGCAGAGGCTGCAGAACAGCAAATATTGCTGCCTGATCCTTCCTCTGGAAGCTTCATCCCAGAGAGGCACCCACCTGTATGCGAAGTCAGTTGGCCCCTACTGGGAGATCTCTCCCAGTTAGGCTACACGGGGGTCAGGGACCCACTTGAGGAGGCAGTCTGTCCATTCTCAGAGCTCAAACACCATGCTGGGAGAACTGCTGCTCTCTTCAGAGCTGTCAGACAAGGACGTTTAAGTCTGCAGAAGTTTCTGCTGCCTTTTATTCAGAGGCAGTAGGCCTTGCTGAGCTGCGGTGGGCTCCGCCCAGTTTGAGCTTCCCAGGCTGCTTTGTTTACCTACTCAAGCCTCAGCAATGGCACATGCCCCTCCCCTGCCAGGCTGTCACCTCGCAGGTCAATCTCAGACTGCTGCGCTAGTGGTGAGCAAGGCTCCGTGGGCATGGGACCTGCCAAGCCATGTGCGAGATATAATCTCCCGGTGTGCCATTTGCTCAGACCATTGGAAAAGTGCAGTATTTGGGTGGGAGTGTCCCATTTTTTTCCAGGTACAGCCTGTCACGGATTCCTTTGGCTAGGAAAGGGAAATCCCCCAACCCCATCCGCTTCCCGGGTGAGGCAATGCCCCGCCCTGCTTCAGCTGACCCTCCATGGACTGCACCCACTGTCCAACCAGTCCCAGTGAGATGAATCAGGTACTTCAGTTGGAAATGCAGAAATCACCCATCTTCTGTGTTGATCACACTGGGAGCTGCAGACTGGAGCTGTTCTTATTCTGCCATTTTGAAACTCCTAGCAATTTTATCATTTTTTATGGCTGAAAAGCATTCTAACATGTATATACACTACATTGGCTTTATCCAGTCATCCAATGACGGACACTTAAGCTGATTCCTTATCTTTGCTACTGTGAATATTGTTGCGGTAAACATACTAGTATAGGTATCTTTTTGGAACAATGATTGCCCGTTCTTTAATTTGATAATTTGGGTTTGTTTTTTTTTCTAGTGAGTTGTTTGAGCTCCTTGTATATTCTGGTTATCAATCTCTTGTCACATGATTAGTTTGCAAATGATTTCTCCAATGCTATGGTTGTCTTTTCACTTTGCTGGCTGTTTCCTTTGCTGTGCAGAAGATTTTTAGCTTGATGCGATCCCATTTGTCTGTTTTTGCTTTGGTTGCCTGTGCTTGCCCAGACCAATGTCCTGGAGTATTTTTACTAGTTTCATAGTGTTATATCTTAGATTTAAGTCTTTAATCCATTTTAATTTGATTCTTGTGTATGGTGAGAGATAGGAGTCTACTTTCATTCTTTTGCATATAGTGATCCAGTTTTCCCAACACCATTCATTGAAAAGACTATCTTTTCCCCCATTGTGTGTTCCTGTTGTCTTTCTCAAAAATGATTTGATTGTATGTAAATTCTTGGATTTATATCAAGGTTCTCTATTCTGTTTTACTGGCCTATGTGTCTGTTTTTATGCCAGTACTGTGTTATTTGGTTACTATACTTTGTGGTAAATTTTGAAGTCAGGTAGTATGATGCCTCCTGTTTTGTTCTTTTTGCTCAGGACTGCTTTAGCTATTCAGGGTCTTTTGTGGTTTCGTACAAATTTTAGAATTTTTTTTTCTATTTCTGTAAAGAATATCATTGGTATTTTGTTAGGGATAACATTGAATCTATAAATTGCTGAGTAGAATTGTAATTTTAATAATGTTAATTATTCCACTCCATGAGCATGGAATATCTTTCCATTTTTTGTATTATCTTCTATTTCTTTTATTAAAGTTGTATAGTTTTCCTTGTCTAGATCTTACACTTCATTGTCTAGATTGACTCCAAGGTATTTTATATTTGTGCAGCTACTGTAAATGGGATTGCTTTCTTGATTTCTTTTTCAGATTGTCCATTACTGGCATATAAAAATGTGGCTGATTTTTATATATTTATTTTGTTTCTGCAACTTTACTGAATTTATCAGTTTAAACAGTTTTTTGGTGGAGTCTTTAGGTTTTTTTATGTATAAGATCATGTTATCTGTGAACAAGGCTAATTTGACTTCTTCCTTTCCAATGTGGATGCTTTCTGCTTCTTTTTCTTGCCTAATTGATCTATCTAGGACACCCAGTTTTATGTTGAATAATGGTGGCAAAAGTGGGCATGCTTGTCTTGTTCCAGTTTTTCCCCATTCAACACAATGCTAGATGTGGGTTTGTCATATGTGGTCTTTATTATTTTAAGGTATGTCCTTTCTATATCCACTTTGATGAGGGTTTTTATCATAAAGAAATGTTAAATTTTATCAAGTGCTTTTTTGGCATCTATTGAAAGGATCATGTACTTTTTGTTCCTGATTCAGTTAAGGTGATATACCACGTTCATTGATTTACATATGTTGAACCATCCTTACATCCCTGGGATGAATTCCACTTGATCATGCTGAATGATCTTTTTAATGTGTTGTTGCATTCAGTTTGCTAGTATTTTGTTGAGGATTTTTGCATCTTGTTCATCAGTGATATTGGCCTGTAGTTTTCTTTTTTGCTGTGTCCTTCTCTGGTTTTGGAATTAGATTAACGCTGGCCTTGTAAAATGACCTTGGAAGTCCTCCCTCCTCTTCTATTTTCTGGAATAGTTTAAAGAGAATTGATATTAATTCTTGTTTAAAGGTTTGGTAAAATGCAACAGTGAAGCCCTCAGGTCCTGGGCTTTTATTTGATGAGAGACTTTTTATTACAGCTTCACTATCATTACTTGTTACTGGTTTGTTGAGGTTCTATATTTCTTCATGGTTCAATCTTGGCAGGTTTTATGTGTCCAGTAATTTATCTGTTTTTTCAGGTCTTCAAATTGGTTGGCATATAGTTTTTCATAATAGTCTCTAAGAATTATTTGTATTGCTGATGTTTTGGATGTCGGGTCTCCTTTCTTGCTTCTGATTTTATTTATTTCAATCATCTCCTTTTTTTAAGTCTAGCCAAAGGTTTGTTGATTTTATTTTTCAAAAAACCCTTTTTGGTTTTGCTGATCTGTATTGTTTTTTAGTCTCCATTTCATTTATTTCTGTGCTGATATTTATTATTTCTTTCCTTGTACTAATTTTGGGTTTTGTTTGTTCTTGCCTTTCTAATTCCTTGCAGTGCATCATTAGGTTGTTTATTTGAAGGCTTTCTACTTTTATCATACAGGCATTATTGCTATAAACTTCCTTCTTAGTACTGCTTTGCCATATCCCATAGATGCTGATTTGTTGTATTTTCATTTACATTTGTTTCAAGAAATTTTAAATTTCTTAATTTCTTCATTGATTCATTGGTTGTTCCGGAACATGTTGTTTAATTTCCACGTGTTTGTGTATTTTCGAAGGTTCCTCTTGTTACTGATGTCTAATTTGATTCCATTGTGGCCAGAAAAGGTACTTTATATGGTTTTTATCTTTTTAAATTGATTCAGACTTGCTTTGTAGCCTGGTCTATTCTAAAGAATGTTCCATATGCTGATGAAAAGAATGTGTATTCTGCAGCAGTTAGGTTAAAAGTTCTTTAAATATCAGTTAGGCCTATTAAATCTAGTATATTGTTTAACTCTGTTTCTTTGTTGCTTTTCTGTCTGGATGATCGGTCTGTTACTGAAAGTGGAGTATTAATGTCCTCTACTATTTTTGTATTGCAGTCTGTCTCTCCCTTTAGATCTATTAACGTTTGCTTTATACACTTGGGATCTCCAGTGTTAAATGCATAGATATTTAGGATTTGTATACTGTCTTGCTGAATTGACCTCTTTATAGTGACTTTCTTTGTCATTGTTACAGTCTTAGATTTGTAAACTATTTTATCTGATATGAGTAGCTACCCTTGTTCATTTTTGGTTTCCAGTTACATGGAATATCTTTTCCACCACTTCACTTTCAGTTTATGTGTATCTCTATAGGTAAAGTGGTTTTCTTGAAGTCAGCACTTAGGTGGGTCTTGTTTCTTAATCCATGCAGCCACTCTACCCCTTTTAATTAAAGAATTGTAACAATTTACATTCAGTGTTATTACTGATAAGACTTACTATTGCCATTTTTTGGCTTGTTTTCTGATTTTAAGATTCCTCTCTTCCTTTTCTCCTTCCTTTCTTTCTGTCTTCCTTTGTGGTTAAGTGGTTGTATCTGGTAGTATGTTTTAATTTTCTTTATTTTTAGTGAATCTAGTGTAGGTTTTTCACTGTAGTTACCATGAGGCTTACAAAGAACATCTTATTTACATAACAAGTTATTTTAAGGAGGCGACAACTTATCTTACATCACAAGCAAAATAATAGAAACAAAAGTAAAAAAACCCACACAAAAAAATTCTACACTTTAACTCTACCTTCTCCCCAACCACACTGTGACTTTTAGTTGTCTCAATGTACACATTTTTATATTATCTATCTCTTAGCAGGTTGCTATAGCATTATTGTTCTTTGTCTATTTGTCTTTTGGGCTTCATGCTAGATTTATGGGTGGATTTCACACTACAAATACAGTAATAGAGTACTCTAGATTTTCCCATTTACTTAATTTAACCAATGGATTTTATACCTTAAAGTTTTCTTTTACACATTAGTGCTTTTTTCTTTCAGACTGATGAACTCCCTTTAGCGTTTCTTGCAAGACAAGTCTGGTGTTGGTGAATTCTCTCAGTTTTTGTTTGTCTGAGAAAAAAATATATATGTCTCTCCTTCGTAGTTAAATGTTAATTTTGCTGGTTGCAGTATTCTTTGATGACAGTTTTTTTTTTCCTTTGGGCACAGTGAAAATGTCATTCTAGTCCCTCCTGCCTATATGGTTTGAGGAGTCTGTTGCCAGATGAATTTGGAACTTCTTCCTATGTTGTTTCTTTTCTCTTGCTGCTCTTGACATCTGTTTGTCTTTGACCTTTGAGAGTTTAATTATTATATGCTTTATGATAAGTAGCCATATTTGGGTTGAATCTGTTTGGTGCCCTAAGACCTTTCTGTACGTAGTATTTCTTTCTTTCTCAAGTTTTGGAAAGTTTTCTGTTCTTATTTACTTGAATAAACTTTCTACACCCTTCTTGCTCAGCCCCCTCTTGAACACCAATAATTCTTAGATTTGGTCTTTTGAAATAATTTTCTATGTCTTGTAGGTGGCCTTCAGTCCTTTTATTCATTTTCTTTTTCCTCCTCTGTGTATTTTCAAATAGCTGGCCTTCAAGCTCACTGATTTTTTTCATTGGTTGGTTCATTCTGCTGTTGAGAGCCTCTAAAGAGTGCTTCAATTCAGCAAATGTATTCACTTCAGCAATGTCTTATTATTTTAATCTTTTTGTTAAATTTCTCTGCTAGATTTCTGAATTTCTTTTCTGTGTTACCTTGGAGCTCATTGAGTTTTCTTAATATTGGTATTTCAAATTCTTGGTCAGAGAGCTCACATATCACCATCTTGTTAGAATCAGTCATTTAATTTTTACTTTGTCCTCATGGGGAGGTAATGGTTTTCTGTTTGCTGTTGTTTCTTGAGGGCATATGTCTATGTCTTTCTATTGAATAATTAATTATTTATTCTAGTTTACTCTGTCTGGCTTGTTTGGGCTTTTACTGAATATGTTTGCTTAGCAAATCTTGTAGGTCACTGCCTCCTTGTTGATGCTGAGTGACATCTTAGACCCAGGTTCACTTCAGCTATAATAAATGGTCAGAGTGCTGCCTGTCCCAAGTGGGGGATGTTCCAAAGGGATTATCCCAGCAGTGTGGGAAGAGTGACTAGGGGTTTTTGTCCAGTGGATCCAAAGAACATACCTTCTACAGTGTGCTGCTGCTGAACAGTCATTCTGATTTGACATCTCCTTTGGCCAAGTTACACAGCAGAGTTTCTAGGATTAGGAAATGGTAGTACCAGCTCCCCTCATTGTCTCTGCCTGTCCTCAAAGATATTTCTCTATTCAGGCAGTCATGATGCTTCCTATGAGAACTCAAGAAGGTGGAGAAGCTGGTCAAGAACCTCAATTTCACTTCTTCCACTGTATAAATCATGAGTTGTGGGGAGATTTTTTATATGCTTGGTGCCGGGCAGAATGGGGGTGGAGGGGCATTATGGATGTGGAAGATCAATTCTCCTACCATCTACTCAGAGTTTTTCCACTTTTCTGAAGCCCCAGCAACTGTCTCTCATTTTTACACTTGAGCTCTGCGTTGTTGGTGGTGAAAATCTTAGTGTTCCATGTTTGTTTTTGGTTTTCTGTATGGAGGAGAGGGAGGGGAAGCCAGCTTGCCTCTACACTGCCATTTTGGAACTGGAAGTCAGAACTTGATCTTTCTTAATCATGTACCAAACTGTCATAGTAAACTGCCTTTTGCTACTAGTATTAGCTTGTTCATAAAAATATCATGCATAGATAATTTTAAAAATTACCTAAGATTTCAAGTAGAATAATGAGATTTCATGGAGCAGTTTCTCATTCCATTCTTAAGACATACATATGTTTCTTTTGCTCGAATCATCTACATGACCCCACTAATCATTACACAAACTCTCTTTCAATTTAGGACTTGGCATTTTATCTTTTGTTCTAGAAATCCCAGATGATTCAGCTCTTTCTCCCTCACTTGGTTCACATCTGTTATGGATTGAATTGTATTTCCCCAAAAGATACGTTGAAGTCCTACTGCCAGTACCTGTGAATATGACCTTCTTTGGAAATAGGGTCTTTACAGATGTAATTAGGTTAAAATGGTATCCTTATAAGAAGAAAAATATTGGGGCTGGGTGCAGTGGCTCACACCTGTAATCTCAGCACTTTGGGAGGCTGAAGCAGGTGGATCACTTCAGGTCAGGAGTTTGAGACCAGCCTGGACAACATGGCAAAATCCTGTCTCTACTAAAAATATAAAAATTAGTCAGGCATGGTATTGTGTGCCTATCATTCCAGCTACTCAGGAGACTGAGAAACAAGAATTGCTTGAACCTGGGAGGTGGAGTTTGCAGTGAGCCAAGACTGTGCAACTGCTCTCCAGCTTGGCTGATGGAGTATGTCTCCTTAAAAAAAAGAGAGAGAGAGAAAGAAAAATTTGGGCACAGACACAGAAGGAAGATGGGCATGTAAAGATTGAGAGATTAGAGTTATGCTGCCACACAGTAAGGAATATCTGGGACTACAAGAGGCTTCAGAGGGACCATGGTCCTGCTGCCACCTTAATTTGGGATTTCTAGCCTCCAGACTTTGAGGGAATAAATTTGTTATCATAACTCAATTTGTGATACTTTCTTGTTGCAGCCCTAGGAAACTATTACAACATCATTTTGTAGCCCCATGTTTCTGACTCTTGCCTGACACACTATACTTCTGACTCTCACTCTCTGGTGTTTGTTTCTTTATTTTTTATTCAGGCTTGTCATTACCATGTTTGACCCATTTCTATAATCATAAAACCACAGAGATTTGCTGAAAGGCCTCCTCCTGATGATTTAATTTTATCAAAACAAGTTTGCTGAGTAGCATTTAATTTTACTTATAATTCTAATGACTTTGAAAGCTATGATTTAGTGATGGCAGAGATGCTACGAATTAATATAGGGCAAATATCTAAACTGTGACCTATATTGCCTTGTTTTTAACCGAATAGAACAAGTAGGATGAAGCCTGAAAAAATGCCCATTTGCTATAACAATGAAGAGGTTATTGGTAATTTTATTAATAGTAAGAGCAACTTCAGTAGAAGGGTGAGGACAGAAGTCATAAAATTTTAAAATCTCTGTACATTAAAAATAAAATGCAATATGAGAAACTAAGAAAAATAAGTGTGAAATTTCACATATTTAGCCTTAATATCCAAAATCAATATAAAAATAACACAATAGGAAAATTAACAAAAGGCATAAATAGAAAACTTGAAGAAGAAAAATAAGACCAATAAATACATGAAAGAGATCAAATTCACTTCTGAAATAAAAATTAAAATAATTCCAATGTAAAAGTAGCAAAGATTTATTTTAAAGATACCCAAAAAATAAAGTGCTAGTAAACGGATAATCTCCCACATTTCTGTCTAGAGTTTGACTCGATATAATCTTTATTATGGATAATTTGAAAATACATATCAAATTTCTAAATTCTGTAGATTTAATGTACAAGGTAAGTATAGTTAATAACGTATTATATACTTGAAATTGCTAAGGGAGTAGATTTTAAATGCATTTACCACAAAAAAATAGTAACTATATGAGGTGATGAATATGTTGATTGTGATAATCACTTCATAATACATATATCAAAACATTACATTGGGCTGGACACAATGGCTCATACCTGTAATCCCAGCACTTTGGGTAACTGAGGCAAGTGGATGGCTTGAGCTCAGGAGTTTGAGACCAGCCTGGGCAACATGGTGAAACCCTGGCTCTACAAAAAAATTTAAAAATAAGCCAGGCATGGTGGCTCATGCCTGTAGTCTCAGCTACATGGGAGGCTGAGATGGGAGGATCGCTTGAGCTCAGGAGGCAGAGATGACAGGAGTCAAGATTGCGCCACTGCACACCAGCCTGGGTGACAGAGGGAGACCCTGTCTCAAAAACAAAACCCAAAAAACAAAAAACACATCACATTGTGCAACTTACATGTATACAATTTTTATGTGTAGAATATATAAAGTTTCTAAAATATGCACACAACTTACCAACAATTCTACTTTCAAGAAACTTGAATTTTTGAAATAATTATTTCCTGAAGAAATATTTTTGAGCACCTATATATTCCAATGACTGCTGCTAGGTATTAGGGAAACAAAAAAACTAGACATTGCTTCTTGCCTTCATGTACCTTACAGTTTAGTGGGAGAAACTGAATATATAAACAAGTTTAAAATCAAGTTTAAAAAGTATATTAAGTAGTGAAGAGAGCATATACTTTACCTAGGTTAATAGGAGCTGAAGGGGTTTGTAAGAGAGAGCTTCTATTAGAGAAAGCAAAAAAGAGTCACATTAGGAGGCAAATGCCATGTTCTAGAAACTGTAAGAAAACTGCTGTGGCTGGAGGGAAGGCCAAGTAAGGAAAGCATGCATGAGATATGCTTGAACAAGTAGACAGGAGCCTGATGATGCAGCGACTTACAGATTCTACCAAGAATTGTTATTTTGTTTTAAATGCCACATAAAAACATTGAAGAGTTTTAAGTTTCCTCTGTCCTCTGTGTTTATAATGATTGTAGGAACAAGGAGGAAGTGTATTAATGCCTATGCTGCAAAACAAATGACCACAAATAGCCCATCTTAAAACAATCCAATTTTATTCTGTTTCTGTGGGTCAAGGATCATGGTACTGGTGAAATGAGTCCTCTGATCTGGATCTCGCCAGGCTGGAATCAATGTCAGCTGCACCTTCAGTTAAAGCAGAGATGGATGTAGCAGGCCATCAGTATATTGACAATGTCTGAAATCTTTTGTGAGGGTTAGGGAAATGCCCAAAGTAAAAGGATTGAATTGGATGGGATCAATGAAAGATTAGAAAAGGAATCAAATGAGTATGAGAGTTGACCAAGATGGCCTATGTCGCCCTCAGCTTGACTAAATTTCAGATAGGCTTCTTCTCTGGGACCTGTTTTTTTAGAGCATTTATTTAAAAAATAAACTCGCAATTGTAAATTCTTTCCCTGCTCCTCTAAGATATAAATCTTTCTTTCTAAAAGCAAATCTTTCTAAAAGCGTCCTGCCAGTTTTACAATCCAGGACTGCTTTCTCAAGGACCTGGGAGCCATCCTTTTGAAATGCAGTCACCTAAGAAGATAGTGCCCCTATCTTCCATTCTCTGTGGGATGATAGAAGACTACATTCAGCTCCAAACTGTAAAACTACCTTCTGTCATGAATACATGAGAAAATTTACTTTTCCTTTCGGTAAGGCCAATTAGCAAGCACAGATGACCTAAGCTTTGCCCCACCCCAGGTCTTTGTCTCTCAAAAATCCTCCCGTCATTTGTTTTAGTGAAGTTGAGTTCAGACAATGTGTTCATCTCTCTTTTATTACAATAGCATTGAACAAAGTCTTCCTTGCTGGTTTAGCTTGCTTCGATGCAATTTTTTGCTTTGACAGAACAAAAGAATAGATTTTTTTTCAGGCAAAGTTTAGCATGTGTAGTAGCCAAAGGAACAAAGACATGAAGCATCCTGAGATAGTGTAGTCTCAATGTTACCAAATATCTCAGACTAAAAAGTGTTTTACTGTTAGTGTAGGCTGCAATGTCTTATTCTGGTAACCCTTGTTTAATCACAGGCTACAGAACAATTTTTGTCCCACCCTTCTTTCTATTATTGTTTATGGCAAAAGATATATATATATGTCTGTGTGTGTGTGTGTGTGTGTGTGTATATGTGTGTGTATATATATGTGTATATGTGTGTATATATATGTATATATATGTATATATATGTGTATATATACGTATATATATGTATATATATGTATATATATGTGTATATATACGTATATATATACATATATGGCAGAGTTTTTTTAGATATTGTTTTGGTCTTTTTTTTTTTACTAAAAGAAACATCTAGAAAATGCAAATAAGTCTGGGATAGAAGGATATTGGTTTTTTTGTGTGTGGATGATTTTACAATTCCTCACTTTACCTCTATAACAAGATGTCAGGGGTGTCTGTATGTGTGTGTGTTTATTAATTCAATAAAGTTAGTTCCAGAATACATCAGTAAGTTAGTACATATTCAGAATAATTTCAAAAAAGTATACAATTCAAATCAATATTCATATGATTATTCACAAACATTCAGAAATATTTGAGTGCCTCTGAATCTTCAAGTTTTAAATTAAATATTATTCTGTCTTCTATTTATTATTATAGATCTTCTCTTCACTCTTTTCCCTACATTTTACCCCAGCAGTATGGGCCAAATGGACCTCAACAATGAGTGGCAGTGCTCTCTGACTTTGATTGGATTCAGCAAATGAGGTGCACTTAGCAGAGATCTGATGGAGGCAGAATAGTGAAGTTCTCCCAGCTCCTTTACTGAAGAGTTGCTTCGAGCTGGCTGAGTCTCTCAGACAAACATCACAGCTTTTATAAGATCCCTCTCACTTAGCTTTCTCCATACAGCATTCCCACTTTTTCTTGCCTCCAAACCAATATTCTCCTTCCCCTTTCAGCCTAGGGATAATGATGTTACTAGCCTCAAGGTAACCTTTGTGATTTCCCTATACTCTGCTCAGACATCTATAACTAGTTCTCATTAAACTCTTCTTAAATTACACAAATAGAGCATTTTCCTGCAAAGCCAGTGAATGATGCACTTATCATATTTAGGGATCTGAGGATGTTATTATGTCATAAACTTTGAAGTCACTGGTATATGATTTAAATTATAACTCCCAGATAAGAATGCACAGTTACCAGTACTCTTTGTCTAAGTGTTTTAGATTAATAGTATTTATTTCAGATTAAATCAGAATTTAGCTAGAGAAATAAAGGAGGTGAAAAGGAAGTTTATGTCAGTTCTTTTTAATGCACCATATGGGAAAATCAAATTGAGTATTAGTTCTATTACATCAATGTAATAGATGTAGCCTTTTATTACGCTACATTACAGGAGTCAGACAGCGGGAGCTTAGTGACAACAGTCAATCATCTCCCTTTCCTAACCTAACCCTGCTTCAACAATCCAGGAAGTCTCTTTTAGGATGGATATTGCTTAGCAATAGAGACAAATGTAGTACATTCATTTGGGCTATGCCATAATTGCCACTGGGCCCTCAGGTTAGTCTTTTTTACAAAGAATATGAGTTATGTGAACAAAGAAGGATACACACCAAATAGTCCTGGATTGTGACCAGAATTCAACTGCTTACAGAGTAATTTTTTTTTTTTTTTTTTTGAAACAGAGTTTTGCTGTGTTGCCCAGGCTGGATTGCAGTGGGACGATCTCAGCTCACTGCAACTTCTGCTTCCCAGGTTCAAGAGATTCTCCTGCCTCAGCTCCCAAGTAACTGGGATTACAGGTGCAAGCCACCACTCCCAGCTAATTTTTAGTAGGGACAGGCTTTCCCCATGTTGGCCAGGCTGGTCACGAACTCCTAACCTCAAGTAAACCACCAACCTCAGCCTCCCAAACTGCTGGAATTACAGGCGTGAGCCACCATGCCTGGCCACAGAGCAATTTTTTTACCTAGGTAGGTTCTGCTCCTCCTTAGTTCAAACCACCAAGTTATGACATTAGAATCAGAACCTACTTCTAATCCAAAAAAAAAAAAAGCCCAACACAAAGGACTAAAACATTCTTGTATGCAGCAACTAATAATCAATATAAGGTCTTAACATTTCTATTTTTATCTAAAGACTTACAATCCCTATACAGATTTAACATTTTTTCTCTTTTCCATTTCTCCTGAGAAAATTAAAGAGAATTTAACAAAATCCCATATGTAGATTTAAAGCTCAACATATATAAAACCACTCAAGTGGTTTTGTCAACAAAATGGATATATAATAAAACATTAAATTACTCCTCCAGATTATCTCTAAATCTAAAACATTGTCTCTCCTGGTTGAGAGAATATCAGACTTAATCAAACCTATTAATGAAAATTTTCATACCTGTTTGGGTAACTTATTGAACTCCTCCTAACTCCAGTTTCTCCTTAGACAAATGATATATGGACAGGCTCAAATATTCCATGTATAGCAATTTGAAAGAACCCTTTGGATGAAAATTTCTGTTTAGTCCAACACACTTTTTAAAACTTTTTATTTAACATTATATAGTTTTAAATAGAACATTGTTTTGACAGAAATTTGAAAAGTATAAGCTCTACTTTGAATTTTTCTAATTATATAGAAGCAGAAATGCTCAAGCAGAAAACTATTGAAAATGCAAATTCAGCAATTTGAAAGGCTATTAAAAATTCTTTATTAAAAAAGAAGACCAGAGTTTTTAAACATGCTCAGAAAAAAAAAATGCTTAGAAAAAATCCCCCAGGGACAAATTATGAACTTGCTGAGAAAGAACTTTAAAAGTATATAGTTATCCCTTCTATTAATTCTGACTTTAGATTGTGGATGACTACAGATCATTTTCATAAATATATCTACCAGAAGTTTCTATAAAAACAATATTAGAGTTAGATTATACTTATGAAAAATCCACTGCCCCATCCAGAATAAACCCACCTTCTGACTCCTCTGCCCTGCATAAGTCTTCACTGAAGAGAAGGCTAAAGGAGGCAGTCTTGGACTAGAATTTTTGCAATAGGATGGTAAAATCTGAGGTACAGCTGTGTTTTATGCAAATTACATGTGACCCCAAAACTTGAGTACCCTTTGACGATTTGCCCACAGAAACAGCACCCCTCAATTAACTTCCAGCATTTGCTTGCTTTAAATAGCCCCAACGTGTTAAGTAGGTTAAAAAATATCCACATCAACTCTTCGTGAAAATACACAGCCTCACATACACATAACAAAGGTAGCATTAGAGCAATTGAGAAAAAAATATACTCCTACCACATGAAGGCATTTGAAATAATCCTTTGTTTAAGGGACTGAATGTACAATGGATTAAAGTTCTAGCTCAGCTGAACAACATAAGTCCTTATGTTGGGCATGCTCAGCTCTTGCTGAAAGGTCAAAGCTCTCCATGGACAATAGAGGCTACTGCACACACAAATGGGGCATAGCACATGACTCTGGAGATTCATTCTAAAAGTATGACTTGTCAGCTCTAGCATTACAAAGCATTAAAACCCAAACACTGCTCTCTGATGATAACATTGTTCCTAACTACTTGGCACCAGGAGTCACAGTGAAAACCACTGACAGCAATAAAAGGCAGACTAAGGAAATAGGATCCCCACTTCTCTGAATTTCAACATGACATTACACTATATTGCATTCAGTGCACGGCTAGATCTTTTTAAGTGTGAAGCCCATGGGACTTGAGAGAAAATTTTGATGATGCATTTGGAAAAACTGGAAAGCATCCTCACCTCAACACTACATATAAGCTTTCTGCTTCAATCATACAAATAAGCAACTATACCACCACCCTTCTGGTTTGTGTTCTGTTGTTTTAAAAGAGTTATGTAAAACAAATTTTTCCAATTCCAGCCTCAGAATGAATGCCAAATCAATTAACAGAGATCAAATCACAACAAGCTCAACCCGCAGAGATTTCAAGTAGGCATTACTTGAAATCAAGTATTTTGATGCAGACTGAATATTAATGTTGCATCAAATAAGATAGAATAGAAATTTCTAAGTTTCCAAAAATGGGATTGAATCCAGATTGTGAAAATCAGAGAGTGTACACAGATCTGTATGGTGGATTAGTTCTACACATATATTTATGTGACTGTAAACATAAAAGCCTTCTCCTAATTCTGATGCTGAAAGTTTCTTTAATAAGAAGCAAAGGCATTACATAAGAGATGCAGTCTAACATGCAAATATCCTTCAGAGAAGAAAAACATTTGTAATAAGCTTATAAATGACATTTCTGTGGATTTTCCTTTTTTCAGAGCAGACTTTGATAGTGAAAAGAAGGAAGAAAACATGTAGGCCCTAAAGATCCTTAAAAGAGGGAAAGAGGTGACACAAGGTAAAAAGGGGTAGAAGATCCTACAAATAAACATAGCCTCATAGCTTACTGCACAATTTTTTCAAGGTTTTATTATACCATAGAAAATTGCCCCAAAACATACTGACATACTGAGACCTCTAATATTTTATATATGTATATATATTTTTTAAAATATTAAACCAACATACGAGTTTCCAGTATGTAACAATAAGAAACATAGATAATAAGGAAAACATAATTTTGCCAGACCAACTTAAGTGTTTTTTTAGAGAGCAATTTCTCAGTTTAAGCACATCAGATATCTGCAAGAACATTAAGAGGCAGGATTAGCAATAACAAATAAATGCTTAACATTTATATTCAACCAGACAAATATCAAATGATGTATACGTCATTTGATGTATACAAATATCAAAATGATGTATACCTGGTGGAACTTTAAAAAATGACAACATATTTACTGATTTTGTTAAAAAGTCGGCTTCTTTTTGTTAAAAAGAAGGCTCAAAGGATAGGGGCTGTCCCATGTGAGATAATTCAGATAAAGCTTGGAAAAGGAGAGAGTCCAAGATCAGCCCCAGGGACGATCCGTAGGTGACTAATGCTCTCCTCATCCAGTAATAAATGGATTCATCCATACACTAGTCATCATCTGCATAAATCTCCCAGATTGCTCATGTTCTTTTTTCCAATTATCTAAAGAAATATTTTAGAACTTTGGGCAGTACTAAAAAAATAAATCTCTATTAATGACCTACTATGTGTCAGGAACAGTACTAAGCACATCATATAAATTATTTAACAAATATTTGAATGTGGTGGACAGAATAATGGCCCTCCCAAATATGTCCATGTCCTAATACTCAGAATCTGTGAATATGTTAGTGCATATGGCAAAGGAGTATTAGGGCTGCTAATCAGATGACCTTGATATGAGGGGATTATCCTCAATTATCTGGCTGGGCCAAATGTCCTTATAAGTAGGAAAGGGAGGCACAAGAGTGAGAGATTTGAAGATGCTATGGTGTTGGCTATTCTCTGTTGGCCTTGAAGGTGGATGAAGGAGCCATGAGCCAAGGAAAACACAGGTGGCCTCTAGAATCTAGAAAAGTAAATGAATTCTCCCATAGAACCTCCAGAAGTAATGCAGCCCTGCTGATACCTTGATTTTAGCCAAGATCCATTTCAGACCTCTGACCTTTGGAACTGTCAGAGAACACAGCTGTGCTGTTTTAAGCCATGAAATTTGTAGTAGTTTGGTAAAGCAGCAATAGGAAACCACTACATTGACTGTTCCATTATTTCATTTAATCCTTATGAAATTCTATAAATGTATTATTATTGCTATTTTACGGATAAAGAAACTGAGTCCGAGAGTTTAGTTAACTTGCCCAAATTTACCCAGCTAGTGGGTACCTAAACCAGGTTTCAAAACTATTCTAATTCCAAGGTCTATCCATTTAATTATTATAATTCTTCTCTCATGGGTTGATATTACCATACACTCAACATTACAACTCCCCACCACGTATTTATTCCAAGAAAAGATTTCATCACTGGGGCCTTACTCTGTACCTGCACATGAAGCAGCTGGTGCAGACTGTGGCTCTTTCAACTCAGAATGAATGAGAATGTGGTATAAAACAGTAAAACAGTGACTTATTGGAGGAGCAAAACTAGGAGTTTTACACATATAGATGTGAGCAATGAAGCAGGGAGGCATTCTGACAGCTGCTGATGACAAGCAGATTGGCTGCTATAGCACGTCAGACGCCATGAATCACAAGAGAGCTTTCAGTAATGGTTCCCACCAGTACAGCCCACTGACACCATTTTTCAGTGTTGACAGACTCAAACATTCCCATTTCCAGTGACTCATTGGGCAGAGACAATTTGACATATGGACTGACCACTCCTGGATAGGATCCCTCTACTAAAGAACATTAATGTATATTGCAGTTTTACTATTAATCATTTAAAGCACTATTGTTTTGCCTTCTGATTTATATTAGTTTTCATGGAAATAGCCATTGACTAAACCTCATGCTAAGTATGAATCCACTCAGATGTCTCTACTCCAAGTCTCAAGGTTTCACTCTTTTCCAATCAATTCTCTATCACATAAGAGATCTGGCAAGATTGCAACTTATGTTGTAATTCTGCAACCTGCACAATTAAATTTTGTGCCTGATTTTCAGTAAGCTATAAGAAACAAGGAATTTTTTAAGCAGCTCTCTGGTTCTCTGATAATGACTTTGGCTGGGAGCTTAAAGACCTGGGTTTGAATTTCTTCTCTGAGTGCTCCAGTGCATTCAAAGAAAAGCATTCCATACCACAGTGCTTGTAGTCGTCATCACTTCCATAATGGTCAGCACTACCAATGCACTTGATTATTAGGCACTTCCACACAGTTAACAGCAGATGAAAATTTTATTAATCCTGATGACACTATATACCATATATTACTAATATCTCATTACACATTTGCACAGAACTCAGTACTGTATTCAAGCTCAAGCATACAACCAATGCAATCCCCAAATCTCATCTTTGAAGGTCTGTTTCCTGAGACTACTCCTAATACCAGCTTTGTATTGGTTGGGAGACAGGAGAGAAAACCCATACCAGTTATTAACACAGAGAATATAACATAAAAAATTATTAAGGATAATTTTTTATCCTTAATTGGAAAACTGAAAAGACAAAAAGGAATATTAAGAAATCATTGAGATAGTCATACAAAGAGCAGCTACCACCTCCAGGAGCTGGGAATAAAAAGGGGGAAAGGTTGTAATGATAAAACTTAGATGCTTGGAGAAGGGACCCATGGAACTGAACTCAGATCTCTGAGGAAGGGGCAGTGTTCAGCTAGCTCTGGTGTCCCTGAGTAGTCATAATAAGGCTGGTTACATGAGTGTTAGAAAAACTGCAATCTGATATCCACAGCAGCTATGGAAAGAACTGACACTGCTTCTGAGATAAAGAAACTTTGCTGGGGAAATGCTGAAGGGAGCAGGCATGAGTACCCCTACCTCCTCTATCTTTGCAAACTTCTAGTTGCCCCTATTGGCAAACCCTAACAGAGAACCAGCCTGCCTGCAAAGCAGAAAGGTGGGTTTGCAGTGTCTCAGTTCAAGCAAAGAAACACATGGTATACTGTTTAGCTCATTCATTCACTCACCAAACATTTTTAAATGCCTACTATATTCTGGGCACTGGTGACCACTGAACAAAATAACAAAGTCTCCACTTTTGCGGTTGACATTTTGGTAGGGTGAGGCCAATAATAAATAAATAGACAAATATTTAATATTTGAGGTGGTAAAAAATGCTTTGAAGGAAAATAAATCAGTGATGGGGTGGAGAGAAATGGGTGCAGAAGCAGTAGAGATGGAGGCTGTGTAGATAAAGCATGAGCAGTAGAGCCACACTGCCAGCACCTGAGTCCTATCTCTGCTTCTTACTAAACCTATGATCTCAGGCAAGTTACTTAGCCTCTCTGTACCTCAGTTACTTTACGCGTCAGATGCAGATAATGGTGACAAAAATATCAACTTCATGGAATTGCTGTAAAGATTAAATAAATGGGTATCTATAAAGTGCTTAGAATAATATCTGGTGTATAATAAGTTCCATATTGTTAAAGAGTGGTATCATATAATGACAGACTACAATGAGCCTAGACTGGGAGGAGGGAGAGTGTGGTTACGGTAAAAGAAGACATAAAAGGTATGGAAACGGTAATGAGGAACAAAGAAGACCTGAACTCCAGGCCAGTGATATGAGGGATATAAAAGAGAAAACAGCTAACCGTGAGAACTCTGAGAGGGAGGCAAAGTCTTCAAAGGAGAGTCAGGTTTAAGCCACATTCAGAAAAGAGGCTGAGAATACTGCACTGTAGATGATAGTGGATGCAATTTAGAGAAAGACATAGAAGTGTGAAAGAAGTATTTGCCACTTATTACCTTACTTTTACTAAAAGTAAAAACGCTATGATTAGAATGATAAGGCCGGGCGCAGTGGCTCACGCCTGTAATGCCACCACTTTGTGGGGCCAAGTCGGGCAGATCACCTGAGGTCGGGAGTTCAAGATCAGCCTAACCAACATGGAGAAACCCCGTCTCTACTGAAAATACAAAATTAGCCGGGCATGATGGCACATGCCTGTAATCCCAGCTTCTCAGGAGGCTGAGGCAGGAGAATTGCTTGAACCTGGAAGGCGGAGGTTGCTGTGAGCCAAGATCACGCCACTGCACTCTAGCCTGGGCAACAAGAGCGAAACTCTGTCTCAAAAAAGAAATAAACAAACAAACAAACAAAAATGATAATAGTTTTCTGACGGTAAAAACACCAAAACATTTATTATGAGCAATAATATAATTTCTATAACACTGTCTAGTTTACAAAATGTTTTCACATCTACAGTGTTATTGCTCATAATAACATTGTAAAACTGAAACAATATACATTCACAATGAGAGTGAAGACATAGGCAAACCTAGTATTAGTCCAATAATTCTCAAACATTTGACAGTTGCTAAGAGGGTGAATATATCTACTGAAAACTAAAATAAGGCTTTAGGGAAAATATGTTGTAGACACTAAGATGTTTTCACATTGTATATGTAAAACAGTAGATGGATTCTGAGCTTCTGGTGTTTCCAAATAAAAAAAGGCTTTTTGGTAGAGCAATATACTAGTTAAACCACAAAGTACCTAGATAGTGGATCCCTAATGGCCCAATCACAAGGCCACTTTTCAGAGGTCCTACCATATTGGAAAACAGCCCTTAAAATGTGGCCATTCTGCATACTTGTCAACACACTGAAACCTCAAGGTGACCCACACTAAAAGGTCTGTCTCTGCTCTCTTACTCAGCTGTCATTCCCAGCATAATTTCAAGGGACTTCAGGGACTTCCAACATGTACTTTATATAGATCACGTAGAAGTCCAAAATGCCACAATAGTATCAAAAAATAGATTTTTAGGATAACAGAATCAAAATTAGTTTCCTAGTATGACACAAGATCTTAAAGAACCCTCATCTAATCTCTCACGTTATTGATTTGAACAATGAAGTAGAGCGAAAGAAAGTGACTTTACTCAAGGGCACACAGATTCACAGCTACATAGTGACAGTATAGGGCTAAATTTCTGGTTTCCTAGATACTGAGTTCAACATTCTCATTCAGCTCTACATGCTGCCTTAATATTATTGGGAGAATGATACAGGAAAGGGAAGCAACCTGGAATTAAAACTGATATAGGAAAAGAAATATTGGTGGGGAGGACATGTCTTACAGATGCATATGACTAACCTTACAGAAGAGAAAAAAGTGGCTCATCAGTGTATTTAATCACTGTGTAACATGCACACATATTCTGCAGATTTCTCAAGTGACAGGACTTAAAAATTTAATTTCTACAGCTTATTATTTCTACATTTGAACTGATTTGTAAAAACCTTGAAGACAACTCCATTTTCCAAGTCTTGGTATTCCCTCAAGCGCATCACAAACTGGGCCCACAATAGTTACTCAATAACTGCTTCCTATGTATGTACCTGATTATAATACTTGACAAAATATTCACCCTTTGGTTATGAAAATTATTTTTAATTTTTTCTTCTTTGTTTAGCAAAGCAACATTTAGAGTTATTCTAAAACTGTCTACTGATATATAGATTTTATTTAGAAAACATTTGTTTTATTCAGTTAGTCATTTTTTAGCAAAATTCACAAATCAAAATTATGATTTAGATTAATATAAAGTAACACATTTGAAGTTATGAAGCTTTGCTTCATGAAAGATTTAAGAAAACAAAGATTATTCTACATGAAATGCCACATAAAGCAATTTAGCAGACTTGAAAAACAAGAAAGGGGAGGGAATATGTGCAAAGAACTACATAGGAATGGAGCACTTTTAGTTTCTATAGTAACCAATATAAATGAATACTGTTTTGGAAAATGTACTAGCAAAGTCAGTGAGACGTAAATTTATGAACACAAAAACCAAAGACCCAATTCAATCCTATGGTATAAATCCACACTTTTCCTCTAAATGGAGCTGAAATTTTTTTAAAAGCCCTATTGCTAACTGGTCTGTTCAAAGGATTTTTTTCTTAATTTGCTATTCTGCCTTCTGGGTATTTGTCTACTACACAAACATTTATCAATAACTAGAAATGACTTTTTTATTGCCTGCTGGATCGTTTATTAAAACTCTAGTGGAGAAGCCAATGAGAACATAATTGTCTAACAATCCCTTCTTCCCAACTGTGTGTGGTAAATTGACTCCAGAGACCAGGACACACAACGTGATAACTTTTTCAAAATTAATTGAAATATTAATCATAAAACAAAAAAAGAAAAATATGTATATATTATTTACTTTTATCTAAGCGAGTAAATCTCCTTTGTTATAAAAACTATACTAAATGTATGTTTTCAGTTTTTTAGATAAAGAGAGAGGACTATGTGAAGTTATTTTCAGAGACAGAGCAAAATCCATTGCCCAGGCGCCCTGTTGTTCTTCTGATTTGTGTATGCTTAGCCTACTCAGTATAATAAAGATGGTCAAGGATTATACAATTTACACCCATTTAAACATATATACTTTTCTCCTAAAGTAAATGACTAAAACAAGACATTTATCTGAAGAAGAAACTTCCTGTAATCACGTAAGTGTTACAGTGATGAAGAGAGCCGAACAGTTATTTCAACATTTCATGTAAAATTGTCATGAAAAGGAAAAAATTTCACAATGTACAATGCAAAACACTTTCATTTAATACTTGTTTTATTAATATCATTGAGTTGTCTAGAAATCAGTGTCTTTAAGCATATTGAGGTTGATTTTCAACATGCCAATTATCTTACTCCAAGTGTTTATTCCAATGCTTTAAAAAGAAGGAATTACATCTAAATGCCTTGTGTCTGTATATTGACCTAGCTTGATGAACTGGTGATGCTGCTTCCTTCAGCCTCATATTGTAAAGTGTTCTTCCTACATCCTTCACAGTTACAATGTAATCAGATTTTCTAAATATCTAATTGTTAATACTCATCTTATTCCATAATGATGCTACTGATAGAGACTATGTGCAGACTAATAAGATCAAAGTCAAAATGACTGATCTTGCCAAAAGATCTTTTTTATTTTCTATTATGTATTAAGAAACACTATAGGAGGCGCTGGAAATGTAAGAATGAGTAAGATGCCCTGCTGTCCAGGATATCACAAGCTAGCCAGAAAAAGAAACAAAAAAAAATGGCTATCAAAATATTGTGGTTGCATAAGAATTCAGTAATTCAAAGGAAAAATTCAAATTAAAACAAGTTTTCAACATTTGTTATAATGTCTACTACTTTGTTTTGAAATATTTCTAGACTTGAAATTCCTAATTTTCCAAAATTGATATTTGTGAGAAAGTAATCACTAATACTCTGAAAGGTTAATATGATCTATATTTAGAAGAAAACCTTCAGACAAATTAAATTTAGCAGAGTTTATTTAAGCAAAGCTCATGAATCAAGCAGCACATTGAACAAGTTGAAGATCATTTAGCTCCACCCGTCAGTGTAGGCAGGCAATATTTGTAGACAGAAAAAGGAAGTAATGTACATAAAGAGCTTGGTTGATTATAGCTCCACATTTGGGCCTGGTGTGATGAGGCATTTGCTTTATATGGACATGGTCTGATCAGTTGGCAGTCTGTGATTGGCTGTTGGCAGTCTGTGATTGGCTGAAGCTCAGCTGCTATGATTGGCTAAGACTCACCTACTTGTTACAAGAATATATTCTTAAGTTAGGTTACAGTTTGTTCACATACTAAGATAGGTTGCTTTTTGCTACTTAGAGAGGCAGCTCTAAGCCAAATTTAATTTAACAGGACAGTTTCAAATATATGTGAGGCAATATATGTGGAATTGCTTTCCATGAAGTATTTTGAATGAGCCTTTTTCAAATGTCTGAAGAACTGTATACCATGTTAGTATAATTAAATTTTACACAACTGAAAATTTTTATATAAAAATAAATACTAATTATTCATATATGTTAAGATTTAGAAAGCGTATCCTTTTCTTCAATAAATACATTAACTTTACTGTAAAGAAAATTTGTTGCCTTACACGATCATCTATAATTTTAGTATTTCAAAGATGACATTATTTATTTTGTTATATTAAGGAAAAGTAAAGATGTTTCTGGAAGGCACCAGGAGTCCTGTCTGCACTGAGCACCATGAAGTTCACCTGCATTGAGTTCTTTCCCTTTGTACAACACTTACTCCCAGACCAAAAAATAACTCCTTCTCTCCAATCTGTGTTCCAGGCAAACCAATAGACTCCAGTTGTCTCCCGAAATGCTTAAAGTGCTTTTCCAATATCCACTATGTTTGGGCAACATATTAAAAATATACAACAAAAAATTTTTGCTATGTTTTTCTTCTTAAGCATGTAGGACACAGGGCTCAAAAGTAATGAATATTTCAATGTTACCAAATTCTTCAACTTCAGTTTTCATTATTGTTGATCTTGTCCTTCTGGGTGGGCATGGATAGTATTAAAACACTTTGTAGATATGAAGATTGGTTTGAAAATTTTGGCTACTTTAGTGCAATGCAATCTGTCAGTTTTCCTAAAGACTTGTTAGGCATGATCTAACATCACACCTAGAGGAACTGGAGTAACAAGAATAAACTAATCCCACAGCTAGCAGAAGAAAGTAAATAACGAAAATCAGAACAGAACTGAATGAAATTGAGACCCAAAAAATTGATACAAGAATCAACAAAACCAAAAGTGGAAAGGATAAACAACATGAATAGACCACTTGCTAGATTAACAAAGAAAAAAAGAGAGACTAGATCCAAATAAGCACCATCAGAAATAACAAAAGTGACATTGCAACTGATCCCACAAAAATACAAAAGATTTGTAGAAACTATTACGAACACCTCTATGCACACAAACTAAAAAATCTAGAGGAAATGAAAAAATACCTGGAAACACAGTCTCCCAAGATTGAATCAGGAAGAAATTGAAATGCTGAACAGACCAATATCGAGTTCCAAAATTGAATCAGTAATTTAAAAACCTATCAATGAAAACAAGCCCTGGACCAGATGGATTCACAGCTGAATTCTACCAGACATACAAAAAAGAGCTAGTACTGATTCTACTGAAACTATTTAAAAAAAAAATTGAGGAGGAGAGACTCCTCCCTAACTCATTCTACAAAGTCAGCATCACCAGGATAAAAAAAAAACCTGGAAAAAAACACAACAAAAAAGGAAAACTACAGGTCGGTCAATATCCTTGATAAACATAGACACAAAAATCCTCAACAAAATAATAGCAAACTGAATTCAATAGCACATCAAAAAGTTAATTCATCATGACAAAGCAGGCATCATTCCTGAGATGCAAAGTTGGCTCAACATATGCAAATCAATAAATATAATTCACCACATGAACTAAAATAAAAACAAAACCCATATGATTATCTCAATAGATACAGAAAACCCTTTCAAAAAGATCCAACATCCTTAATGATAAAAACCCCTAAGGAAATAGGCATCAAAGAAACGTACCTCAAAATATCCTTAATGATAAAAACCCTTAAGGAACTAGGCATCAAAGAAACATACCTCAAAATAACAAGAGCCATCTATGACAAACCCACAGGCAACATCATACTGACTGAACCAAAAGTAGAAGCATTCTCCCAGAGAACTAGAAATAAGACAAGGGTGTCCACTCTCACCACTCCTAATCAACATAGTACTGGAAGTGCTAGCAAGACAATCAGGCAAGAGGAAGAAATAAAAGGCATCCAAATAGAAAAAGAAGTCAAATTATCTCTCTTCACTGATGATATAATTCTATACAGAGAAAACCCAAAGGACTCTGACAAAAGGCTATTATAACTGATAAATGACTTTATGAAGATTTCAGATGCAAAATCAATGTACAAAAAGCTGTAGCATTTCTATACACTAATATAGTTCAAGCTGAGAGCCAAATCAAGAATGCAATTTCATTTAAAATAGACAGAAAAAATAAAATAAAATACCTAGGAATACATCTAACCTAGGAGGTGAAAGATCTTTATAAAGGGAACTACAGAACACTGCTAAAAGAAATTGTAGAAAACAGAAACAAATGGAAAAACATCCCATGTGCATGGATTAAAATAATCATTAAAATACCCATACTGCCCAAATCAATATACAGATTCAATGTTATTCCTATCGAACTACCAATGTCATTTTTCACAGAACTGCTAAAAACTATGCTAAAATGTATATGGAATCAAAAGAAAAAAGAAGAACCTGAAAAGCCAAAGCAATCTTAATCAAAAAGAACAAACCCAGAGGCATCACACTTGACTTCATACTACTCCATAACCCAAACAGCATGGTACTGGTACAAAAACAGACACATAGACCGATGGAACAGAATGCGGAACCCAGAAATAAAGCCATACACCTACAGTCATCTGATCTTTGACGAAGCTGACAAAAATAAGTAATGGGGAAAGAATTCCCTATTCAATAAATGGTGCTGGGATAGCTGGCTAGCCATATATAGAATGAAACTAAAGCCCTACATTTTACCATATACAAAAATTAACTCAAGATGGATTAAAGACTTAAAATGTAAGACATCAAATCATAAGAATACTAGAAGAAAAACCTAAGAAACACCATTCTGGACATCGGCCTTGGGAAAGAATTTATGACTAGGTCCTCAAAAGCAATTGCAACAGAAACAAAAATTGACAAGTGGGACCTAATTAAACTAAAGAGCTTCTGCACAGAAAAAGAAATTATCAACAGAGTGAACAGAAAACTTACAGAATGGGAGAAAATATTCACAAACTATGCATCTGACAAAGATCTAATATCCAGAATGCATAAGAAACTTTAATAATTGAACAAGCACAAAACAAATAACCCCATTAAAAATGGGCAAAAGACATGAACAGACACTTCTCAAAATAAGAAATACAAGCAGCGAACAAACATAAAAGAAAAAATTTTCAACATAACTAATTATCAGAGAAACGTGAATCAAAACCATAATGAGATACAATCTCGTACCATTCAGAATGGCTATTAATAAAAAGTCGAAAACAATAGATGTCGGTGAGGCTGCAGAGAAAAAGGAAGACTTACATACTGTCAGTGGGAAGATAAATTAGTTCAGCCACTGTTGAAAGAAGTTTGGAGATTTCTCACAGAACTACCATTCGACCCAGCAATCCTATTACTAGGTATACATCCAAAAGAAAACAAATCGTTCGACCAAAAAGACACATGCACTCTCACGTCCATTGCGGTACTATTCACAATATGAAAGACATGGAATCAACCTAGGTGCCCTTCAGTGGTGGACTGGATAAAAAAATGTGGTACAGATGGATTAAAGACTTAAATGTTAGACCTAAAACCATAAAAACCCTAGAAGAAAACCTAGACGATACCATTCAGGACATAGGCATGGGCAAGGACTTCATGACTAAAACACCAAAAGCAATAGCAACAAAAGCCAAAATAGACAAATGGGTTCTAATTAAACTAAAGAGCTTCTGCACAGCAAAAGAAACTACCATCAGAGTGAACAGGCAACCTAGAGAATGGGAGAAAATTTTTGCAATCTACTCATCTGACAAAGGGCTAATATCCAGAAACTACAAAGAACTTAAACAAATCTGCAAGAAAAAAATGAACAACCCCATCAAAAAGTGGGCAAAGGATATGAACAGGCAATTCTCAAAAGAAGACATTTATGCAGCCAACAGACACATGAAAAAATGCTCATCATCACTGGCCATCAGAGAAATGCAAATCAAAACCACAATGAGATACCATCTCACAACAGTTTAGAATGGCGATCATTAAAAAGTCAGGAAACAACAGATGCTGGAGAGGATGTGGAGAAATAGGAACACTTTTACACTGTTGGTGGGAGTGTAAACTAGTTCAACCATTGTGGAAGACAGTGTGGTCATTCCTCAAGGATCTAGAACTAGAAATACTATTTGACCCAGCAATCCCATTACTGGGTATATACCCAAAGGATTATAAATCATGCTACTATAAAGACACATGCACACGTATGTTTATTGTGGCACTATTCACAATAGCAAAAACTTAGAACCATCCCACATGTTCATCAATGATAGACTGGATTAAGAAAATGTGGCACATATATACCATGGAATACTATGCAGCCATAAAAAAGGATGAGTCCATGTCCTTTGCAGGGACATGGATGAAGCTGGAAACCATCATTCTGAGCAAACTATCACAAAGACAGAAAACGAAACACCACATGTTCTCACTCATAAGTGGGAATTGAACAATGAGAACACTTGGACAGAGGGTGGGGAACATCACACATGGGGGCCTGTCATGGGGCGGGGGGCAGGGGAGGGATAGCATTAGGAGAAATAACTAATGTAAATGATGAGTTAATAGGTGCCACAAACCAACATGGCATATGTATACCTACATAACAAACCTGCACGTTGTGCACATGTACCCTAGAACTTAAACTATAATTTAAAAAAAAAAAGTGGCACATACACACCAAGGAATACTATGCATCCATAGTATTTGCGGCAACATGGACACAGCTGGAGACCATTATCCTAAGTGAATTAATGCATGAACAGAAAACCAAATACCACATGTTCTCACTTATAAGTGGTAGCTAAACATTGGGTACTCATGAACATAAGGATGGCAACAATAAACACTGGGGAGGTCTAGAGGTGAGAGAGAAGGAAGGGGGCAAGGATTGAAAAACTAACTTGGGTACTATGCTCAGTACCTGGATGACACAATTATTCCTGACCCAAACTTCGGCATCACACTGCATGCCCAGGTAACAAACCTGCACGTGTACCCCCTGAATCTAAAATAAAAGTTGAAAGATAAGGAAAAAACAAAAACAACAAAAAACAGTTTTTAGCATGGTTCCTTCCTTCTTTGTTAATCACTGTATCCCTATGTACTGTGCTTAAGTGAGTTTGGGGATAGCTTTCAACTCTGCTATGCTTGCCCATATATTCACAATTTCTCCTGCTCTTTATTCCTCTCTTTAGATCTATATTTCCATCTGATATCATTGTACTTCAGCCTGAAGAATTCCTTCGACATGTCTTATAATGCTCATGTGTTCATGATTAATTTTTTCAGCTTTTGCTATAGCCTGGAAACTCAAGATAATACACTGAGGCATGGAGTTCAGCTTTTCCCTTCTCACCATTTGTTTCCCTTTTCTCAGGAGTTTCTGTCCTATGTTGCTTATTGTTAAAGGTCTGGAAACAGTTGTTTGACGTATTTTGTCTGTTTTTGTTTTTGTTATTCAAGGCAGGAGGGTAAATCTGGTCCCTGTTACTCTATCATGGCTAGAAGCAGAAATCTTACCCTTTCATAGACAAAAAATGGATCTGACTCTTTTTTTCCAGCTTTATTGAGGTGTAATTTAAAAATAACAATTATATATATTAAAGATGTATGATGTCATGTTTTAACATACATACGCATTGTATAACGATTACTATAATCAGATTAAGACATCCTCACCACACAGTTACCCTTTTTTGTGTGGCAGGGGGGTGGGGTGTGAAGACACTTCAGATCTACTCTCTTCACAAATTTCAAGTAAACAGTACAGTAGTATTAACTATAGTCACCATGTTTTGACCCTAGCAACTACCATTCTACTCTCTGCTTCTCTGTGAGTTCAACTCTTCTAGATTCCACATATAAGTGAGATCATACAGTATTTGTCTTTCTATGTCTGGTGTATTTCACTTAGCATAATTGCCTCCAGTTACATCAATGTTGTCAAAAATGGCAGGATTTCCTTCTTTTATATGAATAATATTTCATTATATATGTGTATAGTATATGTACATATATGTATGTGTATATATTATATATGTATGTATATAATATATATTATATGTATATATGTATGTGTGTGTGTATATTACATATACAAATATATGTATATACACACACACATACACATATACACACACAAACACACAACAGTTTCTTTATCCATTCACCTATTGATGGATACATAGGTTATTTTTGTATCTTGGCTATTGTGAACTTGGGGGTACAGATATCCTTTAGAGACACTAATTTCATTTCTTTTGGATATATACCCTGAAGTAGGATTGCTCGATCATATGGTAGTTCTATTTTTAATTTTTTGGAGGAACTTCCATACTTTTTTCCAAAACAGTTGTTAACAATTTACCTTCCCACCAACAGTATTAAAGGTCATTTCTCCACATTCTTGCCATCACTTGTTATCTCTTGTCTTTTTTATAATAATCATCATAATGGGTGTGAGGTGAGATCTCATTGTGGCTTTGATTTATATTTATATTTCTGATTTATATTTATATTTCTCTGATGATCCATGATTTTGAACATTTCTTCCTATACTTGTTGGCCATTTGTAAGACTTTTTAGAAAAAACATATCTATTCAGGTTCTTTGCCCATTTTTAATAGGATTATTTGGCTTTATTGCTACTGAGTTGCATGAGTTCTTTATATATTTGGACATTAAGCTTTTACTCAGTACATGGTTTTGCAAATATTTCCCCCCATTCTGTTTTCTTTTTATTGATGGTTTCTTTTTCTGTACAGACACTGTTTAGTTTGTTGTAGTCCCACCAACTTTCGATAAAACCTATGTCATAGAATATGTTGTTTTCATCTTTGTGTTAAGTGCCTTTTATGATTTATTAAGAATGTTGGCCGGGCGCGGTGGCTCAGAGTACTTAACGTGTCATTTGCAATTGGAGGACCTAGTGGTCTGTTGTCTATTTATACCTGTGCAATCTACATCATGATTTACTCTGGCTAGCTGTTCTAATGGCAAAGCAAGGAAGAATTTCCTGAGTTGCACATGGCTTGTACCCTCAGAGAATGCATGAATTTCCCTTCAAAAACCAGGAGGAAAAAGCTGGCTTTATTGATCTTAGGCCCTGTCCAAAAAACTAACTAGAGGTACAAAATAGATCTCAGTAAAAACAATCTGAAGGTACTGCTGGGTTACACGGTGCTAAAAAAAATAAGTAAATGACTTAGTATAAATTAGATATGCTGTCCTCTATAAGGAAACTTGTCTTAGGTGAAACATCACCAGCATTTACAAGAAATAGACTTGTTTTTAAACACCTATTGAACCCAGAAGAGAGCACAGGTGCCAGACAAGGATGACAATGCCAATTGAAAGAGAACTCTTTTCCTACCTCCTCTCTACCTGAAGGGCCACAAAAAGGGTTTATGAGATGAGAAAGAAAAGGATTTAGGAATGCTAATTAGAAGCCTCAATTTTAAAGCAAGTTTGGATATTTGATAATTACAAAGAAAAGATCACATCAATTGCTATATTGAGATGCTGTGATCTCTAGTGACTATTGAAACTTTTATGTTACCTAAAAGAGACCAGAGATGTTATGGGGTCTGCCCAAGTTTTCATTCAGGGGCAGGGGAAGAACTAACTCCATAGTTTAGATTTAGAGGACAGTCAATATGAGAGGAGTCAAAAATAGGGTGGCCTGGTATTACATCCCATAGATTGTTCTTGTTCAGTATAAAGGTTTTGTATATTTTTGTATACAAAATACACAACTTCTACTTCTTCACTGAAGTTAATATTAGATATGGAAAGCTAAATCATAATTCTGCTGTATAAGAAATACACCATAATGATTAAGGAAATAATAATGTTTATTTACAATCATAAAAATATGTAGAATAGCTTTTTAGTTATGTAAATTTACCCAAGAAGGTAGTTGAAATGAAAGTAAGAGAAAAGCCTATTATGAGCTCTTTTTTAAACCTCTTCATGGTGTCCTTTTAAGTTGTTTAATTTTAACAACTCTATTCCCTTCGGTGTAAACATTTTGATTTCAGCAACATTTCATAATTTATCCAACATGTAAAATCACATTAATGCAATGTTTGACTAAATTTGATTTTTTTAAAAAAATTTGTTCATTTTAGACAAGAAAATGTGCTTCAAAGAAATCAGAAATTATTATCACATTATGTATTACAGCCATTTATTTGTGGAAATGGAGCATGAAATAAACTATTTAGTTCATTAGCTCGAGTAGGAGAGCACTGTTCAAGCATGTCGTCCATTAATCATTGATAACCAGTGTTTAGTGTGCAGACATGCAAGACTGCTAATCTGGCTAAATAATATAGAATCCTCTTTATCAACATCATAGTATGTGCAACTTTTATGTGTCATTTATCACAGTCCCCTTGGCAGAGCCCATGGAAAAAAAGCTTTGAATTGAGATTAATTAAATAGTAAAGCTTTATGTGTTTTCAGAAAACAGATCTTGAAATTTTCAAATATTTTCCTTGTTCTTTTTTTTCTCTTATGATATCTCAAACGAAATTTGGCAAGACATCTGTGTGACCAGTTCAATCTCTAACTCCCTTTTGAAATCATGGTCTACCCTGTTCTTATAACAAATGATTGATGTCCTGTCAATAATCAACTCCTGATGAATGCTGCTGAATAATCATCAGTAATATTGAATGGGAGGAAATCCAAATGAAATCTTGTACACAGTGTATTCAAATAATCATTTTCCTCGGCATCGAAATACTAGAGGTAGATTGATTATACTTTAGAGATAAGAGCAGTGGATATTTTCTTCCCAAGGTTATCAATAAAATCACTTATAAAATTAACTCTGCCACTTTCCAAATATACTGCCCACCCTTAATAGCAAAAACTTTAAATTCTCTTTAAAACAAAATAGCAGCACTATTCAAAATTGTGATACTATGGAAATGTCAAAGTTCCTATGACAGCTTAATAATAAGCTGGTATAGTCACATAATGGAGCACATAGAGCAATGAGAATAAACACCCTGCAACTCAACAATATAGATGAATCTCACAAACACGTTAAGCAAAAGAATCAAGACCTCAAAGCTATATACTGTATGATTACACTAGTATAGAGTACAAAAAAGCAACAAAATTGAATTGTGCTATTAGAAGTCAGGGTGTGGTTACTTTTGATGGAGGCATCAGTGGTGAGGAATGGTTAGTGACTAGCAAGGAATGTGTGAGAGTTTTCTGGGCTGCTGGTGATATCTGTTTTGTGAGCGGGGTGCTTCTTGATCACACATGTTGACGTTGTAAAAATCCAGTGAGCTGTATACTTATGGTGTGGGCTGTTTTCTTTTCTTTTTCTTTTTTTTTTGAGACGAAGTCTGCTCTGTCGCCCAGGTTGGAGTGCAGTGGAGCGATCTCGGCTCACTGCAAGCTCTGCCTCCTGGGTTCACACCATTCTCCTGCCTCAGCCTCCCGAGTAGGTGGGACTACAGGCACCCACCACCATGCCCAGCTAATTTTTTGTATTTTTTAGTAGACATGGGGTTTCACCATGTTAGCCAGGATGGTCTCGATCTCCTGACCTCGTGATCCACATGCCTTGGCCTCCCAAAGTGCTGTGATTAAAGGCATGAGCCACCGTGCGATATGGGCTGTTTTCTGTAGGTAGGTTATACCTCAATAGAATGTTAAAAAATGATTCTACATGGATGTAGAACAAAATATATAGGTCTCTTTCTTTTCATAGACAGAGGATCTGGGTGAAGAGAGACTGAGACACAGGTGTCCTAAAGCAGAGGACAACAGTGCAGAAAGAGGACCTGTGCCATCTGAAGGCATGCCTCACAGCAGAGAAACATCAACTCACCTGAAAGGGAAGCAATGGACAGTTGCATTAATGAAATTGGATCATGCTTTCTGCTTGTTATTAAATTTTACTTTCTGATAGTTAAGGAATGCTTGTAACTGAGGAAGTACCGACTTTTCTGGAAGGCATATTTCCCAGATTTGTAAGAAGAGTTAGAACCACAAAAACATGGTAGCAAAAAAGGTAACTCACCATGTCTTTTGGGCTTCGGGTACCCCAGCCTGAAAATTTGGTTCTATTTCAGCAATCAGGTAATTTAGTAGTATTTGTCTTTTTATATTCCCATTTAAATAAATCTAGACTGTATTACATCTGCTCTTTCTGAATATGTATAAACCACATCCTAAGATCTGCTGGCTGTGGAATTTAAATATTTGCCCAAACTGGCCACTTCACTTTCTCTGGGCTGGAAGTCCTGTAACACCAAGTCAATCCCATATATAAGCTCCTTTTATTTCCTCTTACATGACCAGGCTTGGACATGTTTTTGGCTTGCCTTCAACACTCTCCTTCAAGACTTAATTTTTAGCATCTTCCATTGGCAGATAAGGGTCCCTTTCACATCCAGGTCTTCAGATACAGCTTCCAAACACCAAGTGGCCACAGATCCCATCTTCTATCACACCATCCTATCAGGGGAACCAGACTAGACAAAGAAAAACTTAAAGGCAGTGCTAGTCCTGTCAAACTCAGAGGATGCTTTAATAGCATTTGCTCTGAATTTTGAATTGAATTAATTCAATTTGAAATTTGAGTTGAATTAATTCAATTTGAAATTTGAATTGAATTAATTCCCCAATCTGTACAGACTCACAAGATGGAGAGAGAAGTAATCATTGTTAATTGTAATAATAATAATATTGACTAACATTTAATCAGCCTTTATAATGTGCTAAGGACTGATTTACTGTGGTTATATGAATATCTTCTTTAAGCCTCACTACTGACAAAGATTTTCTCCTTGATCAAATTTTGGTCAGGTTACCATGAGCCCTCTTCTGAACTGGGACCTTGGCCCAGCCTATCTCAGCCTAGCCCAGTTAAGCAAGAATCTTGTTAACTCCATTTAGCAAGAATCTCCCAACCCTTAATACACGATCTCCCTTAATGTCTGATCAAATTCATTATCCCCTACCTTTGATGTATAAATCCCTGGCCTACCTTTAACAAAAATTCTTTTAGAACATTAAGCAAGAATGCCCCTACCCTTGATCTCTCCTCTTAGTAATTTTCCATTCACTGTCCCCTACACTCTGTTCTTTGGCTATAAAATCCCAGCTGCTTTTGCGGTAGTCAGAGGGAGCTCAGTTGCTCCCCACTATTGTGACAGTCATGACCCCTATTGCAATAGTCTTGAATAAAGTCTTCCTTACAGTTTTAACAAGCATGAGAATAATTTTTCTTTAACACAACCACTCTATGAGGCATGTAATGCCTGCATCTCCTTTCTACCAAGATAAAACAAAGACAGAAATTTCAAATAAAACATTTAAGTACACACAATAATACCCAGGATTGGAAGCCAGGCACTGTGACTTCAGAGGCTAAGCTCTTGGCTATTTTCCTTTGTAGGAAAATACTGTTCTGCTTCAAATTGTGTTTTAGCCACACACACACACACACACACACACACACACACACACACAAAAGTTCAATTGTGGTGATGTTAGACTAGGCTTTTATGGCTTATGAAGATGTAGGTTAGCAGGAGAGAAAAACAGACTAAGTTAATCTTTCTCAGTCAACCTCTTTTAAAGAAAATGATGCTACATGAACTTCAAAGGAAATAGAATTTAGTGCAATGAAAACTTAGCAAGTGAGAATAAAGTGGAGAAAATGCTGTTTTGACAATACCCAGAGATAGTAAAACCTTCAAGTTCACTGTTTTTTTTTTTTTTTGTTGTTGTTGTTGTTGTTGTTATTGACAAAATGTAGACTCTGCTGCTGAGAAGTTTAATAAAAGAAAATATATTAGCTAGCTTTTAGGTATAGGTCAGTGAAATCCACATTAGGGACCACTTTTGTTACATATCAGAAATCTTTTTATTAGGTACAATGCAGTTCTTTCACTCTCTGTGCCAGACAATCTGGCTGGTTAAAACAATTTCATGTTTTGGAAGGTCATGCTTGAGGTGGGAGTAACAGGTTTAAGAGCTCAACTACCCACAAGAAGAATAGGAAAAATTTTACTCCTACTCAAGCAGCCAACCACTGTCAAAACTGAAAGAAGCATCAGTAAAATAAGAATACACTTACTGTAGTATCAGCTGTGAAGAAACTGGGCCACCTAATGGGAAAGTCTGAGGCAGAGAGAGGAAAAGAAGAGGAAGTAGCAGGAGGATAGAGAAAATCAGTGTTTTGGGCCCACACTGTCATGGCAAACAAGCTAAGTCTGTGGGTCTGAGGACTCCCAGGAACCTACATGTACTCAGGGCATCTCATATCCTGTGAGAACTGCTCTGAACCTACAAAAGGTGTCCTACCTCCACCTTCTAGGGCATAGGAGGACATATGAATGCATATCCACATATGTGAGCAGGGATAGGTAAAGACCATTCTTTCTCCCATTCTCCCCATTGGTAATAGAGTCCCCATGTTTTAGGTGGCATCATGACCTGCCAGCTTGAAGCTGCATTTCCTTGGCTCCCTTGCAGATAGTTGGATTAGAAAGATCTTGCCAAACGAATGTGAGCTAAAGAGATATGCACAACATCTGGGACTTGTCCTAAAGTCTTGCTCTTTTTAACTAGGAGACTGACATCAAGAAGCTTAAAGTAAAATTAAAAATTGGATGGCAGTAATAGGATTCATAATGGAAGCAAGCAAATAAATGTTTTTGTATTCGTCCATTTTCATGCTGCTGATAAGGACATACCCAAGACTGGGCAATTTACAAAAGAAAGAGGTTTAATGGACTCACAGTTCCACGTAGCTCACGAGGCTTTACAATCATGGTGGAAGGTGAAAGACATGTCTCAAATGGTGGCAGACAAGAGAGCTTGTGCAGGGAAACTCCCCTTCATAAAACCATCAGATCTCCTGAGACTTATTCACTATCATGAGAACAGCATGGGAAAGACGTGCCCCGATGATTCAATTACCTACCACCAGGTTTCTCCCACAAAGGGAATTGTGGGAGCTACAATTCAAGATGAGATTTGGGTGGGGACAGGGCCATATCATATCAGCTATCATGTTACATAAATGGTATAAATAAATACTACCATGTCACCAATAAATAGATGCTACCATGTTAACTGAGTTGGAAAAACAAGATATGCCTGAAACTAAACATGTCAATGGCAGTGGGGGAAACAGGTCAGATTTAAGAAATAATTATAATTAAGGCCAGGCGTGGTGGCTCACGCCTGTGATCCCAGCACTTAGGGAGTCCAAGGCAGGCAAATCACCTGAGGTCAGGAGTTTAAAACCAGCCTGGCCAACATGGTGAAACCCCACCTCTATTAAAACTGTACAACAATTGGCCAGACGAGATGACGCATGCCTGTAATCCCAGCTACTCAGGAGGCTGAGGCAGGAGGGTCGCTTGAACCCGGGAGACTGAGGTTGCAGTGAGCTGAGATCACGCTACTGCATTCCCACATGGGTGGCAGAGCGAGGCTCCATCTCCACAAAATAAATAAATGAATAAATAAATAAATAAATGATTAAAAATCAAACTCTTTTTTTTAATTTTATTATTATTATACTTTAAGTTTTAGGGTACATGTGCACTATGTGCAGGTTTGTTACATATGTATACATGTGCCATGTTGGTGTGCTGCACCCATTAACTCGTCATTTAGCATTAGGCATATCACCTAATGCTATCCCTCCCCACTCCCACCACCCCACAACAGTCCCCGGAGTGTGATGTTACCCTTCCTGTGTCCATGTGTTCTCATTGTTCAATTCCCACCTGTGAGTGAGAACATGTGGTGTTTGGTTTTTGGTCGTTGCAATAGTTTGCTGAGAATGATGGTTTCCATTTCATCCATGTCCCTACAAAGCACATGAACTCATCATTTTTTATGGCTGCATAGTATTCCATGGTGTATATGTGCCACATTTTCTTAATCCAGTCTATCATTGTTGGACATTTGGGTTGGTTCTAAGTCTTTACTATTGTGAATAGTGCCGCAATAAACATACGTGTGCATGTGTCTTTATAGCAGCATGATTTATAGTCCTTTGGGTATATACCCAGTAATGGGATGGCTGCGTCAAATGGTATTTCTAGTTCTAGATCCCCGAGGAATCGCCACCCTGACTTCCACAATGGTTGAACTAGTTTACAGTCCCACCAACAGTGTAAAAGTGTTCCTATTTCTCCACATCCTCTCCAGCACCTGTTGTTTCCTGACTTTTTAGTGATCGCCATTCTAACTGGTGTGAGATGGTGTCTCATTGTGGTTTTGATTTGCATTTCTCTGATGGCCAGTGATGATGAGCATTTTCTCATGTATTTTCTGGCTGCATAAATGTCTTCTTTTGAGAAGTATCTGTTCATATCCTTTGCCCACTTTTTGATGGGGTTGTTTGTTTTTTTTCTTGTAAATTTGTTTGAGTTCATTGTAGATTCTGGATATCAGCCCTTTGTCAGATGAGTAGGTTGCAAAAATTTTCTCCCATTTTGTAGGTTGCCTGTTCACTCTGATGGTAGTTTCTTTTGCTGTGCAGAAGCTCTTTAGTTTAATTAGATCCCATTTGTCAATTTTGGCTTTTGTTGCCATTGCTTTTGGTGTCTTAGACATGAAGTCCTTGCCCATGCCTATGTCCTGAATGGTATTGCCTAGGTTTTCTTCTAGGGTTTTTATGGTTTTAGGTCTAACATGTAAGTCTTTAATCCATCTTGAATTAATTTTTGTATAAGGTGTAAGGAAGGGATCCAGTTTCAGCCTTCTACATATGGCTAGCCAGTTTTCCCAGCACCATTTATTAAATAGGGAATCCTTTCCCCATTGCTTATTTTTGTCAGGTTTGTCAAAGATCAGATGGTTGTAGATATGCAGCATTATTTCTGAGGGCTCTGTTCTGTCCCATTGATCTATATCTCTGTTTTGGTACCAGTACCATGCTGTTTTGATTACTGTAGCCTTGTAGTATAGTTTGAAGTCAGGTAGTGTGATGCCTCTGGCTTTGTTCTTTTGGCTTAGGATTGACTTGGTGATGCGGGCTCTTTTTTGGTTCCATATGAATTTTAAAGTAGTTTTTTCCAATTCTGTGAAGAAAGTCATTAGTACCTTGATGGGGATGGCATTGGATCTATAAATTACCTTGGGCAGTATGGCTATTTTCACGATATTGATTCTTCCTACCCATGAGCATGGAATGTTCTTCCATTTGTTTGTATCCTCTTCTATTTCCTTGAGCAGTGGTTTGTAGTTCTCCTTGAAAAGGTCCTTCACATCCCTTGTAAGTTGCATTCCTAGGTATTTTATTCTCTTTGAAGCAATTGTGAATGGGAGTTCACTCATGATTTGGCTCTCTGTTTGGCTGTTATTGGTGTATAAGAATGCTTGTGATTTTTGCACATTGATTTTGTATCCTGAGACTTTGCTGAAGTTGCTTACCAGCTTAAGGAGATTTTGGGCTGAGACAATGGGGTTTTCTAGATATACAATCATGTCGTCTGCAAACAGGGACAATTTGACTTCCTCTTTTCCTAATTGAATACGCTTTATCTCCTTCTCCTGCCTGGTTGCCCTGGCCAGAACTTCCAACACTATGTTGAATAGGAGTGGTGAGAGAGGGCATCCCTGTCTTGTGCCAGTTTTCAAAGGGAATGCTTCCAGTTTTTGCCCATTCAGTATGATATTGGCTGTGGGTTTGTCATAGATAGCTCTTATTATTTTGAGATACGTCCCATCAATATCTAATTTATGGAGAGTTTTTAGCATGAAGGGTTGTTGAATTTTGTCAAAGGCCTTTTCTGCATCTATTGAGATAATCATGTGGTTTTTGTCTTTGGTTCTGTTTATATGCTGGATTACATTTATTGATTTGCGTATGTTGAACCAGTCTCGCATCCCAGGGATGAAGCCCACTTGATCATGGTGGATAAGCTTTTTGATGTGCTGCTGGATTCGGTTTGCCAGTATATTATTGAGGATTTTTGCATCAATGTTCACCAAGGATATTGGTCTAAAATTCTCTTTTTTGGTTGTGTCTCTGCCAGGCTTTGCTATCAGGATGATGTTGGCCTCATAAAATGAGTTAGGGAGGAGTCCCTCTTTTTCTATTGATTGGAATAGTTTCAGAAGGAATGGTACCAGCTCCTCCTTGTACCTCTGGTAGAATTCGGCTGTGAATTCATCTGGTCCCGGACTTTTTTTGGTTGGTAAGCTATTGATTATTGCCACAATTTCAGAGCCTGTTATTGGTCTATTCAGAGATTCAGCTTCTTCCTGGTTTAGTCTTGGGAGGGTGTATGTGTCGAGGAATTTATCCATTTCTTCTAGATTTTCTAGTTTATTTGCATAGAGGTGTTTGTAGTATTCTCTGATGGTACTTTGTATTTCTGTGGGATTGGTGGTGATATCCCCTTTATCATTTTTTATCGTGTCTATTTGATTCTTTTCTCTTTTCTTCTTTATTAGTCTTGCTAGCGGTCTATCAATTTTGTTGATCCTTTCAAAAAACCAGCTCCTGGATTCATTAATTTTTTGAAGGGTTTTTTTTTGTCTCTATTTCCTTCAGTTCTGCTATGATTTTAGTTATTTCTTGCCTTCTGCTAGCTTTTGAATGTGTTTGCTCTTGCTTTTCTAGTTCTTTTAATTGTGATGTCAGGGTGTCAATTTTGGATCTTTCCTGGTTTCTCTTGTGGGCATTTAGTGCTATAAATTTCCCTCTACACACTGCTTTGAATGTGTCCCAGAGATTCTGGTATGTTGTGTCTTTGTTCTCGTTGGTTTCAAAGAACATCTTTATTTCTGCCTTCATTTTGTTATGTACTCAGTAGTCACTCAGGAGGAGGTTGTTCAGTTTCCAAGTAGTTGAGCAGTTTTGAGTGAGTTTCTTAATTCGGAGTTCTAGTCTGATCACACAGCGGTCTGAGAGACAGTTTGTTATAATTTCTGTTCTTTTACATTTGCTGAGGAGTGCTTTACTTCCAACTGTGTGGTCGATTTTGGAATAGGTGTGGTGTGGTACTGAAAAGAGTGTATATTCTGTTGATTTGGGGTGGAGAGTTCTGTAGATGTATATTAGGTCCGCTTGGTGCAGAGCTGAGTTCAATTCCTGGGTATCCTTGTTAACTTTCTGTCTCGTTGATCTGTCTAATGTTGACAGTGGGGTGTTAAAGTCTCCCATTATTATTGTGTGGGAGTCTAAGTCTCTTTGTAGGTCACTAAGGACTTGCTTTATGAATCTGGGTGCTCCTGTATTGGGTGCATATATATTTAGGATAGTTAGCTCTTCTTGTTAAATTGATCCCTTTACCATTACGTAATGGCCTTCTTTGTCTCTTTTGATCTTTGTTGGTTTAAAGTCTGTTTTATCAGAGACTAGGATTGCAACCCCTGCCTTTTTTTGTTTTCCATTTGCTTGGTAGATCTTCCTCCATCCCTTTATTTTGAGCCTATGTGTGTCTCTGCATGTAAGATGGGTTTCCTGAATACAGCACACTGATGGGTCTTGAGTCTTTATCCAATTTGCCAGTCTGTGTCTTTTAATTGGAGCATTTAGTCCATTTACATTTAAAGTTAATATTGTTATCTGTGAATTTGGTCCTGTCATTATGATGTTAGCTGGTTATTTTGCTCTTTAGTTGATCCAGTTTCTTCCTAGCTTTGACGGTCTTTACATTTTGGCATGTTTTTGCAGTGGCTGGTACCAGTTGTTCCTTTCCATGTTTAGTGCTTCCTTCAAGAGCTCTTTTAGGGCAGGCCTGGTGGTGACAAAATCTCTCAGCATTTGCTTGTCTGTAAAGTATTTTATTTCTCCTTCACTTATGAAGCTTAGTTTGGCTGGATATGAAATTCTGGGTTGAAAATTCTTTTCTTTAAGAATGTTGAATATTGGCCCCCACTTTCTTCTGGCTTGTAGAGTTTCTGCTGAGAGATCCGCTGTTAGTCTGATGGGCTTCCCTTTGAGGGTAACCCGACCTTTCTCTCTGGCTGCCCTTAACATTTTTTCCTTCATTTCAACTTTGGTGTATCTGACAATTACGTGTCTTGCAGTTGCTCTTCTCGAGGAGTATCTTTGTGGTTTTCTTTGTATTTCCTGAATCTGAATGTTGGCCTGCCTTGCTAGATTGGGGAAGTTCTCCTGGATAATATCCTGCAGAGTGTTTTCCAACTTGGTTCCATTCTCCCCGTCACTTTCAGGTACACCAATCAGACATAGATTTGGTCTTTTCACATAGTCCCATATTTCTTGGAGGCTTTGTTCCTTTCTTTTTATTCTTTTTTCTCTAAACTTCCCTTCTCCCTTTATTTCATTCATTTCGTCTTCCATCACTGATACCCTTTCTTCCAGTTGATCGCATCGGCTCCTGTAGTTCTTGAGCCTTGGCTTTCAGCTCCATCAGCTCCTTTAAGGACTTCTCTGCATTGGTTATTCTAGTTATCCATTCATCATGTAGTTATCCATTCTTCATGTAGTTCTTGAGCCTTGGCTTTCAGCTCCATCAGCTCCTTTAAGGACTTCTCTGCATTGGTTATTCTAGTTATCCATTCATCTAATTTTTTTTCAAAGTTTTTAACTTCTTTCCCTTTGGTTTGAATTTCCTCCTGTAGCTCGGAGTAGTTTGATCATCTGAAACCTTCTTCTCTCAACTCGTCAAAGTCATTCTCCATCCAGCTTTGTTCTGTTGCTGGTGAGGAGCTGCATTCCTCTGGAGGAGGAGAGGCACTCTGCTTTTTAGAGTTTCCAGTTTTTCTGCTCTGTTTTTCCCCATCTTTGTGGTTTTATCTAGTTTTGGTCTTTGATGATGATGACGTACGGATGGGTTTTTGGTGTGGATGTCCTTTCTGTTTGTTAGTTTTCCTTCTAACAGACAGGACCCTCCGCTGCAGGTCTGTTGGAGTTTGCTAGAGGTCCACTCCAGACCCTGTTTGCCTGGGTATCAGCAGCGGTGGCTGCAGAACAATGGTGGCTGTAGAACAGCAGATATTGGTGACCTGCAAATGCTGCTGCCTGATCGTTCCTCTGGTAGTTTTGTCTCAGAGGAGTACCCCACCGTGTGAGGTGTCAGTCTGCCTCTACTGGGGGGTGCCTCCCAGTTAGGCTGCTCGGGGGTCAGGGACCCAGTTGAGGAGGCAGTCTGCCCATTCTCAGATCTCCAGCTGCATGCTGGGAGAACCACTCCTCTCTTCAGAGCTGTCAGACAGGGACATTTAAGTCCGCAGAGGTTACTGCTGTCTTTTTGTTTGTCTGTGCCCTGCCCCGAGAGGTCGAGCCCACAGAGGCAGGCAGGCCTCCTTGAGCTGTGGTGGGCTCCACCCAGTTCGAGCTTCCTGGCTGCTTTGTTTACCTAATCAAGCCTGGGCAATGGCAGGCACCCCTCCCCCAGGCTCGCTGCTGCCTTGCAGTTTGATCTCAGACTGCCGTGCTAGCAATCAGCGAGACTCCGTGGGCGTAGGACCCTCCGAGCCATGTGCGGGATATAATCTCCTGGTGTGCCGTTTTTTAAGCCCCTTGGAAAAGTGCAGTATTAGGGTGGGAGTGACCCGATTTTCCGGGTACTGTCTGTCACCCCTTTCTTTGACTAGGAAAGGGAACTCCCTGACCCCTCGCACTTCCCGAGTGAGGCAATGCCTCGCCATGCTTCGGCTCATGCACGGTGCGCTGCACCCACTGTCCTGCACCCATTGTCTGGCACTCCCTAGTGAGATGAACCCGGTACCTCAGATGGAAATGCAGAAATCACCCATCTTCTGCATCGCTCAGGCTGGGAGCTGTAGACTGGAGCTCTTCCTATTCGGCCATCTTGGCTCCACCCCCGAAACTCTTAAGATTTAGTGAATATGGCTTAAGGGATAAGTGATAGCCAAGATGTCTCAGCACATATATCTAGCTGACTGGGTGGTGGTGCCATTCATTGAGATAGAGAATACATAGAAAAAAGCAATTTTAAGGGATTGACTAGAAATCTTGGTTAGTTACCACAACAAAGCTGATGCATCTGACACAGGAATGGAGCCAAATTTTTCCTTCTTTGCAAAGAGTACCAGTGCCCTGAAAATACAGAGAAAAGACCTCATGCACCCCTTCTTCCACAGGTTGGAGGATGATCTCATGCTTAAAATGAAAGAACTATTCATTAATGGCAAAAACAGAGGCACCCGCCTCCAGGAAGCATATTAATTGTACAATCACTGTCATAATATGAGAGACTTTGCCTTCTGCATCTGAAAATGCCTCTCCATGTGGGGACTCAAAATCCAGTATGACAGGTGGAGTAGAACCCAAAAGCACACACAATGGAATTGAGACATAAAAAGGAGGCATGAAAATTTTATGCCATGGAAGCTCCAGTAAAGAAAGAGTAATAGCAATCAAAGATCACTATATAAGATGATTAAACAGCCACTCATTATTTTCTCCCATTTGTATTAGAAAAGGGTGCTGATCTTCATGCTATTCACTGTCATCAATAAACCTCTCTCTTTTTCTTGTTTTCTATAATGAACTTGTGCTGCAAGTGTAATCACTGCCATTTGAATAAAAAATATGGCCACACCCTCAATAGGAATTACCTGTGGGTGGTGGTCACTGTGTGGAGTTGAATGGGAAAATGAGCTTGATAAACAGCTGGGCCTGCTGGACCAATGCCTCGTCTGTGACACTGCCATAGCCCAGCAGTATTTGTTTTTTTAATCTGTTCAGAGGAATATATTAGTCCAAGTCCCACTTGGAAACAGAAAACATCCTTCCTGTGGTTGAAGTAGATATAAGGGAAAATATTATGTAGAGTATGGCACCTGACAAGACAGACACCTTCAGAAAAGTTGCCTGCAACTTTCACAAGCACAAAACAAAATACAAGCACAGTTCCCAGCTTGGTGGGTGCAGAAAACTTGCATCACATCATCCCCTGGGTGTCTTGAGTTTGCCAGAGCCCTAAGATTATCCAACAAGAAGCACCGAAATATATTAATTATAAACACTAACTCTGGAGCCAGACAACCTGGTTCAAATTCCAATACTGCTACTCAACTTAGGCAAATTCCATATGTTCTTTGTGCCTCAGTTTCCTAATCTTTAAAAATGGAGATATAATAATCTACAAGACTAACAGGCTTCTGGGTTAAATGATTTAAAATGTAAAATGTGGCCGGGCACGGTGGCTCATGCCTGTAATCCCAGCACTTCGGGAGGCCGAGGCGGGTGGATCACGAGGTCAGGAGATCGAGACCGTCCTGGCTAACATGGTGAAACCCCGTCTCTACTAAAAATACAAAAAATTAGCTGGGCACGGTGGCAGACGCCTGTAGTCCCAGCTACTCGGGAAGCTAAGGCAGGAGAATGGTGTGAACCCGGGAGTTGGAGCTTGCAGTGAGCCAAGATAGCGCCACTGCACTCTGGCTTGGGCGAAAGAGTGAGACTCCATCTCAAAAAAAAAAAAATAATAAAAAATAAAATGTAAAATGTAAAACAGAACACTCCCAGGTACTCAGTGAGAGTTGTTTACGCATTCCTGCTACTGGAAAAGGAGGTGGGGGACCCAAAAGGACCTGTTTAAAAATCAGCAGCAACACTGTCATCTAGAGTCCATCCTGAAGGGTTGTCATATGAACACACCATAGCCCAGGATCAGCCTCCTTCACCTGAAATCAACAATAGCAGTATAGAAATCCGAGGCATGGTGCACAGTCTCCCACTAAGCTGAATACACATTTTCCTTACCAAAAAGTTACCTAGTTGGGGGATTTTTTTCTCTATATTCTGGCCAAGAGCAGTCACTCTTATAACTTCCTTACCTGCCAGAAGGCTGCATCTCTTTTGGCCTGTTTAAAATTTTGAATTCTGGAACCTAAAACTTTTGGATACCTCAAGTTGTGGAGAACATAAAGCATCACATTAAAATGTGTGGGGTATGGGACTAAACCTAAACTCAGACATGGAAACATAAAGTGTTTCTCTACTGCCTGCTGAATTTGGGGCCACTGTAGGTTTCTAACATAATAAATGGTATCTGGGAATTCCTTGCAATACAGGGCTACAATTTGATCTCCCTGGTCATTAGCAAAGTCTAAAAAAATGGCTCACAACTTGGACCTCTCTGAAAACTTGTGCTGTCCGTGAGTTTGCTCTGAGCATCTGCTGTCTCCGCAAGCTTCATACCCAGATGACTTTGTGGCATGAGAGCTACTTTGTTTCCTACTTTGGAAAGGTTTTTTCTTTTTTTCCTGGTGAAAGTGCATTTATTACTATAATTTTTCAAGGGCAAACACATCCATGGCACCATGGAAGCTACCTGTGGTCCTATGTCACATACTCCTCCTCCCCACTAAGTTTACCATATTTGATTTAATGCAACGCCTCCTCCACCCAAATTAAGGTTTCTAACCAAGGTGTTTAGGTTTTTCCTCTCCTCCATCTTCCTCAGCAACAAATACTTTGGGGAAACTTCAAGAAACACATCTTTAATAGGACAAAAGACCACAAGACATGATCTAAAAAACAAGGGCTTTTGAGGAATTCTCAACATAAAGAAGGGAAATCTGATTATTAAACAAATATCTCCATTCCATTCAATCCTCTAAAAGAATAATTCCTAGTCCTCAATATGCTTATCCATAAAATCTGGAGACCTGTAAAATGCAAAGCCTGCCACATGACCCCAATCTTTTCATTGATTTTCCCTTCCAGACTTGACAATCGCGAACTATTATATACTCCCCTTCTTGACTAGTGAACAATAGAGTGTGAAAATTATACCATCCTGTATGTCCTGCATCACTAGAGGTGGCTCCAGTACCTCACTGATGGAAGGTAATTGGGTCCAAAGTACATCCTTAAGTTAGCGAAGTCATTCTCCGAAACTCAGATTAGCACCACACCATGTACATAAACTGGGGCAAGGACCATGGGCACATGTCAGAGCCCACAAACAACTCCTTTGGTCATCATAGCTGGAACAGCATCTGCCAGTCTCCAAAGTCAGCTTGGTCCACACCCAAAATTTTGACTACAGTTTGTTAATATATCTCACTGAATTAATTCCCCATCTATTGTTTCAAACACACACACACAACCCACAGAGGGAAAAACCTCTCCACTCCATTTAGGCAAGTAGAGATAATTTTTCTTTTTTTTTTTTTTTTTGTCATGCCATCGCTACAAGTTGGTCCTATACACAACACTCTCACCATAACCATTCTCTTTATTAATACCTCTCAGGTCTCCCTTTTCCCACTTTATTCACTTTAGTTCTTGCATTAACAGAACCTATGCTTCATTTTTTTTAAGGAAGTCATAATGAATAATTCAGGAAATGTTCCAGGAACACAACTATCATAAAAATCAAGAATTATCTTTGAAGTTCTCCTCCAGAAAGAGTAGTAGCTAGAGAAGCAGTGTAGTATCATGGTGAACTGCAAGGACTGTGGGGCCACATTCATGGTTTCAAATTTCAGCTCTGGCACTTATTAGCTGTTTGACATTGGGAAAATTACTTAACTTCCTTATGGCTGTTTCTTCATCCATCACATGGGGATATTAATGAGACTGCATCATAGATTTTTTTATGAGAATTATGAGTCTCGTTATACCTAAAGTGCCTAAAACAATGCCTGACACACAGAGAACATGATATAAGCGCTAGCTCATATTGTTGCTGACAACCACTGTGTTATGCTATCTCCTAAGGTAGAGAAGATAGGCTCTAGAGAAACAGACTTGGGTTTGAATCCTGACTCTGCCTCTCTCTAGCTGAATAGCCTCGGACAGGTTACTTATGAATATGATGACACCCACCTTATAGGATTTTAATAGGATTAAACAAACAAAAAAAAACAAGTATACACTCCTCAAAAACCACTAGCAATTATTAGTATTAAAAAGTTTTCCCAAGATATAAGAGAAAGAAGGGCTAAACTAAAGCAAATAAAAATTTAAAAACTGAAACTGAAACCCACACAGTTTCTAACTTTGCAATTGCTTAAACTAGGGAGTTAACACTTAGAAAGAAAGCTAGGAATGGAGGAGAATGGGATAAGTAGTTATTAATGAAGTACAATGACAGCATTTCTAAAATCTCAGCCTCTTCCCCCATGCCTTCTAAGTAAATCCAAGCTATTCTCCTGTTCCAATATTCAAAATTGCCTGCTTATCACTATGCACCAAGAAAAACGCAATTGTGAATCCCAAATGGCAATTCTAATACAAAGGTCCTGATTCTCAAAATGAGCTTTTTAAAGTTATTCAGTCATTTAAAAAGTTTTACGTTGATACCATAGAGTAAAACTAAGTTAGGTTATCTAAATCACCTCTTTAATTTTACAGATGATGTCACTGAGAGCAATAGAGGTTGAAAAACTTACCTAAAGTTATATGACTAATAAATAGTGGAACTAAAGTTAAATTAACACAGATTTCTAATTCCTAATTTCACTGTGTATGTAGGGTGCTTGCTTCTTTCTGTCTCTTTTTTTAATCATGTACTGGAAAGATGTTTCTCCTCTTTTATTGATTCATCTCTTTGGAATGTACATGTCTCTGTATCCCTGGGAAGGTGAAACAAGTACATACAGAAAGTAGAATTAAATGCAGGAACACAGAAAGTGGCCATGCTTCATTAAGAGCAAATGGAGTAAACCTATGTGTAGCAGAGCAGGGATTTTGCCATAGCTATCTGATTTTCCTTCTTACAGAATCTGTGTATTCCTTGCTCATGTCTCATTAAAAGTTGCTGTTGGTTTGCTGGGGTAATTTTAAAAGTTTTGAAGACGAACTAAAGTTATTGCCCTACACATGAGGACTTAACTGCACTTGAGGTTCGTTGACCTATTTACTTTCCTCAAACATTTTGTGCCTATGATAATGAGAACTTGAAATAGAGCCATAGTCAGTAGGAAAGACAGCATCATCTGCTTTTCAATTAAATTATCCAGCTCAACAATTTCTTATTTACACCAATGCTACAACCAGATGGAGGGGAGGACCTCTCACATCTATAGTTGACACTTTATTTTCTTTTCCAGATTCTAAGCTCTTACAATTTTCCTCATTTCAATCTGCTGGGGGAAAATGTTCGTTTTCTTATTTGAGAGACATAAGTTTCCGGTAGGGGTAAAATATAAAGCCTTACTAAAGTAGACATCATTCTAAATGCCGTTTTTGAAACAAGCGACCTTAAAGATTTCATTATGACTGCTTTTCAGAGCAACTGAAATGCCTAATATACAAATTGCATTTTATCCATGCTATAAGCAAGGAAATAAAACTGTAAATGCAATGTTTTGTTTTCAAAATATACAGTTTAGAATCATGCAATTTTTTTACTAACAGAGACAATGCATTTTTTCATTGTTAAATTAGTATAGGCCATAGTGAGAACCAAATTCTCCTAACAGTCTTATCTTCGTAATGTTAATATTGTGGTACCTGCTAACCACCAGATGTGAGTACCATAGCACCATCTTGCTTATATTAAGGGGTCCTCAACTGGCTTTCATGTCATGGCTCAAAGATGAAGGTACACGCTAATCAAAGGACTCTAAATTCCAGCCAAATAAAAAACCTATATCCTCTTATTGACTAAAAACTTGAAAAAAATGGAAATCAAAGAAAAAGAAGAATTTAGATAAAGGATGACCCAAGAAAACACCTTTAGTGAGACTCGCTTGAGAAGGCTTAATCTCGACTCAGATACTTTCCAGAACTTATTCTAGACTCCTCGCAGGATGCTAAGAGACTCTGTGGGATATCAGGAAGTATTACTTCAATGAAAGCTCAAAGAAATTGCCTTTCTATCCTCAGATAGAATGTTTAGGCCCATTCAAACAGACATGAAGGAAGAGGCAGAACAATATAGAACTGCCAGTATAACTTAGTTTCAGATCCTCAACTTCATAAAGGATCTCAGTGGGTCTGAAGGCTCTCTAGATTTCTCAGGCCAATTCCATGACCAGAACAATCTTATAGATATTTCAAATCCCATGTGCCTCCAATATAGCATCGTCTTTGGTGCTACAAGCTGCCCTATTTTAACAATAAATGATATAAACCCCACATCTTTGGGACATCAAGATGGCCTGCTTTTTTATTACTGACTATTCTTTGAATGTCCAAGTCATTGGGGCTCATTAGGAGGAACTCCAATTAATGTGTGCAATTAAAAGGAACCAGCTAGACAAGAGCAAACAAATTCTATGAAACCTTCATCTGATCAAAAGATCGCCTTCACAATGGTTCCTCAATAGTCTATCCAGTAGCAGTCACCCAGGAGACATAACCCTCTTCATCCTATAATAATAGGAATAGGTTTAAAGGGCATCAGGCAAAAGTCTCCTAGCCCTCAGTGGTGTCAAAATTTTGATGTCTTCCAGGGACTTCATCGCCTAATCTGAGACTGACTGACTGACTGACTGACTATACATACACATACTGACTACATATCTGACTACATATACTGACTGTATATACATACTATACTGACAATATACACCCTATACTGACTATACATACACACTGACTATAATTGACTATATATGCACACACAAATACACACGCATATATATATATTCATTATAATTTAGATATATAGAAAGATTTATGAAGTTGTATTAGATATTTATCATATTTTCCTGCCCTACATCAAATCCCTCTTATTCACATAATAGCAGTTGGGGATATCTTGTCTTTCCCCATTCTCAGTTCATATAAATGGATCTACCCCTGGCTCTGAGCTTCCATATGCCTCAGGCCTTGTCCATTAGAGCATAACACCTGATGACCAGAGGCATTTAATTGAGTAATGAGCATAACCCAAGCTACAGGACCAAAGAAACTCAATCCCAGGGAAATTTAATTATAATTTTAGAAAAGAAATTTTTGCCTTTAAAAGTAGGGAAAGTGGTAGTGGAGGAAAGTGGCTGGTTGATTCAGCTGAAATGAAGCTGATGCGGAAGGAAGGAAAAAAAAAAAAGCTGAGAGGTAAAGATAAACTAAACTTTGAGGACTTTGTTTTAGTTTTAAAATACAGCTCTGCCAGAAGACTGACCTATGCCTAGAATTTTCTATTATATGAGTCAGCAAACTCTTTTTTTCCCTTTAAGTCAGATCATATTACATGCAATGAAGAGTCCTCACTACGAGATTTTATTAAACCTCTTTAGCTTCATTCAAGCCTTACTTTTCAGATGAATCATAGTGCAAGCTTTTCAAAGAAAGCTAACTTTATTAATGAGTATCTTGTAAATAGGTACACACAGACATACACCATAAGTGTGGGTAATCTATCTTTCTTCCCAAGAAAGAAATGGAGTAATAATATGAATATCAGTTAGAGAATAGGATTTTTTAATATCTTAAATTCAACCAAAAAGGGTACTTTGAAACAAATCTGAAAATTTTCAAAATATCTTTAAAATTTTTGATATCAATCCATAGAATATCTTTCTGATGATAATAAGGCACATCTGAATTTTGGTAGAAAAACATAAAAAATCAGAAGACTATACATTAAACAATAACAGCTTTATTCAAAACATGTAAGACTTCCACAAGGGCTGTTTTGCTTTATAGTATGACAAGTGCTACCTTGTTGGCATTCTAAAGTGAACGGTGATGTGGAGAAAGGCAGTCCTTTCCATTCTAAAAAGGAAAATATTTGCATCTACTCTAATAATTTTCTGTCAAGTTAAGAAAAAGGACTGTTCTCATTATTTGTGTTCTCCCCAAAGCAGGCACAGAATATGTAGGAAATGAAAAAAAAAATGTTTAGAAGAGCTCGTTTTCATGCACTACGGATTCTAACCTTGTCTCCAAGAGCCAAGGTTGATGCATCCCATGCTAAATTAAATCTAAGATGTATGCAGTAATGAAAAGGGTAGCATTCCATGAAAAATTCCACTTTTCAGTTAAAGTACCTAGCGTTTATTAAATATGCAAAAATTACAATGTCAATATAACTGCAAAAATTAGGGTTTTCTTTTTAAATGTTTAAGCACTGCAAAGAATGAAACAGCTGAAGACTTTCACAGCTTGTTATCTGTATCTTTTTCTCAAAAAACCTGCACTAATAAATAGGCCATACACTTCCCAAAGATAAGGGATTGTTGTTCATATCCCAGTGAGCAGTTTATTGAATACATTTGAACAAATTGTCTTTGTTCAATGACTCTGACTAATTCTCCTGCTAGTTGGATCAGTGTTACAAACCTTGGTACCCTGTGATTCATAAGCATTCATATTTTTGAGCTGGTATATCCTCTCCATGCAGCTGATCATTGAGCACAAAGATGTTTTATATTAGAATAACATGTACCTTATTTTTTAAAACTGAGATCTGCAAAGGCTTAAGGAAGCTGAGGCAACAATATAAAAGATCTGAAATAAACATGTATTTGAATACTGTACCAATAACTGATTTTTTTCTTCTTAAATTACTTTTTCTGATAACAGTCAATAAGTTTCAGTAGGAAAATGCAGAAAACACAGAAAAATATACAGAATAAAAATCACCTGTAATTCCTACAGGTGATTTTGAGAATTAATTTTAGAATTAATTCCAAAAATATTAAAGTTCTAAAAACTTCAAATTCTTCCAAAAATTTTTAAATCTAGGGTGAAGAAATCTTTCCAGGCCTTTTTTTATTGTTCCTTTTTTTCTTCCAAATTTTATTTTAACTTCAGGAGTACACGGGCAGGATGTGCAGTTTGGTACTTAGGTTAATGTGTACCATGGTGGTTTGCTGCACAGATCATCCCGTCACCTAGGTACTAAACCCAGCATCCATTAGCTCTTTTTCCTGATGCTCTCTCTCCTTCCAGCCCTGACCCTCCAACAGGCAAAATATGGAAATAAATAAAGACCCTTTTTTGAAAATTTAGATTATATGCTAAATACTATTTTGTACTCTTTGAGGTTTTTTTTTTGTAATTCATGTCAGACAGGTAATGTGCAGACATGGTAACAGAGTTTGAAGGAGGCATATCTCACACATGAAAATCCAATCATCATGCTTAACATTCTTTGTTTTTTATAGTACATGTATCATGAACATTTCTTTACATCATTAATTATAAAATATGATCACTAACAACCTATAAGAATTTACTGACCTTTTCATTTAAAAATACTTTTATTGGTTTACTAGAGGGAAGATATCAGGAGACAAGGCTGATGTGTAGCTTCCACTTGGACAGAAAGAACAGCGTGTGGAGACTCACACCATGGACTTTTACTCCAGAAACAGCAGCAGGAGCATACCAGGAAGACTGAAAGAAATAACAGATCCTTTGAAAGAAGCAGCAGGCCACTGCAAATGCTGCAAGATAGGCAAAAAACGGAGTTCACAAAGTGTGAAAGGGGAATACCTGCCTCTAAACACATCCCCACTGGGGAACCTGAAAATCCAGATTACGGGAGAAGGATTTAACCTTACCTGGAGCTGCAATGGATTTAGTGTGAAATACAAAAGTAGAAGCAGCAGTGGAAAGAGCATCGTATGCACTCCCATTCTCCAGCTCGAGCCCAGGGAAGCCATCCCTGACTGTATTTCACAGGAGCCCTTGGGGAAGGCAGCCAACAGAATGTGGGAGGGGTCACAGGGTAAAAGAAGCTTCCAACTGAACTTTGTAATAATTTTGGCTGGGCGCAAACTCTTCTGAGCAAAATCCGGAGGTGAGGGGAACTGCTGCAGAAAGAAGAGCAGGAGTCTAGCAGACAAGGTGGGCAGATGGGCAGGGGCATGGCCTGAAAGCCATGCTGCTTTCTCAGTGGGGAAACTTACAGCCTGGGGCTAGCTCTGAGTCCCACTCTGCAGGCTGCCTGGAGATAAGCTTGTGTCTGTTAGAGGTGGGAGCAAGACCGGCCATGCCAATTGTGTGAGAGCTGGGTGAGGCCTAGTGCTACCAGCTTTCCCCACTTCCCTGGTGACAGAGGCAGCCATAATCCCCCTTCATAATAACCCCATTGGCCTGAGAATCACTCCCCATTCCTTGTAGTGGCCATGGCAAGCCCTACCCAAGGAGAATATGCCTAACCCTGCCCCCCACTGATGATATTTCTCTACTTGCCCTGATAGATCACAGAAGACATAAACTCCTGAGAGCTTTATGACCTTGCCTGTCACCTGAGAAACCCAAATTCTTATCCTTGCCAACTTAGGGCAAGCTTATATTCCCCTTCTACTATCAAGCTAGTGCTTTCTCAAAAGCTCCACCTCCTGGCAGGAGGCCAACCAACTCAGGAACTCAGGACATTACTGAAACTCATGACAAAAAACCCCTGCTCCAAGGAAGGAGAAAACAACAGCTAATTTCACTGCCTGCAACATCCTGGGTAACCAGTGGTCCTAGTTTGTCCACGAGACAACTTCATTGATAGCATAACCAGCATTCAAGAAAACCAGCACACTATCTACACACATATCCACAACCAAGGACTCTCACAGAGTCTACTTTGTTCCCTTGCCACCTCCACCAGAGCAGGTGCTGGTGTCCATGGCTGGAAGACCTGAAGACAGATCACATCACAGGACTCTTTGCAGACATTCTCCAGCACCAGCCCAGAGCCTCGTAGCCCCACTGGATGACTATACCCAGAAGAACAACAACAATCACTGCATCTGGCTTGCAGGAAGTCCCATCCTCAGGTGGAGTGTACCATATCAAGGGATCACTCCATAAGACAAAAGAATCTGAACAGCAGCCTTTGAGTTCCAGGTTTTTCCACTGAAATAATCTACCCAAATAAGAGGGAATCAGAAAAGTAATTCTGATATGACAAAACAAGTTTATATAACACCCCCAAAAGACCACATTGGCTCCCCAGCAATGGATTCCCACCAAGAAGAAATCTCTAAACTTCCAGATAAAGAATTCAGAAAGTTATTAAGCTTCTCAAGATACCAGAGAAAGGTGAAAAATAAAAAAGTTTAAAAAAATACAAGATATGGATTAAAAATGTTTCAGAGAAATAGATATTATAAAGAAAAAACAATCACAACTTCTGCAAATAAAACAAACACTTAGAGAAGTACAAAATGCACTGGAAAGTTTCAACCATAGAATCGAATAAGCAGAAGAAAGAACTTCAGAGCTTGAAGATAAGGCTTTTGAATTAACCCTGCAGAAAAAGACAAAGAAAAAAATAATTTAAAAAAATGAGAAGACTCCAAGAAATTTGGGATACGTTAAATGACCAATTATAAGAAGAATTGGTGTTCCTGAGGAAGAAGACAAATCTAAAAGTTTGGAAAACATATTTGAGGGAATAATCAAGTTAAACTTCCCTGGCCTTGCTAGACATCTAGGCATCCAAATATAGAAGCTCAAAGAACATCTCGCAAATTCATTGCAAAAAGTTCATCACCCAAGCACATAGTTATCAGGTTATCTAAAGTCAAGACAAAGGAAAGAATCTAAAGAGCTATGAGGCAAAAACATCAGATAACCTATAAGGGAAGACATAGCAGACTAACAGCAGATTTCTTAGCAGAAACCCTACAAGCCAGGAGGGACTGAAGTCCTATCTTTAGCCTCCTCAAACAAAATAATTGCCAGACAAGAATTTTGTATCTAGCAAAACTAAGCTTCATAAACGAAGAAGAGGTAGTCTTTTTCAGACAAATAAATGCGGAGACAATTTGTCACTACCAAAACAGAACTACTAGCAATGCTAAAAGGAGTTCTAAACCTTGAAACAGAACCTCAAAATACACCAAATTAGAACCTCCTTAAAGCATAAATCTCATTAGGCCTATAAAACAATAACACAATGAAAAATCCAAGGTATTCAGGCAACAACTAGCATGATGAATAAAACAGTACCTCACATCTCAATTCTAACGTTGAATGTAAACAGCCTAAATGCTCCACTTCAAAGACACAGAATAACAGAATGGATAGAAATCCACCAACCAAGTATCTGCTGTTTTCAAGAGACTCACCTAACACATAAGGACTCACATAAACTTAAGTTAAAGATTAGCAAAAGGTAGTCCATGAAAATAAAAGCCAAAAATGAGCAGGAGTAGCTAATTCTTGTATGAGACAAAACAGACTTTAAAGCAATAACAGTTAGAAAAGACAAAGAGGGACATTATGTAATGATAAAATGATAAGTCATACAGGAAATATCAGAATCCTAAATATATATGCACTTAACATGGGAGCTCCCAAATTTATAAAACAATTATTACTAGACATAAGAAATGAGAAGGATGACAACACAACAATAGGGGGTACTTCAATACTCCACTGACAGCGCTAGACAGGTCATCAATACAGAAAGTCAGCAAAGAAAGAATGGACTTAAACTATACCCTAGAACAAATGAATGTAACAGGTATTTACAGAATATTCTACCCAACAACTGCAGAATATACATTCTTTTCATCAGTACGTGGCACATTCTCCAAAATAGACCACATGATAGGACACAAAACAAGTCTCAATAAATTTAAGTGAATCAAAATTATATCAAGTACTCTCTCAGACCACAGTGAAATAAAATTAAAAATTAACTCCAAAAGGAACCTCAAGACTATACAAATACATGGAAATTAAATAATCTGCTCCTGAATGATCTTTGGGTCAATAATAAAATTAAGATAGTAATTTAAAAATTATTTGAACTGAACCATAATAGTGACATAACTTACCAAAACCCCTGAGACACAGAAAAAGCAGTGCTAAGAGAAAAGTTCATAGCATTAAATGTTTACATGAAAAAGTCTGAAAGAATACAAATAGAAAATCTAAGGTCACACCTCAAGGAACTAGAGAAACAGGAACAAACCAAACCCAAACCCAGCAGAAGAAAAGAAATAACAAAGCTCAGAGCAGAACTAAATGAAATTGAAACAAACAAAAATTAAAGACAAATGAAACAAAAAGTTGGTCCTTCGAAAAGATAAACAAAATTGATAGACCATTAGCAAGATTAACCAAGAAAAGAAGAGAGAAGATCCAAATAAGCTCAATTAGAAATGGAACAGGATATATTACAACTGATACTGCAGAAATATAAAAGATCATTCAAGGCTACTATGAACACCTTTACGTACACAAACTAGAAAATATAGAGGAGATAGATAAATTCCTGGAAATACTCAACCTTCCTAGATTAAATCAGGAAGAAATAGAAACTCTGAACAGACCAATAACAAGCAGCAAGATTAAAATGGTAATTTAAAAAATTGCTAACAAAAAACGTCCAAGGCCAGATGGATTCACGGCTGAATTACATTAGACATTCAAAGAATTGGTATCAATCTTACTGAAACTATTCCAAAAGATAAAGAAAGAGGGAATCCTTCCTAAATCATTCTATGAAGCCAATATCACCCCAATATCAAAACCAGGAAAGAACATAACAAAAAAAGAAAAGGAAAGAAAACTACAGACCAATATCCCAGTTGAACATAGATGCAAAAATCCTCAACAAAATACTAGTTGACCAAATCCAGCAGCATATCAAAAAGATAACACACCATTATCAAGTGGGTTCATACCAGGGATAGAAAGATGACTTAACATCCAGAAGTCAATAAATGTGACACATCACATAAACAGAATTAAAAACAAAAATCATATGATCATCTCAATAGATGCAGAAAAAGCATTTGACAAAATCTAGCATCCCTTTATCATTAAAACCCTCAGCACATTCGGCATAGAAGAGACATACCTCAAGGTAATAAAAGGCTTCTATGACAAACCCACAGGCAACATTATACTGAATGGAGAAAATTTCCATTCCTCCTGAGAACTGGAACAAGATAAGGATGCCCGCTTTCACCACTTCTATTCAACATAGTACTGGAAGTCCTACCCAGAGCAATCAGACAAGAGAAAGAAATAAAGGGCATCCAAATTGGTAAAGAGAAAGTAAAACTGTTACTGTTCACCAATTATATGATTATATACCTAGAAAACCCTAAAGACTCATCCAAAAAGCTCCTAGATCTGATAAATGAATTTAGTAAAGTTTCAGGATACAAAATCAATGTACACAAATCAGTAGCATTGCTATACACCAACAGTGACAAAGCTAAGAATCAAATCAAGAACTCAGCCCCTCTTACAACAGCTGCAAAAAATAAAATAAGATACTTAGGCATATACCTAACCAAGGAGGTGAAAGATCTCTACAAGGAAAACTACAAAACACTGCTGAAAAAAATCACAGATGACACAAACAAATGGAAACACATCCCATACTCATGGATGGGTACAATCAATATTTTGAAAACGATCATACTGCCAAAAGCAATCTATAAATTCAATGCAATTCCCATCAAAATACCACCATCATTTTTCATAGAGCTAGAAAAAAAATCCTAAAATTCATATGGAACCAAAAAAAAGCTCACATAGAAAAAGCAAGACTAAGCAAAAATAACAAATCCGAAGGCATCACATTACCTGACTTCAAACTATACTACAAGGCTATAGTTACCAAAACAGCATGGTAGTGGTATAAAAAATAGGTACATAGACCAATGGAACAGCATAGAGAACCCAGAAATAAAGCCAAATACGTACAGCCAACTGATCTGTGACAAAGCAAACAAAAACATAAACTGGGGAAAGGACACACTACTCAGCAAATGATGCTGAGAAAATTGGCAAGCAAGCCACATGTAGAAGAATGAAGCTGGATCCTCATCTCTCATCAACTCAAAATGGATCAAAGACTTAAATCTAAGACCTGAAATCATAAAAATTCTAGAGGATGGCTGGATGCAGCAGCTCATGCCTGTAATCCCAGCACTTTGGGAGGCTGAGGTGGGTGGATCACAACATCAGGAGATAGAGACCATCCTGGCTAACACCCCCCTCTCTACTAAAACACAAAAAATTAGCCGGGCGTGGTGGCAGACGCCTGTAGTCCCAGCTACTCTGGAGGCTGAGGCAGGAGAATGGCATGAACCTGGGAGGCGGAGCTTGCAGTGAGCCGAGATCGCGCCACTGCACTCTAGCCTGGGCAACAGAGCAAGACACTATCTCAAAAAAAAAAAATTCTACAGGATAACATCAGAAAAACTCTTATAGATACTGGCTTATGCAAATACTTTATGACCAAGAACCCAAAAGCAAATGCAACAAAAACAAAGATAAATAGATGGGACCTAACTAAACTAAAAAGTTTCTGCACAGCAAAAGAAATAATCAGCAAAGTAAACAGACGATGACAACCCACAGAGTTGGAGAAAATATTTGCAAACTATGCATTCCACAAAACACTAATATCCAGAATCTACAAGGAACTCAAAGAAACCAGCAAGAGGAAAAAAAATAATCCCATCAAAAAGGGTGCAAAGGACATGAATAGACAATTCTCAAAAGAAGATATACAAATGGGCAAGAAACATATGAGGAACCACTAAACATCACTAATTATCAGGGAAATGAAAATCCAAACCACAATGAAATACCACCTAACTCCTGCAAGAATGACCATAATTAAAAAGCAGAAAAATAACAGATGGTAGTATGGATGTGATGAAAATGGAACACTTTTATACTGCTGGTGGGAATGTAAACTAGTACAACCACTATGGAAAACAGTATGGACCTTCCTTAAAGAACTAAAAGTAGAACTACTATTTGATGCAGCAATCCCACTACTGGGTATCTACCCAGAGGAAAAGAAGTCATTATATGAAAAAGACACTTGTATATATGTTTATAGCAGCACAACTCACAATTCACAATTGCAAAAATATGGAACCAGCCTAAATGCCCATCAACCAATGAGTGGATAAAGGAAATATGATATAGCTATATATATCTATACCTATATCTATATCTATATCTATACACACCATGGAATACTACTCAGCCATAAAAAGGAATGGAATAATGGCATTAGCAGCAAGCTGGATGGAGTTGGAGACCATTATTCTAAGTGATGTAACTCAAGAATGAAAAACCAAACATTATACGTTCTCACTTATAAGTGGGAGCTAAGCTATGAAGATGCAAAGGCATAAGAATGATATAGTGGACTTTGGGGACTAAGGGGGAAGGCTGGGAGGAGGGTGATGGATAAAAGACTACACATTGGGTACAGTGTACACTGCTCAAGTGGTGGGTGCACCAAAATCTGAGAAATCACCATTAAAGCACTTATCCATGTAATGAAACACTACCTGTTCCTCCAAAACTAATGAAATAAAATTTAAAATTATATATATTTTTATTGAGAGCCGAATGTCTACTAAGCACTATGCTAAATGTTCAGTGAGGAGAAGTGAATGGACGGACCCTTATGGAGATACAAACATTAAACCATTAATTACATACTTGTGTACTCTGATCACTATTTTTTAAAGACACAGACAAGGTACTATAAGAGCAAATAATATAGGCGCTCAGCCTAATCTGAAAAAATCGGAAAGGCTTCCCTGCAAAAGCACAATTAAAGATGATGCCTTATGGAGGAGTAGGTGTTAAGTCAAATGAAGAGAAGAGGGGAAAGTAAGAAAACCAAACAAGATGTATGAAGTCCCTGGACTGAGAAAAGGTTTCAGAGTGTGTGAGAACACAAAAGTCAGAGTGGTAGGAGTGTATAACACTGGCACAGGGGGTGGGAGTTCAGCAGGATATTAGGCCGACAGAGTAGTCAGGCGCAGAGCCCTCAAGGTCTTTTAGGACATATTTAAAAATGTAACTCTTATAAACTAAAAGCAATGAGAAACCAAATAAAGGGATTTATGCCAGGGAGTGATATTATCAGATTTGCACTTTAAAAAGACCTCTTTGGCTGCTAGGCAGATGATGAATTATAGGAGAGCAAAGTGGAAGGTAAGAGACAATAAGAGAGCAATTGTAATAATTTAGGCTAGGTTATTGGTTAGGACCAAAACAAAGTAGTGGAAAGAGAGTGAAATATAATCAAAATATATTTTGGGAGTAGAATCAATGGGACTTGGCTGTACATTCAATGTGAGAGATAAGCGGCTGATGTCAGGATAATTCATAAGTTTCTAACATGAAAAACTGAGCAATTAAGACCCCATTTACTAAATGGGAAAGACTGGTGGAGGAAAAAATGTGAAAGGGACAATCAAGAGTTCAACTGAAAAGACAACAAATTTGAGCTGACTATGAGACACCAGAGTCTCATAAAAAGTCAAATTAAAAGTTGGATATTGGCTGTGCATGGTGGCTCATGCCTGTAATCCCAGCACTTTGGGAGGCCAAGGCAGGCGGATCACCTGAGGTCAGGAGTTCGAGACCAGCCTGGCCAACATGGCGAAACCCTGTCTTTACTAAAAATACAAAAAAAAAAAAAAAAAAAAAATTAGCTGGGCGTGGTGGTGTGTGCCTGTAATCCTAGCTGTTCAGGAGGCTGAGGCAGGAGAATTGCTTGAACCCGGGAGGCAGAGGTTGCAGCGAGCTGAGATCACGCCACTGCACCCCAGCCTGGGTGACAAGAGCAAGACTCCATCTGAAAAACAAAACAAAAAAAAACAGTTGGATATGCAGAGAAATTTGGTCCTCAGAAAAGGACCTAGGTAGGAGATTAGATTTTGAAGTCATTAACAAATTTATGGTATCTAATGTCTTTCCTAATTAGCAATATATTTTAGGAAGGGTATGTAGAATAAGCAAAGAGATACAGTGGGAACTCAAACAGATATCAAAAAGACACGAAGTCTAGGCAAAAATATTATTCAAAAGGAATGGTCATATTGGTAAGAGCAAAACCAGAATAATGTAGTGTCAAGGAAACCCAAAAAAGGAGAATGTTTCAAAGACAGAAAATTATCCATGTGAATGAGAGTTAATAATAATGACTGAAAATGATCCCCTGGAATTAACAATGTACAATCCGCAATGATCTCAATGAGAGAAGTTTAGGTAAGAGGTGGCAGTGGGGGAGAAGCAAAAGTTAAATGAGAATAGTATAAGAGTGGCAAGAGATGAAGTGCTGAAGACAGTATATGTACACCTTTTTGAGAATCTTGGCTGTAAAGAGCATTACAGAAAAAAATAGGTGAGTTCAAGGAAAGGTGTGTTCATTTAATTGCTTATTTGTTTTTTGTTTTAGAGAAGGAGAAATTCAAAAGCATGTCTGAATGCTGAACATGATCCAGTACCTAGCAGAGGTTAAAGGGAGAAGACACAAAATAACTACTTGAATAAGGTCTTAGGGAAGATAAGATAGGATGGGATCCAGAGCACCCATGAAGGATTTCATCTCTCATAGGAGATGGGTCCCTCACCTACTACCACAGAAAGAAAATAGGAAAGGCAGCTGTGCAAATATAAACAGTAGATTTGGAGTGACTATGCAGCAGCTTCCACTTTTTTCTATACAATATGTGGCAGTGTCATCATCTGGAACCCCAGCAGGGAGAAAGGAGTGTGAGAAATAAAGAGAATGGAGATTTGAAAAGACTGGAGAAAAGGTGTGCAAGTATGAAATAACTTTTGTTTAGCACAAGAGAATGGACTTGTCAGTGCTGAGGGCCCAGATGAAGTGAAAGCTAACTTAAAAGATGCATGATTTTCTCCAATAATTCTTAGTTGCAATAATACAAGCATGGGAAAAGCTAGTAGTTGAGTTTTTCCAGAGCTGGAATTTTGCCTGGAAGTGAAGCAAGAAGAGAACCAAACCTGCAGAAGAGTTTGCAGGAAAGTGATTTTAATGAAAAATGGACTGTAAGCTGAATACAGTGAGACCAGGAAGAGAAGGTAGAGCCAGTCTCATAATTTAATGAACCTACTGGTTGCACATTCAACTTACTCAAAATTTTTCATTATTATTATTATGTAAAGTTATGAACATCTTTGAAAATAATTATCCAATAAAAACATTATTTTATTTAGAGTGATTTCTAAATGGAGTTTCCGGGTCAAAGTTAATAAACATTTTAGGAGTCTTAATACACAGATCCAAATTGCTTTCTATTAGAGTATACATATTTTTAAAAGTATATGAGGATTCTCATCACATTCACTAGCACTGAATATCATTACTTTTAATTTTTCCCTGTTTGATAGCAAAATAATGGAAGAACTAATTAGAAAGGAGATATTGAGATACAAAATCAAAATACATTTTTCAGAGAGTAATCTACAATCTTTATTTTGCCTTTATCAACTCAATTTTTTAAAAGTAAATATTTTATTAATATTAATACTTTTTGAATGCACATAAATAATAGAACATAATGTTAAAATGTATCAACATTCCTAAACTATATTTTGTCTTCTAATAATCCCTCTATAGCCACATTTTTCCATGTTTTTTGTTTTAATTTCATTTTTTATTTAATGGGAGTTGGAATGGATGTTTGGCGAACCATGTCTGCCATTAAAGGCTTACATAATTCATGGGAAAATTAATGATAACTTGGCTGTAAATATTTATTTCTACTGTATCAGGATTTCACTAGAGGCCTAAGAAGAATACCAAAGGGGAAAAAATAAAAGGAGCTTGCCCTCACGTCATTTACAATCCCGTGTGAAAGACAATTGTATTAATGAAAATTTCTTAAGAGCAATGGATAAAGCAATATTTTTGTGAACATAAATTATTAAAGTTCAGCCAGAATGATCCCCAAATATATGTGAAGAAAAACGAGAGAAGTGTAGGTGAGTCAGCTGACTGGATCAACTTGTTAAATACCAAACTCCTCTTCCCTTACCCCAAACCTCGTCCCTCTATGTACTCTGTGTCTAATTTATACATCCAGTTGCCTAAACCAGAAACCTCAACAGTCTCTCTGATATACCCACATTCAACCATCTATCAAGTTCTATCCACTCAAGTTCTATCCACAAGATCTAAAACTTCTTGTATTTGTAACTTCCTCTCTAACTCCACTGCTGTCTTAATTTGGGCAGGAAGATTGTTTCTTGCCAGGAGGATTGGATTACCATTCTTGCCAGCACTCTTATGCCAGCACAACCACTATGAAAGAATTGTTAATTGAATGGAATTTTATTTCATCAAACCATATTAAATGGGAAAGGGCCATGAACTTCAGCCACTCAAACCTCACTCATATATGATACGAATTGTTCAAGTAGACATCCAAATTTTACTAGTATAGCTCAAAAAACAATTGAAAGTTTGATGTAGCTATGTGATTGATACAGTTCTGTCACTAATTTTCCTTTCATTACTTTACAGATATTTGCTGAAACTCTATTTAGTACCTATGTATGTGGTATTTTTCCTTTAAACATCATCGTTTTGATACATTCTCATACAAGTCTACATATCATAAATTCCTCTGTAAGTAATTTTGGTTTCATTAAAAGAAAAATAAGAGATTGGAGGTGGAGCAAGATAGTGGAATAGAAGACTCCACTGATCATCCCCCTGCAAGGACCCCAGTTTAACAAATATCTACAAAGAAAAAAAAACACCTTCATAAGAACCAAAAATCAGGAAAGCACTCATTTAATTGCTCATTTGTTTTTTGGTTTCAACTTCATGTTGCTGAAAGAGGCACTGAAGAGATAGAAAAAACAGTCTTGAATTGCTGACACCGCCCCTCCTCCCCGACTCCCACAGTGGTGACATGGTGCAGAGAGCATCTCTGGGTGCTGGGGGAAGAAGAACACAGAAATTGTGAGGCATTGAACTCAGTGCTGTCCTGTTAGAGCAGAAAGGAAAACAACCAAACTCAGCTGACACCCACTCATGGAGACAGCATTTAAACCAGGCCTCGACAGAGGAAAACTGCAGATCCCAGTGGGTCTGAACTTGAGTTCCCACAAACCTCATCACTGAAGGCTCCAGTGCTCTGTGTCTCCAAGTAAATTTGAAAGGCAGTCTAGGCCATAAGGATTGCAACTCTTAGGCAAATCCTAGTGCTAAACTAGGCTGAGACAGTGGACTGGAAGGGCATGCGATATACTGAGACACCAACTGGGGCAGCCAAGGGAGTGCTGCTATCAGCTCTTCCCTAGCCCCAGGCTGCACAGCTCCCAGCTGCAAAAGAGACCTCTTCCTTCTGCTTGAGGGAACGAGAGGGAAGAGCTGGGAGGACTTTATTGCCCATCTTGGATACCAGCTCAAACACAGCAGGATAAGTCACTGATCAGAGCCATGAGGCCCCCGTTCCAGGTCCCAGCTTCCAGATAACATTTCTAAACACACCTTAAAACAGAAGGGAACTCCCTGCCCTGAAGGAAAGATCTTGGTCCGGGCAGCATTCATCACCTGCTAACTGAAGGCCCTGAATAACCAGCAGTGATACCCAGGTATGATATTAAGAGCTTTGGATGAGCATCTAACGCTTGCTTCAGGTGAGACTCACGACATTACCAGAAATGGTGGCTACTGGGAAAAACAACTTCTGCTTCAGAAAAGCAGAGAGAAAAGTAAAGGGGACTTTGTTTTGTACCTTAGGTACCAGCAAAGCCACAGAGTGGGCAGAGTACCAAACAGACTCTTGGGGTCCCTGATTCCAGGACTTGAGTCCTGGATGGCATTTCTGGACCTTCCCCGGGGCAGAGTGGAGCTCACTGTCATGAAGGATGGGTCCCAGGCCATGCAGCCTTCATTGCAAATTGACTTAAGAGCCCTTGACCCTTAGGGGAACATCTGTGGTAGTCTGGCAGTACTCCTTGTGGCTTGGAGTAGTAGTGGCTTCAAGGTGAGGCTCCTCTGCCTTTGGAAAGGAGAGGGAAGAGTGGGAAGGACTGGATCTTGTGGACTGAGTGCCAGCTCAGCCACAGTACAACAGGATACCAAGTTGACTTCTGGGTCTTTGACTCTAGTCCCTGACTCCTGGATTGTACCTCTGGACCCACATGAGGCCTAGAGGACCTCACTGCCCTGAAAGAAAGGACAAAGGCCTGGCTGGCTTTGCCACCTGCTGATTGTAGAGCACCAGGGCCTTGAGTAAACACAGGCAGTAGCCACAGAGGGGTTACTGCAGGCCTTGAGTGAAACTCAGTGCTGTGCTGGCTTCAGGTCTGACCCAGCACAGTCAAAGTGGTAGTGGCCACAGGAGTGCTTGTGTCACTCCACCCCTAGCTTTACGTGGCTCAGAACAGAGTGAGAAACTGTCTCTTTGGGAAAAAAGTAAAGGAAGAGAACCAGAGTCTCTGCCTGGTAATTCAGAGAATTCTTCTAGATTTTGTCCAAGACCGTGAAGGCAATACTTCCATGAGTCTGCAAGAACCATGGTGTTACTGAACTTGGGGTGCCCCCCTAAAGCAGATACAGCTTAGATCACAACACCAAAGTCCTTTCAAATATCTGGAAAGCCTTTGCAAGAAGGACAGCTATAAATAAGCCCAGAGAGTTAAGGCTACAGTAATACTCCTCAAGGAGAGCAAGCCCAAGATACATAATCTTCAGATTCGCCAAGATTGAAATGAAGACAAAAATGTTAAAGGCAGCCAGAGAGAAAGATCAGGTTTCCCACAAAGGGAAGCCCATCAGACTAACAGCAGATCTCTCGGCAGAAACCCTAGAGAGAGAAGCCAGAAGAGAGTGGGGGTCAATATTCAACATTCTTAAAGAAAAGAATTTTCAACCCAGAATTTTATATCCAGCAAACTATAAGGGAAGGAGAAATAAAATACTTTACAGACAAGCAAATGTTGAGGGATTTTGTCACCATCAGGTCTGCCTTACAAGAGCTCCTGAAGGAAGCACTAAATATGGAAAGGAAAAACTGGTACCAGCCACTGCAAAAACATACCCAATTGTAAGGACCACTGACACTATGAAGAAACTGCATCAACTAACGGGCAAAATAACTAGCTAGCATAATAATGACAGGATCAAATTCACAGATAACAATATTAACCTTAAATGTAAATGGGCTAAATGCCCCAATTAAAAGGCACAGACTGGGCCTGGCATGGTGGCTTACGCCTGTAATCCCAGCACTTTGGGAGGCCTAGGTGGGTGGATCACAAGGTCAGGAGTTCGAGACCAGCCTGACCAACATGGCGAAACCCCATCTCTACTAAAAACACAAAAATTCACCGGGCATGGTGGCACATGCCTGTAATCCCAGCTACTCAGGAGGCTGAGACAGGAGAATCTCTTGAACCTGGGAGGCGGAGGTTACAGTGAGCTGAGATAACGCCATTGCACTCCAGCCTGGGTGACAGAGTGAGACTCTGTCTCAAAAAAAAAAAAAAAAAAAGCATAGACTGGCAAATTGGATAAAGAGTCAAGACCCATCGGTGTGCTGTATTCAGGAGACCCATCTCATGTGCAAAGACACACATAGGCTCAAAATAAAGGGATGGAGGAATATTTACCAAGCAAATGGAAAGCAAAAAAATCAATCGTGGGTTGCAAGCCTCGTCTCCGACAAAACAGACTTTTAAACAACAAAGATCAAAAAAGACAAAGAAGGACAATTCATAATCGTAAAGAGATCAATGCAACAAGAAGAGCTAACTATTCGAAATATATATGCACCCAATACAGGAGCACCCAGATTCATAAAGCAAGTCCTTAGAGACCTACAAAGACACTTAGACTCCCACACAATAATAGTGGGAGACTTTAACACCCTACTGTCAATATCAGACAGATCAACAAGACAGAAAATTAACAAGGATATTCAGAACTTGAACTCAGCTCTGGACCAAGCAGATCTTATGGACATCTACAGAACTCTCCACCCCAAATCAACAGAAGAGAAAGCCAAATCATGAGTGAACTTCCATTCACAATTGCTGCAAAGATAATAAAATGCCTATGAATACAACTTAGAAGGGATGTGAAGGACCTCTTCAAGGAGAACTACAAACCACTGCTCAACAAAATTAAAGGGGACACAAACAAATGGAAAAACATTCTATGCTCATGGATAGGAAGAATCAATGTGAAAATGGCCATACTTCCCAAAGTAATTTACAGATTTAATGCTATACCAATCAAGCTACTATTGACTTTCTTCACAGAATTAGAAAAAAACTACTTTAAATTTCATATGGAACCAAAAAAGAGCCCATATAGCCAAGACAATCCTGAGCAAAAAGAACAAAGCTGAAGGCATCACACCACCTGATGTCAAGCTATACTACAAGACTACAGTAACCAAAACAGCATGGTATTGGTACCAAAACAGATATATAAACCAATGGAACAGAACAGAGGCCTCAGAAATAACACCACATATCTACAACCATCTGATTTTTGAAAAACCTGACAAAAAACAAAAACAATGGGGAAATGATTCCCTATTTAATAAATGGTGTTGGGAAAACTGGCTAGCCATATGCGGAAAACTGAAACTGGACCCCTTCTTTACACCTTATACAAAAATTAACTCAAGATGCATTAAAGACTTAAATATAAGACCTAAATCCATAAAAACGCTAGAAGAAAACCTAGGAAATGCAATTCAGAACACAGGCATGGGCAATGACTTCAGGACTAAAACACCAAAAGCAATTGCCACAAAATCCAAAATTGACAAATGGGATATAATTAAACTAAAGAGCTTCTGCACAGCAAAAGCAACTATCATCAGCGTGAACAGGCAACATACAGAATGAGAGAAAATTTTTGCAATCTATCCATCTGACAAAGGGCTAATATCCAGAATCTACAAGGAACTTAAAGAAATTTACAAGAAGAAAACAAACAACCCCATCAAAAAGTGGGCAAAGGATATGAACAGATGCTTCCCAAAATAAGACATTTATGTGGCCAACAAACACATGAAAAAATGCTCATCATGACTAGCCATTAGAGAAATGCAAATCAAAACCACAATGAGATATCATCTCACACCAGTTAGAATGGCAATCATTAAAAAGTCAGGAAACAACAGATGCTGGAGAGGATGTGGAAAAATAGGAATGCTTTTACACTGCTGGTGAGAACATAAATTAGCTCAACCATTGTGGACGACAGTGTGGTGATTCCTCAAGGATCTAGAACCAGAAATACCATTTGACCCAGCAATCCCATTACTGGATATCTACCCAAAGGATTATAAATCATTCCACTGTAAAAACACATGTACACATATGTTTATTGCAGCACTATTTACAACAGCAAACTTGGAACCAACCCAAATGCCCAATAATAGACTGGATAAGGAAAATGTGGCACATAGACACCATGGAATACTATGCAGCCATAAAAAATAATGAGTTCATGTCCTTTGCAGGGACATGAATGGAGCTTGAAACCACCATTCTCCACAAACTAACACAGGAACAGAAAGCCAACCACATGTTCTCACTCATAAGTGGGATTTGAACAATGAGAACACATGGACACAGGGAGGGGAACATCACATATTGGGTCCTGTCAGGGGGTAGGGGATAAGAGAAGGGATAGTATTAGGAGAAATACGTAGTGTAGATGATGGGTTGATGGGTGCAGCAAACCACCATGGGACATGTATACCTATGTAACAAACCTGCATGTTCTGCACATGTATCCTGAACTTAAAGTATAATAATAATAAAAAAAGAAAACATGGTACATATACACAATGGAGTAGTATTCAGCCTTCAGCCATAAAAAAGAATGAGATCCAGTCATTTGCAACAACATGGATGCAACTGGAGATCATTATGTTAAGTAAAATAAGCCAGGCACAGAAAGACAAACATTACATGTTCTCACTTATCTGTGGGATCCAAAAATCAAACAATTGAACTCATGCACATAGAGGATAGAAGAATGGCTACCATAGGCTGGGAAGGGTCATGGGGGGCTAGAGGAGAGGTGGGGATGGTTAATAGGTACCAGAAAAAATGGAAAGAATGAATAAGACTTCCTATTTGATAGCACAACAGGGTGACTATAGTCAATAATAACTTAATTGTACATTTTAAAATAAAGAGTGTAACTGAATTGTCTGTAACTCAAAGGATAAATGTTTGAGGGGATGGATACCTCATTCCCCATGATGAGCTTATTTCACATTGCGCGCATGTAACAAAACATCTTGGGTACCTCATAATACATACACCTACTATGGACCCACACAAATTTTCTAAATTTAGAAAAATCATGAATACTGTTTTCAACATCATTCGATTTCAACTTTCTTGGTGTGTTTTCTGAACTTTTTTTTTAATTAACTAATTTATTTTTTATTATACTTTAAGTTTTAGGGTACATGTGCACATTGTGCAGGTTAGTTACATATGTATACATGTGCTGTGCTGGTGCGCTGCACCCACTAACTCGTCATCTAGCATTAGGTATATCTCCCAATGCTATCCCTCCCCCCTCCCCCCACCCCACCACAGTCCCCAGAGTGTGATCTCATTGTTCAATTCCCACCTATGAGTGAGAATATGCGGTGTTTGGTTTTTTGTTCTTGCGATAGTTTACTGAGAATGATGATTTCCAATTTCATCCATGTCCCTACAAAGGATGTGAACTCATCATTTTTTATGGCTGCATAGTATTCCATGGTGTATAGGTGCCACATTTTCTTAATCCAGTCTATCATTGTTGGACATTTCGGTTGGTTCCAAGTCTTTGCTATTGTGAATAATGCCGCAACAAATATACGTGTGCATGTGTCTTTATAGCAGCATGATTTATAGTCATTTGGGTATATACCCAGTAATGGGATGGCTGGGTCAAATGGTATTTCTAGTTCTAGATCCCTGAGGAATCGCCACACTGACTTCCACAATGGTTGAACTAGTTTACAGTCCCACCAACAGTGTAAAAGTGTTCCTGTTTCTCCACATCCTCTCCAGCACCTGTTGTTTCCTGACTTTTTAATGATTGCCATTCTAACTGGTGTGAGATGGTATCTTATAGTGGTTTTGATTTGCATTTCTCTGATAGCCAGTGATGATGAGCATTTTTTCATGTGTTTTTTGGCTGCATAAATGTCTTCTTTTGAGAAGTGTCTGTTCATGTCCTTCGCCCACTTTTTGATGGGGTTGTTTGTTTTTTTCTTGTAAATTTGTTTGAGTTCATTGTAGATTCTGGATATTAGCCCTTTGTCAGATGAGTAGGTTGCGAAAATTTTCTCCCATTTTGTAGGTTGCCTGTTCACTCTGATGGTAGTTTCTTTTGCTGTAAAGTTCATATGGAACCAAAAAAGAGCCCGCATTGCCAAGTCAATCCTAAGCCAAAAGAACAAAGCTGGAGGCATCACGCTACCTGACTTCAAACTATACTACAAGGCTACAGTAACCAAAACAGCATGGTACTGGTACCAAAACAGAGATATAGATCAATGGAACAGAACAGAGCCCTCAGAAATAACGCTGCATACCTACAACTATCTGATCTTTGACAAACCTGAGAAAAACAAGCAATGGGGAAAGGATTCCCTATTTAATAAATGGTGCTGGGAAAACTGGCTAGCCATATGTAGAAAACTGAAACTGGATCCCTTCCTTACACCTTATACAAAAATCAATACAAGATGGATTAAAGATTTAAACGTTAGACCTAAAACCATAAAAACCCTAGAAGAAAACCTAGGCATTACCATTCAGGACATAGGCATGGGCAAGGACTTCATGTCCAAAACACCAAAAGCAATGGCAACAAAAGACAAAATTGACAAATGGGATCTAATTAAAATAAAGAGCTTCTGCACAGCAAAAGAAACTACCATCAGAGTGAATTTTTAACCATATACCCTCTTCCTCTTCATGCAGATATCAAAAACCAGTAGAACAAAAAGAAAATGAGAGAAGGTTAAACAATATATTTAGTTCCTCCACTCTTGGTGCAACAACTTTTGCTTTTTTATCCATAACTTCCTCTCTTCCCAATTAGTTATACAGAAATCATTCTCTCTATCTAAGTAGAAAAAGAAAATGAATAAAGATTAACTATACCATATGCTTACGTTTGATATAAAACATGACCCAAAATAGTATTTTTAAATTATACAGGATCTTAATTATCTCTTACACAAAACCTGTATTTCATAACTAATTGAAAGTTAAATTCTAATATTTGGCACTGGAATGTATAAATGTTGGCAACACATAGATATAGAGCCTTCGGTTTTGGCTAATTTGAGCCATTATTCTGACTCACATAAACCTTAATATTTCAGTTAGCCTCACTAGGCTCCCTATTCCATTTGGAAAGAGCAGGACAAACAATTCACTTTCAGACAAGATCTTTGCTTCTCTTGATATATAAAAGTGGTCTGCTTTCCCTTCCAGAGGGGAAAAAAAGATTTATAATAAGAAAAACCACTACGTTTTTACCTTAAGGGCAAAATCCAGAATATCCTAACCTAAATTATCTCTCCTCTTCTGGTATCAGATTTGCATGCTTGTATTAGTATTCAACATTTAATTTGATTAAATACTCTATTTACATATCTAATGGTTGCACTGCATGATTATACTCCTTTTGTAGAATGGGAATATTTTTTAAATCCCCTTCATAGAGTCTGATTAATGCATTTAGTAAAATTTATCATTAACTTGCTACTAATTACTGAAATAATAAGGGAGAGGTGTTTGTTTGTTTGAGACAGAGTCTCGCTCTGTCGCCCAGGCTGGAGTGCAGTGCTGCCATCTCGGCTCACTGCAACTTCCACCACCTAGGTTTAAGTGATTCTCCTGCCTCAGCCTCCTGAGTAGCATGGATTACAAGCGCCCGACACCACGCCTGGCTAATTTTTGTATTTTTCATAGAGATGGGGTTTCACCATGTTGGCCAGGCTGGTCTTGAACTCCTGACCTCAAGTGATCTGCCCAGCTCAGCCTCCCAAAGTGCTGGGATTACAGGCATGAGCCACCACGCCCAGCCAGGGAGAGGTTTTTATTTAAGGGAACGGTGATCAGATTACTAAGAGAGGAAGATGGGAAGGAGAAATAGACAAGAAACAAATGAAAAAAAATGCGGTTTTAAAATGTTTTGGAAACACTACAGTATCTGTTCACATAGAAACTAGAAAGCCTGACCATCAAAAGGAATAAATAAGCCATTTGGGTTCTTTTTTTCAAGAGTGGTTGCTTATCTAGATATTTAGCTGAAGCCATGCTTGCTGGCTACAATTATTGGCTGCATACACCTGGCTCAGGTATTATTCTTTAATAATGCCTAAGATGATTGTCTGATTGTCTGTTTACCTTGGTACTTAAACTGGTCAACAAAACTATTAACTGGGAAAAACCAAAGGCATAGAATGGAAAGAACTGCCTTTGTTTAAACAGTAGGTAGTCCCTATAAATAACACACCAAATTACAAATTGCATACAGATGTGGTTCATTTAACCTTCATTCAACTGTTATTGAATTTCCACTCTGTGTCAGGTGTTACAAAGTTCCTGTCTCCAACTTGGTGTTGATCCAACTCTCCATTTTTCACTGTTCTGTCTCCAAGCCTTCTTCTCTTCTGAATTGCACACCAGTAGCAATCTAATAAACTAAATGCAAAGAGAAATCCTTGAAAGTTCTCTCCTTGAAATAGACAGGCACCATGACCTACTGGAAAGAACACAGACTTTAGGCAAAAACAGATTGATTTTTAAATCTGAAATTTGACTCTTAATAATGTTGTGTCTTCAACTTCTTTAGCTACGAGAATAAGAATTGTGCCCTCCTCATAGAATTCTTATAAGGATTAAACGTGATAATATACGTGAAATACATAGAACATAGTACGTATGTGATAAACAAGGCAATTTTTTAAATATAAACATTATCTTTCAAGGTTCTGGGATTTTATTCCCAGTTCTGGTCTAACAGCCGAAAGTCCATATTCCATGGGTACTTTGGAATGTATGTACATTGTATGCAGTTCCCTTCATGTGTCAACCACTAGTTTTAAGTGGGAAAAAAATAATGTTTTTCAAGTGCAGTTCCTGGCTTTTTCCCAATGCTCCAACAACCTATCTACTGTATTTATTTCCTGTCTCTCACTGTGTTTCTATCCCCCACCACCACCTTTTCCCATTCCAATTTACCAAACAGAAATTCCAAAAAAGAAAATACCTGAATCTGGAACTGAGTTTAGACTCACCTAACCAGCTCACCTGCAGGTTAACTGTTTTATAATCACCACATGAAGCACACATAATAAACAAAACAATACACCCTCTTACAGAGATGCACACTCACATGAGACACCACACAGCATTTGCTGCTTTCTCACATATCTATTCTCAGACATTTCCCTGCCCTCCCTCAGCAAGTCTATCAAAAGCTCAAATTTTCTGCGAGGAAGCAATTCTCTAAACATATATACATAGGAACATTATTTTGAATAAAAAGTATAAAAATTGGGAAAAGGTACATAGCTCTTCACATGTAACATTTAAGTAAATTTAAAAATATGCACAACACAATAAATCATATTTTGTAAGGGTACATACATATTCAACGGCATACAAAAAACACATCAGAATGAGTGCCTACAGGGAAGAAGGTATTGGAAACATGAATCAAAAATTAAAAGAAAAAAATAAAACAAAAGAGTAGACTTGCACAGATGAATTATGGTAAGTGCCATTAAGTAGGGCTATTTTAACTACTGGGATTTAAGAAAGATAATTCAAGCAAATGTTTTATTGTATTAGAAATGTTAGGCTAAGCTCTGCTGTAGTAAGATACAAACTCTGAAGATAAATGTATTACTTGTATTATTATTATTACAAAGCTGATATTCCTGAATATGATTTAACTCTGAAAGCTTTCAGGCTCTTTAAAACCTGAACCACAGAATTAGACAGGCTTAGTCATTGATAGTACTGAATTCATCAGACTTTCTAACACTGGAGACTACAACTATAAAACAATACAGAGGCATAGGCCTGAATGTGTGCCTCCTTTCTGTGGGCAGCTAGCTCCCAAAGAGAATGGGGAGAGAAAGAGGGTTTAATCTTCAAATGTTCAGTTTGTCCTTCCAAATTCACCAAATTGCTACTTGTTTCCCTTTATGGAAGTGGAGTAAGGGAGTGGGGAGAGCACAGGAATATTAACCTAACGGAACTCTCTTTACATGGGAGGAAGCATTAGGAGTAGAGAAGTTTCCCATCCTACCTTAAATACTGACTAAACCACAGTGAAAGTTTAAATAAATCTTTTGCCACATTTTTAGTCAGCTTAAAAAATTATACTACCACTATTGAATTAAGACCCTTAAATACAGTCATGCATTGTTTAGCAACAGGGATATATTCTGAGAAATGTGTCATTAGGCAACTTCATCATTGTGTGGGCATCACAGAGTGTACTCACACAAACCTAAATGGTCTACTACTGCACCTTTAGGCTATATGATATAGCTTATTGCTCCTAGACTACAAAGCTGTGCAGCATGTTACCGTACTGAGTGCTGTAGGCAAGCATAACACAATGTTAAGTATTTGCATATCTAAACATAGAAAGCATACAGTAAAAATACAATATAGGAAATTTTTTAAAAGTTACACCTGTTTAGGGCACTTACCATGAATGGGGCTTGCACCACTGGAAGCTGCTTTATGTGAGTCAGTGAGTGAGTAAGTGGTGAGTGAATGTGACGGCCTAGGATACTACTGTATGCAACTGTAGACTACAAACACTGTACACATACTCTACACTGAATTTATTTTTAAAAAATTCTTTTCTCAATAATAAACTAACCTTAGCTTGCTGTAACTATTTCGCTTTATAAACTTTTTAATTTTTTTTTAACTTTTTGACTCTTTTGTAATAACACTTAGCTTAAACACAAACACATCCTAAAAATGTACAAAAAATATTTTCTTTCTTCATATCCTTATTCCATGAGTTTTTTTTCTATTTAATTTTTTTTTTACTTTTTAAACTTTATTGTTAAAAACTAAAACCCAGGCTAGGTGCAGTAGCTCATGCCTGTAATCCCAGCACTGTGGGAGGCTGAGGAGTGTAGATCATTTGAGGCAAGAATTCAAAACCAGCTTGGTCAACATAGCAAGACCCCATCCCTACTAAAAAATTAAATTAAATTAAAAATTCACTGGGCATAGTGGCACATTTCTATAGTCCCAGCTGCTCAGGAGGCTGAGGCAAGAAAATCACTTGAGCATAGGAGTTTGACGTGCAGTCAGCAATGATCATGCCACTGCACTCCAGCCTGGGTGACAGAGCAAGACCCCGACTCAAAAAAAAGCTAAAACACAAACACCCACATTAGCCTAGACCTACACAGGGTCGTGATCATCAGTATCACTCTCTTCCAACTCCACATCTTATTCCACTGGAAACTCATCAGGTACAATAACATACGTAAAGCTGTCATCTCCTATGCCTTCTTCTGGAATACCTCCTGCAGGACCTGCCTGAAGCTGTTTTACAGCATATTATCTATATATCTATATCTCTATATCTATATGTCTATATATAGATATAGATATAGATAAAAGAGCATGCTGTAAACTAACAATTAAAAGTATGGTATAGCACATATACCAGTAACTTATTAATAGTATTTTATGGTCATTATCAAGTATTATGTCCTATACGATAATTGTATATGCTATACTCTTGTATGCCTGGCAGCACAGTAGGTTTGTTTACACCAGCATCACCACAAACATGTGAGTAATGTCTTGCACTATGATGTCACTACAGCTACTGTGTCACTAGGCAATAGGAATTTTTCAGTTCCATTATAATTTTATAGGACTACCATCATATACACAGTCCATCATTGACTGAAATATTGTTATACAGTGCCTGGTTATAGCTAATTTTATTTGAACAAACTTTAGATATTCTTACTTCTAAATAATATTCTTTGTATTCTACCAATATTATAGCTTAAGTGAAACTAATTTTTTCTCTTGTTTACTGAAATGTAAAAACCAGTTCAGGACACCATTACTAGTCCTCTAATAGCTTACTAAGTCACGTAATTCATTCCCATACAATGAAATAGAAAATAATTTAGGCTATTATGAGGTCTGTAATTGGTTACTTCTAATGCTATTTTAAGCTATACCAGATTCAACACATTTTATAGAAAATATTGAACAACATCCTAAATTCATATATACTTTTTGAACTATTTTGATTTCTATTCACTTGTCTTTTCAAAGGGGAAATTGAATCTCTTCTCATAAGTCATACTATCTAAAGGAATAACTAAAGCAAATATTTTTAGATATGTTTTGGGCAAGAAATACAGGACTTGAAATAAGACCTTTTAGATAGTATACACCATACATTTTCTGACCACTATATAGTTCAGATTGCTTAAATTCACAGACATCTTTTTTAAAATCTGTACATATTCCACCACATATCTCAAACTATTCCTTATCATTAGTTCTTGTTCTCTTTAAGAAAGATACTATGATAAATTTGGCGTTATTGTCAGGTACTTCTGATGCTGAAGAAGCCAATTATTATATAGTGCATATGTGATGTGTTATGAATGCACAATTTATATTTAAAATGGAGAATTCTTTTCCTTTACATTTATTTAGTGGGTATCACCATGGTAACTGAGCACTTTCACAAAGCCTAATTTATGACACAAAAAACATAAAGAAAAGAAAGAGCTTATACTTTCCATATTTTGCATATTGACAGAAAAACTTCTTGGTTGACACATATTTGGGGAGGAAAGAAAGAGATGCAGGAGATGATATGGACAAAAGCAATCTCTTTTAATATGTAAAGATTCTGACTTCTCAAACCTATGTTGTAAGAAAAACTTCCCCAGGAAAAAAACTTTTTCACAAAGAATAATTCAATCTCACGATAGAAAGGGCCACAGAAATAATCTCTCCTAACCCTCTTGTTTTAAAGATGAGATCCCTGAAGCTTAGTCCATTGGTCTGAACTCTTCAAGATCACACACCCAGTTTGTAACAGAACTCAGTTTCAACCCCAAGCCAGTTGCCTTCTAGTCCTGTGTTCTTTCTATACAATCACATTTCAAATATTCCATTTCTACCTCTTGTCCTCATTAAAACACAACTACTTTGAGAAGTCTGATCTGATCAGAACACATTATTATTTTCCTTAATAGCTAGTTTTTAAAAAGCTTATAGTGCCAATCAAAAAAAGATAAATAAAAACACATAAAATGTTAGGATGTAGTCTTTTTTTAAGTTTGTTTATGACAAATGTCAAGAACCATGAAGTGTCAGATTTTACCCTAGTTGCAAGCTAACAAATTAGCTCATTAGAGACAAAAAATAGATTATTTCTCACGGCAATAGCAATAGCTAGAGTATCAACATTTGCAACATGTCCCCAAGAGTAATGCAAAGAGGGCCAATGATGCTAGCACATGCAATGGGATGTTACAAAAGAAGAACCCTAAACTTAGAGAGTAGAAATATTTTATTACAGACAGTGAGCCGACCTGATCTTTCTGTAGAAGGGATACTAATTTCGTTATACTGGACGGTAAGCTAATATGTCCTTTACTCCAGAGAAAAATATTATCTCTATTTTTCAAGGCTATTTTTATACAAATATCCTTAAATAGTCCAGAAAAAAAATCAGCCTCTATTTGCAGAAGCACAAGAGACCTTTTGAGAATTGTCTTGAAACTATAACCACCTCTCATTGTTACATTTTCTTAGCCTCTGAAAATTTTTCACATGAGTACAACACTCCATCAGTTATGATGATTAATCTGAACAATAGCGGTCAAATCCTGCGGGCCGTCAATTCTTTAAAAAGTTTTATTAAAACACAGCCATTCATGTATGTATTGTCTCTGACTGTTTTCATTCTTTAATAGCAGAGTTCACTATACCTTGACTATCAGCCTATTGCTGAGTAGCTTTTGTGATGAAAAGCACATCACTGTCAGACTTCAAATGGTCTAGAAAAACACATATTAATATATAACACAAAATACTTTCAAAGGTCCCAATAGTGGGGCCAGAGTCAGCTAATCAGACAGGAAAAGCAATTTCATAATCTGAAAAAGTGTTAATGGAAGGGAGGCAATATTATATACCTCCAAGATGTAGGCAGCCTGCCAGAAATGGGTGAGGGCTCCAATCCCATGTGATGTGTCTTCCATTTCTGGAGGACAAATGGGTTAACTTTTGGCAGGAGTTGCAAGTCTTCTATGCAGAAATGTCCTCTGCATCAGAAACATAGAGTCCTTTACTTTGTGCCCAATCTGTGATGGTGAATGTGTTGCCATGCCCAGGGTAAGGATGGAACCAGGAAGCACTGACAGCAATCTGGGCAGAGCAAACTTGATCAATAGTGTAATTCCAGCTGTTCATATCAGAGAATGAGCCCATATCATGGGCACCTAGAGAGTGACCCAGACAGTTTCATCAGCAGCTACAATTTGTTTCCATAATTTCCCAGGCCCAAAGAGGTGTGTCTTGAATTTGCCAGCCATAATTTTTCCACACCAGCAGCTAGGACATTGGTTACAACCTACAGTCGGTAAATATATAAGGTTAGTCAAGGGGAGTATCATCCAGAGGCAAGAGAAAAGCCTTGAGTTCTGCCCACTGTGCAGAATATTTATGTCCATTCTCAGTTCTATTACAGCTGGTGCTCAGGCTGAACAGCTGAGGGCCCATCCCACAAAGGGATAGCTGCCACTTTTTCACATGAAGCCAAGATGTTATCTGGACTGACTGCAGTCCTGAAAATATCATTTCCTTTAGACAAATGAGACTTGTGAAACCCTTCTCACCTTAATAGTTGTTGATCCTGAGTTCACTCACCCCAAAATTGGAATATCAGGATAGAGAGTCAAAAGCCCTCCAAGGTTCAGGCCTTCAGTTTCAATAAAAGCACAGTAGCAAGCCAACAGGTGCTTTCAAAAAGAGTGTGCATGGTGCCAATATAAGGAAAGTGATGCATCTAAAGTAAAGCCCCAAGGGTGCCTCAGGTGGAAGCTGCCTCCCTTTGCCAGAGGCTCAAGATGGAAAAATCATTAGTCACTGAGACTATAGCTTGAGGAGGTCATCCAGTTTGTGGGATCCCAAAAGTATTATTACTTTCCTACGGATAGCTCTTCTTGATCAGAATTCCCTTTGGTACTTATGGAATGGAAGGTACAAGCATATTCACATCAATTTCTACTATATATTCAAATATAGAAGCAACAAAAGCAGTACATTGAATTGTTCCAAAGGGCCCTACCAACTACAAACTTACATTAGTGTCTCTTACCCCACTGTAAACTTTGCCCAGTCAGATAAGTTGAACCTGGGCTTCCTTCCCGACTCAAGACCAGGTAGAATAATGACATGGACGCCTGCATCCAATAAGGTCATACGAGTTTGAGTCTTTCTCCCTGAAGTTCTCTAGCATACTTAACTAGGTGAATATGTCCTTTGATCCCTCTTAAGGATGGGGAGACCTCAGCCTCACCCCTATTCATCTTTCTCCATAATGAAGCTACAGAGGAGGCAGGAGGTGGCAAGAAGTGACATAGGGGCTTTATGAAAAGATGCAAAGGGAAAAAGTGGGGTAGCACAGCTCATAGCTCATGACTCAACCAAATGAACTTCTAATGTTCTCATTCTGACCAAAATTCTGTATCAATTGGCAAGATTCTTATGGCTAGCAGCATCAATTTCAGTATTAGAGACCCCTGGATATAACATAACACCCACAACCACATCGCATTCTCACTGGGGGTGCAAGGGTTATGCCCTTTGCCCAACTCAAGCCTGACACAGCAACAACTTTTTTAAGGAATTCACCTAAATCTGGAGCGTCTGCAAGCACCACTACCAAAATAACATTCTCTTAAATTCTTTCAAGTTTCAATATAAAAAATAGGGGAGTGTTCCAGGGCTGCAGCACTAACCATAAAATTGATCTAAGAATTTGGTTTAGTTTCTCATTCTTCAGTGGATCACCTTCATCAGCATCATAAACCCAATTTGGATCAGGAAAACCTCAAGTACTTGTTAATCCCTCATCGATGATTTGCCACAGGAGTTTGTCTCCAAAAAATCTCAAAGAAGCTCAAGAATCTCTTATAACAACCATGAATAATTTTTTTAAAAAAAGAAAGAAAAGTCAGAAGACTTTATTTTCATCTCTAAACGGGTCTAAGATTCAGATGATAGACTGCAGGAGGCACAAAGTCATATGATGGCATTTTGGTTGCCATTCTTTTTAAACAAGCATTATATAACCTACCCCTCATCTCTTGAGTAAATCAAGCAAGTGCTAGCCATTTGCCTGGTTTCTGTCTATGTGGTTTCAAATTTTCCTCCTTGACACTCAGTAGTAGTTTTTCTATAAATATTATCACACAGAAGTAAGAACCTTCTGGTCTCCCCAGGGCAAATTTTAATAATACTTGTTACCATAGGGTGGACCTGAGCCTGACCACCAGATTGAAAAGATAGTCTTCCTGCCCAGAGGAGAATTAGATACAATCAGGGCACCATTCAGACAGCTGCCTTTGAATTTACTTCTGAGTTCTCAGGCTGCAACACCCTCCCAAATTCATCCTCATTAACACCCATTAAAGTAGAAGATTATTAATTGTCCTGTTGACCATATAGTTTGGTCAAATGTCTGCTATCAACACATGGCATTGCCTTAAATCAGCCATAAGGATCTCATTCTTCCTCTTCCAAAAACTCATGTCTCTTTCAGCATCCCATGCTCATCATCAAAACTATCAAGGACTTAGAAGGGTCTGAAATTTTACCATATATGAAAGCTAACAAGAAAGGCAGCCATAGTTTCATGGAGACTGATGAGAAATGTGAGACTCCTGCCTCAGAGACAACGTTCAGTCTATTCCTCAAAGCTATTGCCGATATCGAAGTATCTACAGTATGAGCATTTGCATCACATTCCTAAACCTCAGTTCTTAAGGGCATCATCAAGAAGGCACATGCTATGAGTTGCATTTTGCATTACAGGAGAGAAACTCCAAGCTTAGGAAATCCAGATCTTTTTAAAAAATATATATTTATTTATTTATTTATTGAGATGGAGTCTCACTTAGTTGCCATGCTGGAGTGTAGTGGCACAATCTCGGCTCACTGCAACCTCCGCCTCCCAGGTTCAAGCGATTCTCCTGCCTCAGCCTCCCCAGTAGCTGGGACTACAGGTGCTTGCACCACGCCTGGCTAATTTTTTGTATTTTTAGTAGAGACAGGTTTTCACCGTGTTAGCCAGGATGGTCTTGATCTCCTGACCTCATGATCCACCGGCCTCAGCCTCTCAATGTGCTGGGATTACAGGCATGAGCCACTGCGCCCGGCCAGGAAATCTGGATCTTTTAAAATGGACAATAAAGCATGCTTGCTCCAAAAGGAGACATTATATTTTTCATACCAGACAGTAAATAAATCTGCCCTTTGTTTAAGAAGGAGGTATTATCTCAATCTTCCAAGGCTTTTCACTATATAATCATCATTGATAAGATAGCCTGGAATAAAGGCAGTCAGGGCCTCTGCTCAGAAAATGAGCAGAAATGTGAAAGACCCATGAATTGTCTCTCAATTATGTAAACAATTAGTGATGTAGTGTTAAAAGGTATATGTCTATATAAGCTTGTTATTGTTATGCTGATATTTTTATTTTTAACACATTTATTGAGGTATTACTGTCATGCAAGAAACTGCACATATTTAGGGAAGAAATTTTGCTAAGTTTTGATGTATGTATATATACATGGAGCCTGACCACCATATTGACAAGATAGTCTTCCTGCTCAAAGGAGAGTTAAATACAACCAGGGCACCAGGAGCATAATCAAGTTAATGAACATAGGCATCATCTTAAAAAGTTTCTTAATGTCTTTTTTTAAAAAATTCCTTTTTTAAAACATCAGATGACTTTTATCCAAAGCAGATGAAATTAATTGAATTGCCAATATCTCCTTTAAGGTAAAAATTATATTTCTACCAGACAAGGCATGATAAATGATTCCTGGTGGAGGTAAGGATATGTCTTAGGGCATAGTTTGAGCTAAATGGTTGCACTAAAAGAAATTACAAAAGTTTTCTATCATTACTCTCAATGTCATGCAGACAGGACATTTAAAATTGCCACTGAGTTTCACTTTAGTCAATGGAGATTTTCATTCTGAAAACTTACCCATCAAACATGATCTTCTTGCAGGATTTAAGTAATTGCTGAAATATAATGCTTTCATTTTCTTTCAACAGGTTTCCTGCCTACTTCTTTCCTTAGAGTTGATTTCTAAAAAAGATAAGTGGTTCGATTATATCATTTTGAGGTAAATGAGGATAACTTAAACGTTCTTCTCATCTGTTAAAGAAAGATGCCCTTTTTATGTTTTTCAGTTTTCCAAAGTAAAGATTTTATTTCCATAGTCTTTGGAATATGGAAATAAATTATATGGAACATTATTACAGTTACATGTTACATTAAGATTATATGAAACCAGAGCTAAACAAAATAAAATTCTTATATACATGTTTCATCATATTATAAATCAAGTTTTACTTTACTTAAATAGTAAAGAACTAATAGGCTATACCTTGCATCATTCACCATGAAGTAAAGCAGATCTTACCGAAAAATTGACACCTAAAAATTATTTAAACTGGAATTTCGTTTGCAATGGTCCTTGAAATAAATTCCTATACAGGAGAAAAACTTCAGTAGCAATATGTAAACATCTTCAGCTTGGTGCCCCAATGGGAATCAATAGGATCATAATTAAAGAATAATAAAGAGCACACAAGTTACATATTGTAACATCTCGTGTCTGTTTTTAACATGCAAACTACACAGCAAATAAAATCTGTTTTTACATTCATATTTATCACAGAGTTAATATTTTTGTTGGTATTTTGGGGGACTCATAAAACAAAGTAATTTTAAAACATTAGATCTTTTTTAAGTATGCCTTAAAAGTTAGAGATATATTCCAGGAACTTAGACCTTGCTGCCTTTGAAATATACCACAAAGATGCATTAATGAAAGAAATATTAATACATTTTTACACAATGTCCTGAAAAATGGTTAGAAATGCAGGAAATAAATGATAAATATTCATTATTTTGCTATCTTAAGCAATAACAGTTTGATAAGAAAAACTGAAAGATTTTCTGAAATTAGAATAATATTTCAATAGGTTAGATAAATATCACTATCAAGAATGTGTTTGAGCAGGCATAAAAATATTTTATTGGCCATAGAAAATTTAATGAAATTCCCATGCTTGAAAACTAGCAATTTGTAAGCAGGTCATCATGGAAGAGGATATTGGGGGATGACCAAAATCTTCCTACAATACTCTGGCATTCTGAGCCCCTTTTAAATCACATTCTTTTTCCTCTCCATTCTTTATTTGCTATCTTTATTAGTCCATTTTCACACTGCTATAAAGAACTACCTGAGACTGGGTAATTTACAAATAAAAGAGGCTTAATTGACTCACAGTTCCACATGGCCAGGAAGGCCTCAGGAAACTTAACAATCATTGTAGAAGGTGAAGGGAAACAAGGCACCTCTTACATGGCAGCAAGAGAGAAAGAATGAGGAGGGCGAACTGCCAATCACTTTTAAACCATCAGATCTCCTGAGAACTCACTATCATGAGACCAGCATGGGGGAAACCACCCCCATGATACAATCACCTCCAACCAGGTTCCTCCCTCAACATCTGGGGATTACAATTCAAGATGTGATTTGGGTGGGGACATAGAGCCAAACCATATCACTATCTTACTTCATTAAGAGCAATACGTGTTAATTAAACACTATGGAGAATTTTTAAACTCCTTGGTGAAATCTGTGGCATTACTCGCTCTACGCCTATGTATTTTATGGGTCTGCCCACATATTATACTCTTCTGACATCTCTATTACCATTATTGTTCTAATTATAAATTCTCAGCAGACACTATTATAATCATGAGAGTTGGGCTTACTCCCCCAACCAGTCCTTTTCCATCCTCTTAAATTATTTATCCCACCCAATTTACGTCCCACAGTTCAATCTTTAAACTAGGACTCAGCACAGAATGTTGAACCAGCAAAATCCTTCTTTAAGGAAATATGCCTGGAGATACATTTCTCTACCTGTATCCTAACTATGAATTCAGAAATCAGAGAGAGAAAAAGGGAATGCAAGAGGAGACAGACAGTGGTGATGGTTACACAACATTATGAATATATTCAATACCTCTCAACTATACACTTAACTAATATAGTACATTTTATGTTATGTGTATTTCACAACAAAAAAATTGAAAATATTGTGGCAGGGACATTGGATTTGTAGTCGATCAGAATTTAATTCAAATAGTTGGCTCTATCCATTTCTGATTTATATAGCAAATTATTTAAGTTCACTGGGCATAGTATTTCTCAACTATAAAATACAGATAACAATTTTATCTACCCCACATGGTTCTTGTGAGAATTAAATTATAAAATGCAAGTTATGACATTTGTTCATAGTAAATATCAAATAAATGTTAGTTATTAATCCAAACTTAAATCCATTTTATTGATCATTAATTATTGCCTATGTTTGGTGTGCTTTAGGATTTTATTAGTTTTTTTTTTCTTAATCTGAAGCCAAGTTTTCTCTAGTGTGCAAATGTTATACAGTTGCAAAGGTGGTCTTTCTAAACCAGAATCATTACCATATTCAAAATTCTTTAGTTGTTTTCTGTTTCCATCCTTTCTAACCTCATTTCCCAGCTCTCAATCTTACATCAAGCCAGACTGGGACTGAGACCCACAAGCAATTCCCTGAAAAAGCCTCATCTTTCTCTCCTCCCCAACCTGACACAGTGTCACCCCTGATCAGACTGCCTCCTTGGCCCTCTTTCTTTTCTACTTGAACAAGTCTTATTCATCCCTCAAGCTTCAGCTCAATGACCCTACCTTAGAAATCCTTCCAGGACTTCTGCAAATATCAGTGTTCCCATATCATTTAATTCATATGGCTATTATAAGGTCTGTCTAGTTGCTGTATTTCTTCAGGTATCTGTTCACACACTTGGCTGTGGTCCACTGGTAGGCAAAAGGCTATTGATTTCTTTGTTTCCCCACTACCTGACACATATTTGACATTCAACAAATGAAAAATGAATGAGTGAAAGGATTGGATTCTATTGGGAACATGAACAAACCAACCTGTAAGTGATGATCACAACCACACAGAGAAGATATTGCCCAACAAATTTTCCACTTTTGAACTGACATAAATTAAGACACTTTCTCCAGAAAACCTCCATTCAAAGGTAAATGCATTACATTGGAGGGAAAATGTACTAAACTATTACTATATTTACATGAATTTGTTTAACCAAACAGCAAGTCTTAGAACAGGATTCTAAGAGTTTGAAACAAAACTTTTTATGGGGCATATGTTGCCACAGAAGAATCCAAAGCAGACACTGCTGCTTAGGGACAGAAAGAAAAAACGCAGGTGGACAGTCATAGTGGGTAGCTCTAGATAGGTCATATCTGAATTGGTGTAAAATCAGAAATGACAAGAGGAGAAATCTGAGGAAAAACTGTTCAGTCAACAATTTGTCACAGAGCAGACCTGCACCTACAACAATACACAGCCTCCTCTGGGAAGACAAACTAATTTTTTTTTTTTTTTTTTTTGAGATGGAGTCTCGCTTTGTCACCCAGGCTGGAGTGCAGTGGCGTGATCTCAGCTCACTGCAAGCTCTGCCTCCCGGGTTCACACCGTTCTCCTGCCTCAGCCTCCCGAGTAGCTGGGACTACAGGCACCCGCCACCATGCCAGGCTAATTTTTTGTATTTTTTAATAGAGACGGGATTTCACCGTGTTAGCCAGGATGGTCTCCATCTCCTGACCTCGTGATCCGCCCACCTCAGCTTCCCAAAGTGCTGAGATTACAGGTGTGAGCCACCGCGCCCGGCCAAGACAAACTAATTTTAACTCTAGTAACATCAAATTTTGTTAAGAAAGTAAATGCACTAAAAATAAAAATCATTTAGAAGATTAAATATAAACTATTCTCCTTCTCCCTCTCCCTCTCCCTCTCTCCACGGTCTCCCTCTCCCTCTCTTTCCACGGTCTCCCTCTGATGCCGAGCCGAAGCTGGACTGTACTGCTGCCATCTCGGCTCACTGCAACCTCCCTGCCTGATTCTCCTGCTTCAGCCTGCCTGGTTTTCGTATTTTTTTGGTAGAGACGGGGTTTTGCTGTGTTGCCCGGGCTGGTCTCCAGCTCCTAACTGCGAGTGATCCGCCAGCCTCGGCCTCCCGAGGTGCCGGGATTGCAGACGGAGTCTCCCTCACTCAGTGCTCAATGTTGCCCAGGCTGGAGTGCAGTGGCATGATCTCGGCTCGCTACAACCTCCACCTCCCAGCCGCCTGCCTTGGCCTCCCAAAGTGCCGAGATTGCAGCCTCTGCCCGGCCGCCACCCCATCTGGCAAGTGAGGAGCGTCTCCGCCTGGCCACCCATCGTCTGGGATATGAGGAGCCCCTCTGCCCGGCTGCCCAGTCTGGGAAGTGAGGAGCACCTCTTCCCGGCCGCCATCCCATCTAGGAAGCGAGGAGCGCCTCTGCCCGGCCGCCCATCGTCTGAGATGTGGGGAGCGCCTCTGCCCTGCCGCGACCCCGTCTGGGAGGTGAGGAGCGTCTCTGCCCGGCTGCCCCGTCTGAGAAGTGAGGAGCCCCTCCGCCCGGCAGCGCCCGGGCTGAGAAGTGAGGGGCCCCTCCACCCGGCAGCCGCCCCGTCTGGGAAGTGAGGAGCGTCTCCGCCCGGCAGCCACCCCATCCGGGAGGGAGGTGGGGGGTCAGCCCCCGCCCGGCCAGCCGCCCCGTCCGGGAGGTAGGTGGGGGGTGCCTCCGCCTGGCCGCCGCCCCGTCCGGGAGGTGGGGGGCGCCTCTGCCCGGCCGCCCCCTCTGGGAAGTGAGGAGCCCCTCTGCCCGGCCACCACCCCGTCTGGGAGGTGTACCCAACAGCTCATTGAGAACGGGCCATGATGACGATGGCGGTTTTGTGGAAGAGAAAAGGGGGAAAGGTGGGGAAAAGATAGAGAAATCAGATTGTTGCTGTGTCTGTGTAGAAAGAAGTAGACATGGGAGACTTCATTTTGTTCTGTACTGGGAGGGGTTCTTCTGCCTTGGGATGCTGTTGATCTGTGACCTTGCCCCCAGCCCTGTGCTCTCTGGGGCATGTGCTGTGTCCACTCAGGGTTAAATGGATTAAGGGCGGTGCAAGATGTGCTTTGTTAAACAGATGCTTGAAGGCAGCATGCTCGTTAAGACTCATCACCACTCTCTAATCTCAAGTACCCAGGGACACAAACACTGCGGAAGGCCGCAGGGTCCTCTGCCTAGGAAAACCAGAGACCTTTGTTCACTTGTTTATCTGCTGACCTTCCCTCCACTATTGTCCTACGACCCTGCCAAATCCCCCTCTGCAAGAAACACCCAAGAATGATCAATACAAAATAAATAAATAAATAAATATAAATTATGCTTTGGATTTTCCATGCTATTGCTTCCCATATGTAGCATGAATAGCTCAGAGCTAGTACAGGACTTTCACACCAAATGAAAAGCTAAGAAACTCACCAAGTCCTGAGAGAACCACAGCTAAGTAACATGTCAAGCACTCTTTCACTGCTCTTACCAAAAACGCATACAAAAAAAAGGTTACTCCCATTTATAAAAACAGAATTCTTACAGAAAGAAAACTGCATGAAAAATTGACTCTTTTATGTTAAACCAGTGTTATTTATCTTCATTGCTCATAGTGAGGGCTAGGTTAGGACAAAGGAACTGAGACCAACAAGACCCAGTGGCCTCACAGGCAGAGATATATTGGCACTGCTACCCCGCAGTGCTCAGGGACAGAAGCTGAGAAGTTAACTCTGACACCAGGGCAAAAAAGGAGTCACTGAGAGAAGCAGACCCAGACATGCAGTAAGGAATCACACTACTCCCATAACCATACTTGAGGGAAATTGCTTTACAATAGAGTACAGACATATTTCTCAGAGCGTGAGTTTCTTTTCCATCATTGTTTTGATATAACTTTATGTGAGTAAAATGCCTGACTCTCAGCTTTAAAGTATTCCTCCCAAGAATGCTTATGAAAAGTGTAACAGTTTTGATGCTGTGGTAGATTGCATAACTATTCACAAAAATGTACTGCCCTTCCTGTGGGGAATTAAACATTCTTACCCTGTTAAATGCACGGGCAGCACGTGACTTGCTTTAGGCAACGAAACATGGGAAGGAACAGGTATTCAAGCTGAAGCTTTAAGAGCAATGCATGCTTTGTCATTCTGTCTCTCCTGCTTCCATAACAATTGCCAATTTTCAAGCGAAAAGTTTCTCCATTAGCCAAGATCCTGGGGTGAAGGTGACATGGAACAGCACTGTGGCCAACCAGTGATTGACATGCAACATGAATAAGATATAAGTTTTTGGTTTTTCTTTAAGATGCTGAGACTAGGAGGACTGTTTGAGATTACTGCATAACCCAGCTCATCCTAACTAGTAGAGCCATTTCTCAGACTGCAATGTGGCAGGCCAAAGGGAAGACTGCTTGGTTATAGGTTTGTAATACTCTACTGCCATATGGGTGACAGCACCATCAGGAAATGGAGTCATTAAGAATGGAGGGATATGCATTTTGTTCTTAAATAGCTAGGATTCCTAAAACTAAAGCTGATATCCATTTAAATTAAAGTTAATTCTCAACATAAAAATAAGTTGTATCCCAAAACATAATTTTAGGTCAGAATGCCTCTCACAAAGGAACCTGCTATAAATGGAAATTAAAATCCTATGCTAGTCCTTTATTACTTAGTTTCTAAAAGTTAATATTGAGTTGCTTTAAGATTAAAAAGATAAGTCTAAGTCTTAGACTTAGCCTCCATAATCATGTGAACCAAGTCCTTACATCTCTTCATTATATAGATTATTATATAATAAAGATTATAATAAATAAATAATTTCTTTATAATAGATTATTATATAATATATAAGAAAGAAATTATTATTATATAATAGTTAGGGTTTATATCATGTTTAACCAAATAATTATGATATAATAATACTATTATATAATAATCTCTTTTTTATATAAAGAGATGTAAGGAATTGGCTTACATGATTATGGAGGCTAAATCTAAGGCCCACGGTCAGCAAACTAGGAACCTAGGAATGCTGATGGTACAAGTTCCAGTCTAAGCCTGAGTTCAAGTCTGAAGGCAGGAGATCTATGTTCCAGCTCAAATACAGTCAGGCAGAGAGAAAGAATTCTTTCTTACTCAGCCTTTTATTCCATCCAGGCCCTCAATAGATTGTCTCAGCCCACTCACACTGGAGAGGGCTACCTGCTTTACTCAGCCTGCCAATTCAAATGTTAATCTCATTCAGAAATATGCTCACAAACAACCCAGAAATAATGTTTAACCAAATATCTGGGTACCCCATGGCTCAGTCATGTCAACATATAAAATTAACCTTCACAACTTGTAACATTGTTTCTTGAGATCAACTAGAAATTACAGCTTAAAAGCCAGAACACCAACACATACGTCCCAAATATCACTGGGTCAGTAACAGGAAACATGTTTTTATTTAATGTTTGTTTATATGTTTTATTTTATATTTTCATAGGTATTTATTTTGTTTATAGATTTCATTTCATATTTTTTTCTGTCTGTGTTTTGGCCCTGGAACAAGAGCAGAGACTCCCTGTGTACAAATCCTCATCTGCTTATGGGAGTATCAACTTTTTTGGTTTCACAGATTCTAATAGTGTCAGCAAGCAGTGACAATTTAATTGGAAAAGTAAAGAGGAATACAAAGTTTCCCTGATAACATTGCATTAGGTATCTATTTCTATATAACAAATTACCCCAAAGCTTAACAGCATACAATGATAAACACGTATTATTTTACACAGTTTCTCTGGGTCAACAATCCATTTTAGCTGGGTGGTTTTGGCTCAGAATCTTTCATGAAGCTGCAGTCAACTTGTCAGCCCAGGTTACCGTGATGTGAAGGATTGACTGGGCTGGAGGATCTACTTTCAGGTGGCTCACTCACATGCCTGAAAAATTAGTGCTAGTTGTTTGACCCTTGGTTTTTTGGCACATGGTTCTCTTCATGGGGACCCTTGAATGTCCTACTCAATCTGGCTTGAGTAGCCTGCTTTCCTCACAAGTAATACAAGAAATATCAAGCCATGATTTTTAAGACTTTGCCTCTAAACTCACATACTGTTATTTCCACATGGTCTTGTTAATTACACAGATCAGCCCCATTCAGTAGATGGAGTAGGTGACATCCACTGTGAATATCAGGATGCAGGGATTCTTAGAAGTCATCTTGGAGGTTAGCTACCATATTTATATTTTCCCCACAACTTACAGAATATCCTGGTCACTGGCTTTTATCATTTATTAAATTCAAGTCTATAACTTTAGCTCATATAAAATTCTGACCAACATAATTCCAGATTTTACAGATGTCAAGATGTCTATCAAGATATCTGTAAAATCAAATAAAGAGAACATATTTTAAAATTCAGCACATTTAAATGACAGGTAATACAATAATTATTATAATTTATTTAATATATTTAGCTTTGTCATTTTCCCTGTGGTATGATTCACTTAGTACCAAAAATAAATATCCAAAAGGTATTACCATAATGTAAATCTTATTTTCTCAATTTCAATATATTCTTTCTCATTCATATCCAGTAGGGTCATACAGGTAAGGCCTAAGAGTAATAAAAGGGCAGTGTAAGAAAAATTCTATTATTTTAATGCCAACAAAACAGATGTTATTACATTGAAAATGTGATCCTAGAAACATTTTAAGAATAAGCTTTTGTTCAAAAACCTAAATAAAGCTTTCAAAGATTTAATTCCAAGTGCTAAGGTTTATTTGCAGATTTTCACGTTGTCTTTTATATTAATTGTTTCAAGTCTTGACAAACCTAAATGAGAAGTATTTGCTAACATCCTTCACACCATTCTTTCAGTCAACAAGTATTACCAACCATGTCAAGTAAGATATAGTCTCTGCATTCAGGACCATACAGTGTAATAGAGGGAGACAGATATATAAGTAAATATACTTCTAATGCACCCCAAGCATGATCAAGAGCTTAAGTGTCACACTAGCTTTAATACATAAATCTTGCTAGTTCCAAGTCCCACTTGTTCACAAAGTAAATTTAGTCCCTTGAGAATCCCTTCCTCCATCCTTACCAGCAACAAAATTTGTCTGTGAAAGCCAAGAGTTTGCTTCATGTACTCATATGTGGAGGTTCTTCCTGCCACAGGCCTCTGCTGCCCTTAGCTGTTCCATCTGGGTTGGCCTTAAGTGCTACAAGTTCTGGTCTTCCACTTCCTCTAGACTTCCCTCTTCTGGGTTTCACCCACCACCCCATGTTAACTCAGAGTTCTCATTCCTCACAGATCTCTGTGCAGAAGGCACAGATCCATCTCAATTTACCCCAGTCCCCATGGTATCCAACATTTTGGCAATTTCCTGTAAAGGGGGAGGGTGGTTTGCAACCTGTGTTACTCTCTATCATTCTTAATAAAAGACTCCATTTCCAAGTCCCTTTAGTCCAAAGCACCACAGGCTCTTCTCAGGACCTTGCTATGTCACACCTCACTCTATGCCACCTCAGCCCACCTTCTGAAACTTTCCACAACTCCCTCTATACCGGCTCCTTCCATTTGCATATAGGCATGCCAAAGCGTCTTCAGTGTTCCCTGTACCTGACTCTCTGTAGGAAAAGCATAGTCTATATTTCTTGAGAAAGATAACTACACTCAGTGTGCCTAACTCCTCCTTTTACCCTCATTTACCCTTTCATTCTATTCTGGTATTTGCATCTGCAATTCCATGAAACTACTAAGGTTAAGGTCATCAGTAGACCCCTTGTTGTTAAATCCAATGGAAACATATTTCTCATTGTCCAGTGGTTCTGCATCGAGTGCTTCCTCACCTACTCCACCCACTGGGCCTCCGTTCCAAACCAGGTCTTCTAATGACCTATTGTGATATGGAGATATTTCCATACAATAAGGAAAGCTGTGTGGGACTTGGTTTAGTTCCTGGCTGCAAAGCAGGAACTTTGATCGTTTTCTCATGAGGCACCCTGCTTGCTATGAGCCACAGCTTCAAGCAGCAATTGTAGCCATTTGGATATTTTGGCCATTTGGGTTTTTTAGCTTCTATGAGCAGAGTGCTGTACTCCAGTCCCCAGTTTTATGCTGTGAGTCTGGTTTTAGTCCCCTATCTCACATAAAAACATGTAAGACTATTATCCACAGAGGCCAAGTTCCTGCTGCCACTTTCCTGCTACTGGGTCCATAGCTCAGCAGCCCTGTGGCATTTTCCCCATGTTACATATGTACTCTGTGTCTGGTCTGTAAAAATATCCATCTCCTTTTTGACCTAAGCCTTGACTTTCTGGTATTGTCCTTTAATATATGATTAGCATTAGTGTATAATTTTATCAGAAAGGGTGTAGAAGCATGACATATTATGAAGACATCTCCCACCATTTCTTAACTTCACAGGATTGTAGTGTGGATAAAACCCTACAGAGGAGAAATCGTTTGTGAGCAGTAAGGTCTATACAAATGTTATTTAGTAATAGTAAGCACAGATACTCAAGGAAGCAGGAAGACAGTTTATTAAAACACACTGGTTTCTCCCCTTTCGCACTGATCTAAGACGCAGGGAGGAGATCCTAGAGGAAGGGGCCACAGGCACTGAGGGGCTGCCTAAGGGAAAGCTTAATGGACAACTGCCAGCATTAACCTAGTGCCAGATATTTTTAAAGCTCTTTACAAATACTACCTGATTTAGTTCATTATTATTCTTCCCATTTTATAGATGGGGTACAGAATACTTGAGCTACTTGCTCAGGATGACCCAGCTAATAAAAATCAGACTGCTGGAATGTGAGCTCCTAGCTCATGCAAGAAGTTGTTTCTACAGCAAGAAGGGCTAGGTCTTAGGTAATGGTGGGTGGAATGAAACACTGTATTTCCTTTTCACACAGCCCTTTCAATTAGCCCCTTCTCTTAAAATATCCCTGGGTGCTTGAGAAGTGAGCAGAATCTGCTTACTTGGCAAACTTTTGTATCAGCGAAGAAGATAGGTTGATGGTAACTCTATAGTAATGGGGATCCAAAGAGTTTCCTTTGTTTTTAATAATTGCTAATTTACTCTAGTACACATAATTGAGTCAACCATTCTCATTTGCTTGAACTCCTTTAAAACATCTGATGAGCTGTTTTCAAGGAGAAAAGAGAATACTGACAAGTAAACCATCCTCTTTCCTACTTAAAGAGCTGAAGCCTAGAGTATAGTCAGGGGGAAATGAAAACTGTGAACTCACACTACTGTTTGAACAGCCATTCCAATTAAAAAGCGCCCTAGGATGGGTGTGGATCTGGTCACCATGCATGGTGGACATAAGACCTCTGCTGGGAGTGCCTGTAGAGTCATTTTGGCAAGGCATCCTCCCAGAGCCAACCGATCAATAGGCATCTCTCACCTTTTTCAAAGTACAGCAGGAACTGAAGACACTGAAAAACAGCATCCTTCTCAACAAGACCACATTAACCCAAACCACAACAGCACCGGTGCCAGCTCCAGAGAAGGCAGCCCTCATGAGGGGACATCAGCGATGAGCAATGTGATGGAGAGGTTTGGAATTGCTTCAGCCACAATCTAGAGGAGCACTTCAGGGACCCGCCGGCCCAGCCATTGTCTCTATTTTTCAGAGATCCTTTATGTGGCTCAGTGGGTCATCAGACACATCTCATGCCCAGGTATAAACAAAAGGCACGGAAGTATAAGGGAGGGAGAGACTTCACAAAGTGCCCAGCTTTACATCGAAGTTCAGTCCTCAGGTAGAGGGCTAAATCAAAGGCTTTCAAGTAAAGCTAATATGTGAAACCTTCATTTAATAGAAGTGCAAATTTGAAAGAAAAAAAACTAGAAAAGAATCAAAAGTTAAACAGAGTAAAGGGAGGAATAATGAGGGGCCATAAGCCACTCATAAGTAGTGATTGTCAATATAAGACACGACTCAGTAGCTCCCTCTTAGGAGATTAAACTTTGCATCCTTCAAAGCATTGAGAGAGAACGACATCCCCCTACCTCCATTCTCTGTCTTGTTCCTTTGTCTCCTCATTCCACACATCATTTCTAAGCTACAAGTCCCCCATATTCGCACCTGCAACCATGTTCTAGCACCACATTTGTTAAAGGGTAGTAACTTCTACATTTGCTTACTAAGTGCTTGAAGTATCCCAACACCACCCAACATAAAAAATATTAAAGCCATGTAATGCATTGGTGGGAAGAGAAGGTAGTCTGTATTTATGACAGTTCCTAGACAAGTGGGGCTAAGTAAATATTTACCAAATTCACTTTAATTTGTTTGCTCATCTCATACACATACCCCCACAATGCCCATTTGGCTGGGATAATGTTTTGAAATACTGGTTTGCTATTACTTTTTCTCCCTGTACTTTTCTTTTTGTTCTCTCTTTAGTTCAAGTAGGCAACTAGATTGTGCTCTTTACTCAAGATAAATACGGAACAAAGAGGACAGTAGCTTACAATTTTTCTATTATCTTCCAAAGCCTGATCTCTGGAGTTTTATAGAGGGGATTAAAAGTAGAGGATCCCCAAACATTGACAGTGTATTAGTCAGAAACATGAAAAGAAAAAGATTTCCTCCCAGGAGAAAAAAATACAAGGGATTTCTTCTGGGTGGAGAAAGAGAGAGAAAGACAGAGACAGAGAGAGAGACAAAGAGAGAAAAAGAATTCTGTGGGTCTACAGAATATGGAAGAGCCCATCAGTAAAACCATCAGGGTAGGCAGCAAAGCCCCTGAAAGGTAAGAACTGTAGGCAGTAGAAAGGCAGACAGGAACACAGAGAGCCTTGCTGAAGATTGTGGAGGCTTAATAAGCCTGTGGACTGACGAGCTTTGTAAACAAGGATGATAAATATCTCATTGACAATCAGTGTAAGAAAAGGCTGTGGATCCTGGAGGCTCACTCCTTTCCACCCTCTGTGATGTGGCTGGAACTATGGCAGACACTGGAGGACTCTCTCTCTGTCTCTCTAGTTTGAGGTGAACTCCTGCTCTCCTTCCTCTTGGATGAGATGCTGTCTATATCTGCAAATCGTCTCTGGACTCTGGGGTTAAATCTTGAGGGAATAAGTGAAAGGAAATGTTAGGCATGCAACTTTCCGCTGGTTATTCTGCTACATCCATCCCCTGAGACTACAAATACAAAAGAGCACATTATTCATTAGACAACTTGGAAAGAAAAATGGAAAATACAAGAAGAATAAAAGATAAATATCTCCATATGTTATCTCAGCCATATTCTTTCCTAAATAAACATCTTATGTCTTTCAAAATCAAATGTACTTTTCCTAAACGCTACTCCTGCCAGCTCCAGTACTCCCAAGCCTCTGCTTCTTACATCCTCAGCATCTGGGGTAGGGGGGTATCTGCTCCAGGCTCCCTAAGGTCAGGTTGGTGAGCCTAATGTGGCACATTTCTCTCCTTTCCAGAATGTGTATGCATGTTTGTGTGTGTGTTGGGGATAGAGAGGGGGCCATGCGATCCCTACTCGGGAGATTCTTCTCCCTGCCAGCACTGATTCCATACAACAGAGAGTTCAGCCACAGGTAATGGAGGCCCAGACCCTGACTGCATATTCCTCTCATGGACCTAGATAAATTAAGTGCTGACCAGCTGTCTTTGGCAAAAAAAACAAACAAACAAACAAACAAAAAAAACAACCTGCTCTGCTCAGATTGGTTAGAGATGGAGAGCTGATTCGCCAACATGAGTTGGAGTCTCTTCTTTACCACTATGGCCATCTCCCCACAGCTTTACTTTTGCCTCTATGATGACGTAAAGCGGTAATAAATGAATGAAGAAAATTCTCCCCTGTCTAACCTCAGCACCCTACTAAAAATGTCAGAGGTCCCAGTAGGAAGTAATCCCCTTGGGTTTGTTTGGAATCTCACTGGGTGCCAGAGGAGAAAATTCCTGACTATTTAGGATTCCTTCAATGTCCAAAACTCACCCATTTCTTCAGTCTTACAACAGTCACTAAAAATTTCAGAGAAAAAAAATCCCTGCCTTCGTAGAAAAATTCTCCATCTTCTCCAGTATCTCTTATGACAAGTCCCATGCAATTAAATGTATGATTAACATTAAATTAATCCACTATTAAGTTCAAAAGGGCTAGACATCAGAATCGTAAATATGTTAGCTAAGATGTTTAGTTATTAATCTTTATGATTATAAAGGAAAAGTATTCTTAAGTGATAGCACTCAGACTGCCAGATAATTTCAAACTAGTGCTTTAAAGTCAGAAAAAATCTGATTTAGAGCTAAAACGTAAAGGGGAAAAAAGAAAAAGGAAAATCTTCCTCAGACATTATCCAACCTTCTCTCCCCAAGCTTCTACTTTAATTGCAAACACTGCTGTGAGAACTATCAATTTCAGTCTTTCTTTCTCAACCAAAAACACTTTTAAGCCAAAGTAAAGTTAACTCAAGCGAGAGGGGAAAGTTTAAAAACATTCCTTCTAATATTAAAAGCCATGTTGAGAACATACTTGCAAAACAACTCCTACCTAAACTCACTTGTCTCAACCAACAGAAAAAAAAAAAGTTTGATTTTGAAGTGCTACAAGCAAAATGCACTTCCTCTCATGTTTCTTGTTTGTATGTGTGCACACATACCCTGCCTTATACCAGCAAGGATGTGGAGACATTCCACAAAAAAATTTATTCAGTGCAAGTCCACAAAATGTAATAAAACCAAATTTCAAAATAGGAATAAATTGGGGGGAAACAGAAACATGAAAGTAAGAAATATAAGATGAACCCATAAATGA